>NC_000002.12:55341867-55644897 GCF_000001405.40 Homo sapiens | reverse complement strand
TAGGGAATATTCTTTAACAGTTTTCAGTAATTTTAATCATCTACTTTTCTGTTTTATAGTAAAATATTTTTACATGTGTCTAGGTCAAAAAAAAAAAAAATCTCAAGTGACCATGGCATGTTTTAGGTTCATGTATGTAGTTGAATTGTTTATATATTTGTCTGTATTACGTTCCAGAAACTGTTCAGGTTCCATTATCAAAACGAGCAAAATTTGTTGGACCTGGTGGCTATAACTTAAAAAAACTTCAGGCTGAAACAGGTAAGAGTTGTATGAAGTTTGGGGTTTTTTAATTAAATGCTAGACCATAAAAGTTTGCTATTTCATCTCTAGTATGTTGCTTTAAATATATATTTATTTGAGAAATGAGAGAAAGACCAGGAGAAAAGGATATGACGTGTCTTGACTGTGAGTTTTCTGTGTGCCTATTAATAAATTAGCAAATGGTCATTCTTAACTAAATTCAAGAAGGATTACAAAGAATTCATCAGGACTTTTTTGCAACATTTTATAGTTGAACATCTAGAATAATTTTTAGTTTTTAACTTTAGAGGAATTATTACTTAGTTATTTCTTTTTATTCTGCTACTTTCACTTAGTTTTATTTTAACTCTTTTATTTAAAGAGTATATAAAAAAAAGCTTTAATTTATTTTTCCTGAAGCAATGTTTGAATTACCTCGTACTTCAAGGTTTGAGGTTACTGCAAGAGAGTGAGAAGCACTGTCACCTTAGCCATTTGCTAACACTGAGAAACTGATGTGATTTTGTCCCTTATTCATTTATTCACCCCTCGTAAGAGTAAGCGGGAGAAAGAAAAAAAGTAAGGAAAGGGTTCTATTATAGTTTCTACTCGTAATTAAGAGAGCAGAACCAGACTCTCCAAAATTTGTATAGATATATTTGATTTCACTAGATGGTGAATTTCAAGAAATCAAGCATATTGGCTCACCATTGTATCCCCAGGGCCTACCTAGTATAATGCCAGGTACCTAGCAAGTATGCAGAGTGTATTTGTTGATGAATGAATTCCTTCATTCCTAAAGTAATGATTAAATACAGCATAACTCCACCCAGCTACTAATAGGTCCCTCCTATTCTCACATCTATTTTTAAGACGAGTTTCCACTGGAATGAGCAAGTTAACTTTTTTTTTTTTTGAGATGGGGCCTTGCTCTGTCACCCAGACTGGAGTGCAGTACACAATCACAGCTAACTCCAGCCTTGACCCCTGGGATCAAGTGATCCTCCCGACTGTGAGTCCCAAGTAGGTGGGCACATGCTACCAGGTCCAGCTAATTTTTGAATTTATTTTTTGTAGTAACAGGCTCTCCCTATGTTGCCCAGGCTGGCCTTGAACTCCTGAGCTCAAGTGATCCTCCCACCTCAGCCCCCCAGAGTGCTGGGATTACAGATGTGACCCACTATGCCCAGCCAAGTTAACTTTAATATGTTACATTTTGTTTTTAAAAGGTGTAACTATTAGTCAGGTGGATGAAGAAACGTTTTCTGTATTTGCACCAACACCCAGTGCTATGCATGAGGCAAGAGACTTCATTACTGAAATCTGCAAGGATGATGTAAGTATAGATCATATTAATTACGTATCATATAGCTATATTTGTTTTTTCTACTTTTTGTTGATGTTTTCTTTATGAATCTTATGGCTTATTTTGCACTTACAGCAGGAGCAGCAATTAGAATTTGGAGCAGTATATACCGCCACAATAACTGAAATCAGGTAATATCAAGTAATATACTATGCTGAGCATTTTCCTTTCTTTAGAGACAGGGTCTCACCCTGCCACCCACAGTGGGATACAGTGGTGCCATTGTACCTCACAGCTGCCTTGAACTCCTGGGATCAGGCAGTTCTCCCACCTCAGCCTCCTATTTAGGACTACAAGCACACACCACCACACGTGGCTGATTTTTTAATTTTTTTGTAAAGACATGGTCTCACTATGTTGCCCAGGTTGGTCTTAAACTCCTGGCCTCAAGCCATCCTCCTGCCTCAGCCTCCCAAAGTGCCAGGATTACAGGCATGAGCCACCGTGCCCAGCCCTGTTTTGGTTTTTAACAGATTCCTATTATAATCCCAATTTAATTTTACATTTACTTTGAAATCATAAGGTGTTTAGATTACATGCCAATTGCCATATAATCATTATTTTTTAAGGTATAGTATATTTTGTTTTCTATATCATTTTATAAAATTAAAGTAGCAGTTCTGTGGTTCTAATTATGATAGGTTCTCTTAACTGAATTCTTTTTTTTTTTTTTTTTTTTTTTTGGGACAGAGTCTCGCTCTGTCACCCAGGCTGGAGTGCAGTGGTGCGATCTCAGCTCACTGCAAGCTCTGCCTCCCGGGTTCACGCCATTCTGCCTCATCCTCCCCGGTAGCTGGGACTGCAGGTGCCCGCCACCACGCCTAGCTAATTATTTTTTGTATTTTTAGTAGAGACGGGGTTTTACCTTGTTAGCCAGGATGGTCTCGATCTCCTGACCTTGTGATCCGCCCCCCTCGGCCTCCCAAAGTACTGGGATTACAGGCTTGAGCCACCGCGCCCGGCCAACTGAATTCTTTAACCAAATTTTCTACTAGTAATTGGTGAAACCCCAAATTAATTTTCCCAGTAAATATTAAATAGGCCCAAAATAGACTTAGCAATATTTCTTTATTTCTTTTTTTTTCTTTTGATGGCTTATTTTAAACATATCTGAATGCTTAATTGGCACATATTTTTAAATCCAATTTCGGCTGTGCATGGTGGCTCACGCCTGTAATCCCAGCTCTTTGGGAGGCCAAGGCAGGTGGATCAGGAAGTGGGGGGTTCGAGAGCAGCCTGACCAACATGGTGAAACCCCATGTCTACTAAAAATACAAAAGTTAGCCAGGCATGGTGGTGCATGCCTGTAATCCCAGCTACTCAGGAGGCTGAGGCAGGAGAATCGCTTGAAGCCGGGAGGCAGAGGTTGCAGTGAGATGAGATCGCACCACTGCACTCCAGCCTGGGCGACAGAGCGAGACTCCATCTCAAAAAAAAAAAAAGCCAATTTCAGTCTCAAAGCATTTTTTTTGACCAGCTAGAAGAGCTTGTTTTTTTAGGATAAGAAAATCCCTCTTTTAAGAAAAAGGAAATTATCAAATGTAGCAAAAATGTTCAAAGCTATTTGAAATAAAATAAAAGGCAAGGAGATAATTTGTTTAATATTGCAGGTGAAAAATAAGAAATGGGATGGCTTATTTTCATAGATTAGAGAAAAAAGGGAAGATTAGTTTTTTAATGAAATAAGTATTCCATTTTACCTGACCACCTTCCTTAAATCCTTACCTTACAGGTTAATCATATGAGATTCTATACTATTTTTAAAATATTTAATGTCATTTCGAAAATTTTTGGAAAATCGAGACCAGCCTGGCCAACTTCGTGAAACCCCATCTCTACTAAAAATACAAAAATTAGCTGGTCATGGTGGCACATGCCTGTAATCCCAGCTGCTTGGGAGACTGAGGCATGAGAATGACTTGAACCTGGGAGGCGGAGGTTGCAGTGAGCCCAGATGGCACCACTGCACTCCAGCCTGGGTGGCAAAAAAAAAAAAAAAAAAAAATGTTTTTGGAAATTGTTAAGAGAAATACAGAAGAACATATATTCTAAAAGTTTTTTTTGTTGAGACGGAGTCTCACTCTGTTGCCAGGTTGGAGTGTAGTGGCACGATCTCGGCTCACTGCCACCTCCGCCTTTCGGGTTCAAACAATTCTCCTGCCTCACCCTCCTGAGTAGCTGGGATTACAGGTGCGCGCCACCAGGCCCAGCTAATTTTTATATTTTTAGTAGAGACGGGGTTTCACCATGTTGGCCAGGGTGGAGTTGATCTCTTGACCTCGTGATCTGCTCACCTTGGCCTCCCAAAGTGCTGGGATTACAGGTGTGAGCCACCGCACCTGGCTCTAAAAGCTTTTCTATTGCATGTTTTTTCTTTATCTTTTCTTCATTCTTTGATTCACACATATTTATTTATAGGGTATATTTTCAGTTGAAAAGTATACTTTTTATAGTTCTAAAAACGTGCTAGAATTGTTTCTTTTCGTTTTTTACTTTTTCCTCATATGAAAACAATGTTTTATTTGTCAATGGATATACAGATACTTATTATTTTAACCAGGCTTACTATTTATTTTTTTGTAGAGATACTGGTGTAATGGTAAAATTATATCCAAATATGACTGCGGTACTGCTTCATAACACACAACTTGATCAACGAAAGGTAAAAAGACAGATGTTATTGTTATTATTTTTATAACTGCCTTGAAACACTGTATTGAAATTACCTAGGTTGGTAAGAATTATACACTTTGCCTACTACTAGCCTAAACAGAGAAAACAAGTGGCAGAGATGCTGCTGGCAAAAAGTTTTACATTGTTTAGCATAAAGAAAAATTGGCTGGGCAGGGTGGCTCATGCCTGTAATCCCAGCACTCTGGAAGTCCGAGGCGGGTGAATCACAAGGTCAAGAAATGGAGACCATCCTGACCAACATGGTGAAACCCAGTGTGTACTAAAAATACAAAAATTAGCTGGGCGTGGTGGCGTGCGCATGTAGTCTTAGCTACTCGGGAGGCTGAGGAAGGAGAATCGCTTGAACCCGGGAGGCGGAGGATGCGGTGAGCCAAGATTGTGCCACTGCACTCCAGTCTGGCGACAGAGTGAGACTTTGTCTCAAAAAAAAAAGAGTGTCTGTTTTACCATATATTAAAATATATTATAAAGCCATAGACAATAAAATAGTATATTACCGGCCCAGAAATAGATAATCCATGCAACAAGAAAACAAAAACTAGAAATAATATACATGGGATTATAATATACGCTAGAAGTTGTATTATAGTCAGTGAATAAAGATTATTTAATAAATTATATTGGTACAGCTGGTTATCTTAAAACAGGATCTCTACTCATTTTTATACCTAAATCCTGTCTGGATCAAAGAGCTAAATGTGCTTTTTAAAAAAGGTGGTAGGAAAAGATAATCTTGTTGGGGCAGGAGGGTTTACTAGAAGAAAATTGGATGTTTTAATAAGATTAGTAGTGGAGAACTCCTCAACATGATATCAAAGCCAAAAAAGTAAATAAACTTACAAAATTTGACCCCATAATTTTTTAATTATATGGCAAAAATTTCAATAAGGTTAAGAGATAATCAGCAACCTAAAGTAAAAATGCTTATATGCAGAAGCTTAATTTACAAAGGGCTTTTATAAATCCGTAAGAATGATGAATATCAATAGAAAAATAAGTAAAGAACATGAACAAATTATTTTTATAAAAAGCCAACCAAGATATTTAATATCAACAGCAATTTTTGAAATGCAAATGAAATTAAGATATCAGTTTTAACTTTCAGATAGTTTAAAATTCTCAGTGTGTATAAGAGAAAAGATGGACATTTTCATACACTGTTGATGGGGGTGTGAATTGGGACAAACTTTTTAGAGGGTGTTTGGTAAATGTCTATGGACCTAGACATTGTAGGATTTTATTTGGAGAGGATAATTAGAGTAGATGAATTCATGATTTGTGCTACACTGCAACTTATTTTTTTTCACCTTATTATTTTGAAAAGTTTTTAATGTACAAAGAAGTTGAAAGAATGATACACTAAACCCTCATATATCTTTCTCCTATATTCATCAGTCATTAACATTTGCAACACTGGAATTTAAAGCAATTTATTGTCTTTAGGTGATTGTTTAAATAAACTATATAGTTTGAAACTTAACGGTAATTCTTAATTTATTGATATGAAAAGATGTCCTTGGGCCAGGTGCAGTGGCTCACGCCTGTAAGCCCAGCACTTTGGGAGGCCAAGGTGGACGGATCACTTTAGGTCAGGAGTTTGAGACCAGCATGGCCAACATGGCAAACCCCCGTGTCTACTAAACATAGAAAAAATTAGCTGGGCATGATGGCGTGCACCTGTAATCCCAGCTACTCTGGAGGCTGAGGCAGGAGAATCTCTTGAACCTGGGAGGAAGAGGTTGCAGTGAGCGGATATCATGCTACTGTACTCCAGCCCGGATGACAGAGCGAGACTCCATCTCAAAAAAAAAAAAAGATGTCCTTAAGATATACAGTAAGCACAGAGGGTCCATTTTTATAAATGCCGTACACATACACTAAGTAGACATCTGAAGGGATACTCATTGGAATGTTAGCAGTAGTTATCTACAACTTGAGAGGGTTTTGAGACAGGGTCTTGCTCTGTCACCCAGGCTGGAGTATAGTGGCATGATCACAGCTCACTGCAGCCTCAGCCTCCCAGGCTCAAGTGATTCTCCCACCTTAGCCTCTGGAGAAGCTGGGTCCCCAGGCACAAACCGCTACACCCGGCTAATTTTTTTGGATTTTTTGTAGAGATGGGGTTTCTTCACGTTGCCCAGTCTGGTTTAAGCAGTCCTTCCACCTCGGCCTCCCAAAGTTCTGGGACTACAGGTGTGAGCCACTGTACCCAGCCTGTTTTGGATAATTTTTATGTTCTTAATACATCTGTATTTTAAATCTTTATAATTAACTGATTTTTTTTTTTTTTTCTGAGACAGAGTCTGACTCTGTCGCCCAGGCTGGAATGCAGTGGCATAATCTCAGCTTACTGCAACCTCTGCCTCCCAGATTCAGGCAATTCTCCTGCCTCAGCCTCCCAAGTAGCTGGGACTACAGGCGTGTGCCACGACACCCAGCTAGTTTTTGTATTTTTAGTAGAGATAGGGTTTCACCATGTTGGTCAGACTGGTTTCGAACTCCGGAGCTCAAGTGATCTGCCTGCCCCAGCCTCCCAAAGTTCTGGGATTACAGCCGTGAGCCACCATGCCCAGCTGATTTTTTTTTTTTTTTTTTGAGACGGATTCTCTCTCTGTCACCCAGGCTGGAGTGCAATGGCGTGGTCTCGGCTCACTGCAAGCTCCACCTCCTGGGTTCACGCCATTCTCCTGCCTCAGCCTCCTGAGTAGCTGGGACTACAGGCGCCCGCCACCATGCCCGGCTAATTTTTTGCATTTTTAGCAGAGATGGGGTTTCACTCTCCTGACCTCCAGAGATGGTCTCAATCTCCTGACCTCTTGATCTGCCCGCTTCTGCCTCCCAAAGTGCTGGAATTACAGGCTTGAGCCACTGCGCCCAGCCGCTAACTGATTTTTTTAATCAGAAAAACTAATAAAGCTTGAGGAAAAAATGTGTACTTCCATGGACACTACATAATTATGCACAACAACTAATAGATTAACATTTTTTTTTCCAGATTAAACATCCTACTGCCCTAGGATTAGAAGTTGGCCAAGAAATTCAGGTATTTGTATTCCACCTTTTAGCCTTGAAGTTGTAAATTGTTCTTGAAGCTTCCATTGTTTTTTTCAAAAAGTTGAAAGAAGAGTCACCATCTATGAAGTTTTTTATTTGTATGCAGTACTTCATTTTTAATCTTAGAATTGCTTGAACAGACTCATTAAGGATTTAAGACACAATTCTTTCCCTCAAGGAGCTTGCAGCTTGGCCAAAATGGTAGTCACCCTTAGTTCGTTTAAAAAATACATGAGCATGTTAGTGTTAGCTATGCAGACTCCATGATTTGGGCACTGACGTAAGAACTGTGATAAGGTAACTTGTTAAAGTCTTTGAATGTCATCTTTGAGGAGGTGAGACTTTGTTTCTCCACTACTTAAAGTTTTTGAGCTTGGTAAGAGCCATGTTATTCAGGCCTAGAATTCATATAACAAAATTGGCCCTTTCTTTGTAGTCCTTTATGAGTGGATGAAAGAAGTCATTGCCAGTCTGTTTTTTCGGGCTCCACCACATTGTCTTTCACTTACGCTAATACGCATGACCTGAGTAACTAAGGCTTCTGGTTTATTCCCAATGTGTAGTCTTATTGTCCAAGTAGCCTCCAGGGGAAGATGAGTGCTAAGATATAGTATCTCTGTATAAGGTTGATTTTTTGGTTTATTTGTTGTTGTTGTTGTTGTTGTTGTTTTCACATCAGAAGGAACTTTAAACCTTTGCATTTGCCCCTGACTTTCATTTTCCAAGGTGAAGCCAAATAAACACTAATGTGTTGGTCCTTTGAGCAGTAGTGAAAATCCAAGTGACCTAAGCATAATCCTCTATAGTATATAACACAATTAGGCTCTCAAAGCCCTTGTCTAGGATCATTCACTATGCCTGTGACTGTTCCCCCAGTATAAGGACTTGGCCTGGTGAGAATAAAAAGGCACAGATGAGTTCAGCGGCAGATTATAGTTGAACAACTAACTGCCCCGTCTCTTTTCTCTTTTATAATGACTACTTATATGTGTTAAGTGTATACGTCCACTTAGCACTGAACAATGCTTTCAGTGAACAAGTAAAAACAATCATTGCCTTATTTGGACCATGTAAATTTAAATGTCTATTAGTTTAGATGTCACTCAATGTGCTGTAACTTTAAAGGAAGATCTGTTTCTTTAACACAGGTGAAATACTTTGGACGTGACCCAGCCGATGGAAGAATGAGGCTTTCTCGAAAAGTGCTTCAGTCGCCAGCTACAACCGTGGTCAGAACTTTGAATGACAGAAGTAGTATTGTAATGGGAGAACCTATTTCACAGTCATCATCTAATTCTCAGTGATTTTTTTTTTTAAAGAGAATTCTAGAATTCTATTTTGTCTAGGGTGATGTGCTGTAGAGCAACATTTTAGTAGTATCTTCCATTGTGTAGATTTCTATATAATATAAATACATTTTAATTATTTGTACTAAAATGCTCATTTACATGTGCCATTTTTTTAATTCGAGTAACCCATATTTGTTTAATTGTATTTACATTATAAATCAAGAAATATTTATTATTAAAAGTAAGTCATTTATACATCTTAGAAAAAATTACATAGTTTTGTTTTTACAATTCTGAAATATATGAAAAACTTAGATAGAATATGTCATATGTTATTATAACAGATCTCTTCCTACATCTTATTTTTCTTCTTTGTATACAGTAGTGACAGTTTACCTTCAGTCATCCTACAGGTCACCTCTGTGCCCAACAACTTTACTTGCCTACAACGGTTCACAAACTGGAACAGGCCATATTCAAAGCCAGTGCCTATTTCTTCAGAACTGTTAACAGATATAGTGAGTTGAGGGAGCTAATCTGATACACTTTTGATAATATAATGCCTTTCAAATTAGTTACCAAATCATAAACAGAGTGGAATAAATATAAATGAGATTCTAACTAGGATGAATGTGGTAGTAATGATGTATATTTTTCAAATTTACCTAAACAGAAAGATTATTGGCTAAGGCAGGCGGATCATGAGATCAGGAGATCGAGACCATCCTGGCTAACACGGTGAAACCCCGTCTCTACTAAAAGTGCAAAAATTAGCCGGGCGTGGTGGCGCATGCCTGTAATCCTAGCTACTCAGGAGGCTGAGGCAGAAGAATCACTTCAACCCAGGAGGTGGAGGTTGTAGTGAGCCGAGATTGCGCCATTGCACTCCAGCTCAGGCAACAAGAGCAAAACTCCGTCTCAAAAAAAAAAAAAAAATTGTTTACTTATCAAATTGAACTAGGTCAATTTGAATATGTGTATTGCTCTAATGTATGGAAGTTCTTAGTATAAGAGCTGAAGGATCATGACTTTCGGTTAATAGATGTTTGAAATAGATGTTTAGAGGTTACTGATACACATGTCAAGTTGTTCATTCCCATCATTTAAAATATCACCTTATAATTCCACAGAAAAGTAAATGGTATGTGGACGTCATAATTTAGAATGTGTAATCTTTTTTAAAATCTTATAAAAATACACTGGACTCAGTGGTACGTGCCTGTAGTCCCAGCTACTTGGAAGGCTGAAGTGGGAAGGTCACTAGAGCCCAGAAGTTCGACACTGTAGTGTGCAACAATCATACCTGTGAATAGCTACTGTACTCCAGCCTGGGCAACATAGCAGGACTCTTATCTCTAAAAAAAATTTTAAATCTTATAAAAATGTAGGTATATCTGGCCAGGCATGGTGGCTCACACCTGTAATCCCAACACTTTGGGAGGTCAAGGCGGGTAGATCACCTGAGGTCAGGAGTTCGAGACCAGCCTGGCCAACATGGTGAAACCCCATCTCTACTAAAAATACAAAAATTAGCTGGGTGTGGTGGCGGGCGCCTGTAATCCCAGCTACTCAGGAGGCTGAGGCAGGAGAATCTCTTGAACCTGGGAGGCAGAGGTGGCAGTGAGCTGAGATCGCACCACTGCACTCCAGCCTGGGCAAAAAGAGTAAAACTCCATCTCAAAAAAAAAAATGGTGGGCACAGAAGCTCATGCCTGTAATTCCAGCACTTTGGGAGGCCGAGGCGGGTGGATTACATGAGGTCAGGAATTCAAGACCAGCCTGGCCAACACGGTAAAACCCCATCTCTACTAAAAATACAAAAATTAGCTGGGCATGGTGGCAGGCACCTGTAATCCTAGCTACTCGGGAGGCTGAGGCAGGAGAATCACTTGAGCCTGGGAAATGGAGGTTGCAGTGAGCCGAGATTGCGCCATTGCACTCCAGCCTGGGCGACAGAGCAAGACTCCGTCTCCAGAAAAAAAAAAAAAAAAGGTAAATTCATGACTCAGGGTTAACTAGTTCATAAAATATTACAAATTTATCTGGCTAAACCAAAGATTTTTAAGTCAATAAACATTGATTATATATCTATTGTGTGTAAAATAGCATGTTAGGCAATGTTGATATACTTCTGAAATATTAAAGATTAATTGAAAATGAAAGATTAAATTTATTTGCTTTCTACACTTGATATCGACTATTATTTAATAACAGTAACAAAAGTTTTTATTCTCACTTCTGCTTTCTAAGACATAATTCTTATTTTAAGATATCATCCTTAATGGTAGAATTTCAAAATTGCAATTTGTGTTTTTCTTAAATTTTCTGTTTTCTTTTTCAAAGGAACTCCCAACTCCTAATAATATGGAAAATGAAGCCAGTTCTTAAACAAACTCCAGAAACCTGAACTGACACAAAGTACAAATACAGCTTACTAACTGCAAACCACCAAAAGAACACCATTTCTGCTTAAACCAAGAGCCTACACTTTATGTCTGAACTTTTCTTATTTTTGTCTTCATTTAAATGTTGGTAGTTTTCCCTACTTTCCAATGAAGTTTTTCTTTTTCTTTCTTTCTTTCTTTCTTTTCTTTTTTTTTTTTTTTTTTTTGAGACAGAATCTCACTCTGTTGCCAGGCTGGAGTGCGGCGGCGCAATGTTGGCTCACTGCAACCTCCACTTCCCAGGTTCAAGCAACTCTCCTTCCTCAGCCTCCCTAGTAGCTGGGATTACAGGTGCCCTACACCCGGCTAATTTTTGTATTTTTATTTTATTTTTTCTTATTTTTTTGAGATGGCATCTTGCTCTGTCGCCCAGGCTGGGGTGCAGTGGTGCATTCTCAGCTCACTGCAAGCTCCGCCTCCCGGGTTCACACCATTCTCCTGACTCAGCCTCCCCAGTAGCTGGGACTACAGGCACCTGCCAATATGCCCGGCTAATTTTTTTTTTGTATTTTTTAGTAGAGACGGGGATTCACCATGTTAGCCAGGATGGTCTCATCTCCTGACCTTGTGATCTGCCCACCTCGGCCTCCCAAAGTGCTGGGATTACAAGCATGAGCCGCTGCGCCTGGCCCCAATGAAGTTTTTCTATGACGGCTATATTATATGCTGGAAACACTAATTTATAGTGACTCAGATCAAACTGAATGCCATCTTTGGTGGTTAGCTCAATACAAGTACTTAAAAGTAAGACTTTTTTTCCCATGACTTTTGTTTTGATACAGGAACACACATACTCCATAAGTTACTGTTCTATCACAGTACAGTTTTTATATAATCATTTTTTCTTCTATTACAGAATATCTTACATTCTTGGATCTAAAATGAAAACATGAATATCTTTCTTAGTTCAGTTCAGCCAAGCATAGCATTCTTTTATTCATCATTTAACATGTGCCAGGCATTATAAGGTATGCAGGGGATGTGTCAGTAAATAAAAGACCTAAGTTAGGCCGGGCACGGTGGCTCACACTTGTAATCCCAGCACTTAGGGAGGCTGAGGCGGGTGGATCACCTGAGGCCAGGAGTTTGAGAACAGCCTGGCCAACATGGAGAAACCCCGTCTCTACTAGAAATACAAAAATTAGCCAAGCGTGGTGGCACATGCCTGTAGTTCTAGCTACTCGGGAGGCTGAGGCAGGAGAATCACTTGAACCCGGGAGGCAGAGGTTACAGTGAGCCGAGATCGTGCCACTGTACTCCAGCCTGGGCAACAGAGCAAGACTCCATCTCAAAATAACAAAAACAGACAAAACAGCTAAAGTTCCAATGCTCATATTCTAGAGTTTGGAAATTGATAGCAAATTACGATACAGCAGGTCCTTGAATAACTTTTTTTTCAACATCATTTGCATTAAAATGTTGTTGAGAAGGAAACAAAACATTGATTCCTGGCCAGGCTTACCGTCTGTGTGGAGTCTGCACTTTTTCCCACGTCTGCAGGAGTATATTAGTCCATTCTTGCATTGCTATAAAGAAATACCTGAGGTTGGATGCGGTGGCTCATGCTTGTAATCCCAACACTTTGGGAGGCTGAGGCAGGTGGATCACCTGAGGTCAGGAGTTCGAGACCAGCCTGGCCAACATGGTGAAACCCCGTCTCTACTGAAAAAAAAATACAAACGTTAGCCGGCCATAGTGGTGCACGCCTGTAATCCCAGCTACTCAGGAGGCTGAGGCAGGAGAATCGCTTGAACCTGGGAGGCAGAGGTTGCAGTGAGCCGAGATCATGCCACTGCACTCCAGCCTGGGTGACACAGGGAGACTCCATCTCAAAAAAGAAAGAAGAAATACCTGAGTCTGGATAATTTATTTTATTTTGTTTGTTGTTTGTTTTGAGGCAGAGTTTTGCTCTTGTTGCCCAGTCTGAGTGAGTGTGGATGTGTGTGTGAGTGCACCCTGCAATGTGATGGCTGTCCTGTCTAGTATCACTTCCCACCTGGCACCCTGAACTGCCAGGATGGGCTCCAACCACCCAAAACCCTGAACTGTTGTAATTTGATAAATCATCTTGTTTTATTCATCTTTCTTGAATGTTGTCTAGCTCACATTTACTTCAGTGTTTAACATCAGAAATGTTTTGGTCTTTATTTGCAAGTTTGGTAATTTTTTTTTTTTACCAGAAATGTGCCATAGGATCTTAACTCTTGTTTATATCAATTAGCCTGTGGTAAATTTGGTTTCATTTTATGTAGTTTATCTTAGAGTTACAGTTTGCAAGAACCTATCGAAGACATTAAGTAAGAACTTAACTGTACAACATGTCAGGTAGTGGTAGGTACCTTAAAGAAAAACAACTAGATAAAGAGATAGAGTGATAAAAGTTACTATTTAATATGAAATGATCCAGAATGTCTTCTCTGAGTAGATAACATTTCAGCACAGACTTAAATGAAGCAGAGGAAAAAGATATGCAGCTATTTGGGAAAGAATTCTAGATAGAGGGACTAACAACTTCATTTTCACTTGGCATTGCGTTGAATTGTTTACAAGATACAACAGCCAACAGCCTTTCAATTTATAACCCAGTTTCACATAGTCTTACTCCTTAATCTTGTGCTTGTTCTTCACCGAAATTAGAAAGCAAAGTAGCAAAGTTTATTAACGAATATGAAACAAGGGATGGCCAATACAATATGATATTTTTTTTTTTTTCTTTTTTTGAGACGGAGTCTCACTGTGTCGCCCAGGCTGTAGCACAGTGGCGTGATCTCAGCTCACTGCAACCTCCACCTCCCTGCAACCTCCACCTCCCTGCAACCTCCACCTCCCGGGTCCAAGCTATTCTCCTGCCTCAGCCTCCCGAGTAGCTGGGACTACAGGCGCCCGCCACTACACCCAGCTAAGTTTTGTATTTTTAGTAGAGACGGGGTTACACCATATTGGCCAGGCTGGTCTCGAACTCATGACATCAAGTGATCCGCCCACCTCAGCCTCCCAAAGTGTTGGGCTTACAGGTGTGAGCCACTGCGCCTGGCCTAAGATGATATTTTCAAAGCATTTAATCAGGCAAGAATATCTTGGTTACTTACAAGGAATGGGTAGACACTGGAATCATGTGACAAGTTTATCAGGCTTTTGCAAAATTCCAGACTCATGAGAGTTGAGACTAGAGTGGTAGACAGTGGAAATGAAAAGAGAGTTGTTTTAGTTAAAGATTCTTGCTAAAGCAAAGAGGGAAAATGATCATGGGACCGTGAGTTTATTTTATGGAAGCCAAGTCACACCCTGTGGAAGACTGGAATGAGGACTAACAAGCCATTAAGAACTAGGGCAGTTCATCTCTGCTTAATTATGGAGTCTCATGGCCTCTCTTTTGTGCTTCTTTCCACACAACTGCTTTTTTAAATGTTTATTTATTTGTTCGTTTTTATTCTCTGCAAACCTGTTTTCTCAGCATAGGGCAAAGGATGGCTGTCCCACAGGACGTTACCTGTCCTTTATAGGTTTGTGTTCTTTTGGAGGAAATGACAAGCTCAGCTTGGGAAAGGTGTTAAACCTGACTGAGATTGCCAGATAAAATAATGATGCCAAATTAAATTGGAATTACAGATAAACAGATGTTCAGTGTAGGTCCCATGTAACACTAAAAGATTATTCCTTGTTTATCTGAAGTTCAAATAATTTAACTGAATGTCCTATATTTTTATTTGCTAAGTCTGGTACCCATAAGCCAGATATAAGCAACTGGTCAGACAATTGTCTATATTTTTATTTGCTAAATCTGGTAACCCTAAACCTGGTATAAGCAACTGGTCAGAAAATTACCAAGAGCTCACTTCTGAGAAGAGAGTGTATTCAGAAAAAGTGGGCTGGGCACATACCAAGATGTTGCAGAGCAAATATAAGGGATAATGGATGGACTTAACCCAGATAAAATGGGGAGTGAGTGGCAAGTGGAGGGAAGAGAGCGGCAGTTATGACTAAGGATTTCAGGCTGAGGATTGTGAGGACAATAGGATCTGTTACATAAATAGAAACTAAAAGGGACAAAATAGGGTTGTTTTTGTTTTTGAGATGGAGTCTCGCTCTGTTGCCAGGCTGGAGTGCAGTGGTGTGATCTCGGCTCACTGCAACCTCCGCCTCCCAGGTTCAAGCGATTCTCCTGCCTCAGCCTCCCGAGTAGCTGGGATTACAGCTGCACGCCACCATTCCCAGCTAATTTTTGTATTTTTAGTAGAGACGGGGTTTCACCATGTTGGCCAGGATGGTCTCAATCTGTTGACCTTGTGATCTGCCCGCCTCAGCCTCCAAAGTGCTGGGATTACAGGCGTCAGCCACCATACCTGGCCAATGGACAAAATAGTTTTAAAGAGTTTAAATAGTTTTAAATAGTTTAAAGATGGCCTGGGTGTGGTGGCTTGTAATCCCAGCACTTTGAGAGGCCAAGGTGGGTGGATCACATGAGCCCAGGAGTTCAGTACCAGCTTGGGCCAAATGGTCACACCTTGTTCTACAGAAAATAAAAAAATTAGCCTGGCATGGTGGTGCGCACCTGTAATCTCAGCTACTTGGGAGGCTGAGGGCTCAGGTAGGAGGATCACTTGGGCCCGGTAATTCAAGGCTGCAGTGAGCTATGATTGTCCCACTGTACTCCAGCCTGGGCAACAGAGCCAGACTGTGTCTCAAAAAAGAGAGAGATGTCTGACTCATTAAATATGAGTATGAAGTCATCAACCAACAGACAGGTAAAATGGTCTAAAAGGCAATTTGGTAATAAGTGACTTTTGTAAAGGTAATATTTAAAGCAACCTCAGTTTTGCCATCTAAAGCATATCTCAGATCATTGCAAGAGGCTTCAATATAACAGAAATTTACAAAATTAATTTTAATGTAATAAAAACTTTAAAACTACCTATTAGGAGCACAGTACTCTGCTATGGAATAGTTTGTTTCCTTCAGGGACTTAAATATAGTCTAATACAGAGTTACTAATTAATGAAAGGCAGGTTGGTGAGCACTATAATGAAAGTTTTTAAAAAGTCATGCTATAAAAAGAGAAGAGGTAAACTAGAAGGAAAAATGAAGGTTTCTAAGAAGTGGAATTTGAACTGGATTTCAATATAGAGAGTTAGTATTTGAGCTGGGCTTTAAAGGACGATTATAAAGGGAAAGGCACTTTGTGGAGAAGGAACAGTTTTATTAATGGATGAAGAAGCCAGTAAATAGACGTCAGATTGTGTGGGAGTTTAGAATATGAGATTTAGTACTCTGACTTTATCCTGCATGGGATGGGAAGCATTGAAAAATACCCAGTGTTTCATGAAAACCAAACTTGAGTTGTTGACTATAAATAGTTTTTTTAATACTATGGTTATAAAATTTAATGCAATTGCCTAGGACTCATAACCTAGAAGAGATGATTAAAAAAAAGCAAACATAAAAATTTATAGATCATTATCATTTATGAGAACAGTTATAAATTGTCATAATATTAAGAGAAAACCATATGGTCACCAGATGCAAAAAATGGTCCTGTTTTTCTTTTTTTTTTTTTTTTTTTTTTGGAGACAGGGTCTTGCTCTGTTGCCCAGGCTGGAGTGCAGTGGCAGGATCATAGTTCACTGTAGCCTCAAACTCCTGGGCTGAAGTGATCCTCCTGCCTCAGCCTGCTGAGGTGCTGGGACTGCCAGCATGCACCAGCATGCCAGCAAATTTTTTGCTGTTGTTGTTCTTTTAGAGACTGGGTCTCACTATGTTGCCCAGGCTAAAAAGAGACTTTTTTTTTTAATAATTCAATATCCATTTCCTAGAGAGTTTAGAATATCAGGAAATGTCCTTAACGTCACAAGTGGTATGTATCAAAAATTAGGAACATGTATACAACACTGGAAACATGGCCATTAAAGTCAGGAACAAAACAAGAATCACCAGTGTTCTGGATGTCCTAATCAATGTGATGAGATTAAAAAGGGATACAGGGAAAGAACAAAAATATTTGCAGATGATCATCTAAAAACCACTATTTATTTTTTAGACAGGGTCTTACTGTCACTCAGGCTGGAGTGCAGTGACATAATCATAGCTTACTGCAACCTTGAACTCCTAGGCTCAAGGGATCCTCCTGCCTCAGCCTCCCAAGTAGCTGGTACTACAGGTATGGACTACCATGCCTGGTTAATTTTTTTTTTTTTTTTAATTTTTAGTAGAGGTGAGGTCTCGCTCTGTTGCCCAGGTGCTGATCTCAAACTCCTGGGCTCAAGCGATCCTCCCACCTTGGCCTTCCAGAGTGCTGGGATTACAGGCATGAACCACCATGTGAAGCCTAAAAAAACACTTTAAATTGGTATAAAACAGGCCAGGTGGCCGGGCATGGTGGCTAAAACCTGTAATCCCAGCACTTTGGGTGGCCGAGGTGGGCGGATCACAAAGTCAGGAGTTTGAGACCAGCCTGGCCAACATGGCGAAAACCCGTCTCTGCTAAAAATATAAAAATTAGCCAAGTGTAGTGGCAGGTGCCTGTAATCCCAGCTACTCGGGAGGCTGAGGCAGGAGAATTGCTTGAACCCGGGAGGTGGAGGTTGGAGTAAGCTGAGATGGTGCTATTGTACTCCAGCCTTGGCAACAAGAGCAAGACTCCATCTCAAAAAACAAAAAAAACAGTCCCGATGTGGTGGCTCACGCCTGTAATCCCAGCACTTTGGGAGGCCAAAATGGGCAGATGACTTGAGTCCAGGAGTTCAAGACCAGCCTGGGTGACATGGGGAAACCCCATCTCTGCAAAAAATGCAAAAATTAGGAGGCTGAGGTGGGAGGATGGCTTAAGCCCAAGAGGTAGAGGTTGCAATGAGCCAAGATTGCACCACTGTACTCCAGTCTAGAAAACAGAATGAGACTATCTCAAAAAATAAATAAAAAGTGGTTACAAAACAATTGGGACTAGTAAGTGAGCAGTAACCACATAAATATGCCAAAATAAATAGCTATCTTCTCCTCAAGTTAAAAGCTGCCATGGTGTGAATTCATTTCCACTTTTTCAAAGCCATCACCTTTTCCAGGCTTTGAAAAGCTAACCTCGGGACTACTTGCTGAGGTTAAATCTGTCCCAAAAAAGTACCCCAAGTCCATGAAGTCTTGCTTATGTTGTCTTAAATTCCAGCCCCCTTAATTGAACACCCTTAAAATCCAATCCTAAGTATACTTCTCTGGCTCCTGATAGTCATGGTAACTTATTTCAATTCCTTCGGTGTGTAATCTTTCCTTTCTTATCAGGGCCAGCAGTTCCTAGGCAGATTATGCTGAGATGTTAACTCCAGTTACCATGGCTTGGCAGCCAGGAGAAAAACTGAGAACAATTATGGAAGAGGTCTTTCTGTAATGAGGGAAGTGCTTGCTCTTACTAGGAAGTATGAGCCAGTTCTGTAAGCTCTTGAGTGTCCAGAGGTATCTACAGAGCCAAAATCCTCAGGGGCACCCATTCCATGTTTCAAAGCTTCAGGCTGGTTTCCCCAACCAGCGCCCTGACTACATACTGGATCTCCCTAGGCTGAGCATTCAAATATCTTTAGAGCTCTGTGACCATCCAATCCCATTTCTGCTCTTCCACTGCAGGAAATAAAAGTTTGTTAAGCTCCAGAGAAGCCCCCGGCTCCCACACTTAGCCTTTAACTGTTTAAGTGCTCTCGGTTTCTCATTATCCATCTGCAAGGCATTACTTGTCTTAGTAACAGTTGGCCAGCTCTGCTTTCTTTGTAGGCATCGTATTCCCCATATCTTTTAAATGCCTAAATTGCACGAGCAAGAGGATTTCCCTTCTCTGGGATGTTTTCCTAGGTCACTGCTGGCTAAATCAGGACTCAGATGGCTGCTTTGTGCCAGGGACCAAGTAAGCCATTGCCCAAAACCCATCTTACTATCTGTTTTCTTGCACCACTTGGTAAACCACCTGTCTGTTCTGGTCCTCAGAGAAGCAGATGCCAAGAAGGGATTAGACATGCAAGATATTTATTGGGGGAAATGTTTGTGAAGGATAAAGTGGGAAGGCTCAGGAATTGGCAGAGAGACTTCAGACTGTGGTGCAGGTCTGACTTCTGTAAAAAGAAGAGAAGGAAATATTGGGTAGAAAGAGCCTCGACTACACTGTAGTTCTAAGATAGTCTCATCCAGGCTGATGAGAAGTTCCCCAAGCCAAAGTTGCCCGTTAGAGGAGTTCTGCACTGGGCAAGAAAGAACAAGTTTAGTACTCCTGCTGTGCTCAGCCACTAGCTGGGGGCGACTCCAGAGATATGTGGCATTGACATGAATGCATGGTAGTTCCAAAGGGGTGGCAGCTGGCTGTCAGTCACTTGTAGTCCCCAGAGTAGGTTCTCTTGAAGATCTGAGTGGAAACTTCTATGGCCACAGTCAAAATGCAATCCAGGGCCAGGTGCAGTGGTTCATACCTATAATCCCAACACTTTAAGAGGCTGAGATGGGAGGATTGCTTGAGCCGGTAAGTTTGAGACCAGTCTGGGCAAGATAGCCAGACCCTGTCTCAAAAGTAACCCCATAATCATTCCAAAACTGTAGCAATTAAAACTCTGTCATACTAGAATTGACCAACTACAGCAATTGAAACAGTAGTGAATTCAGACTCAAACTCAGATATATGTTATGTATGTATATGTATATGCATGTAAATTTAGTAAATAATATGATAAGATAGCATTTTCAATTTGTTTTTTCTATACATGATGTTGAGACAACTGGATGGATATCCATTTGGAGGAAAAGTTTTAAATTAGCATCCTACTTCATATATATTTTAAAAATTCCAACTTGATTAAAGAACTAAACATTTAAAAACCATGAAAATATATTAGAACTCCAGAATACATGGAAAATTAACCATACACAGTATGTCATCTCTTTGACAGCTAAATAAATTTTTAAAAAGTGTAGAGCCCAAAAGGCAAACAAAATACAAAAGAAATTTCAACAAATGGTTGTATGACAAGCCGATGGAAGAGTAGTAGTAGACTTGACAGCAAAAGGCACAATCTAAAAGCCTCCACAGGTGATTAAAGAAAAAAAGAAGAGGTAAGGCCAGGTGCAGTGGCTCATGTCTGTAATCCCAGCACTTTGGCAAAGAATATAAACAGTTCACAGGAAAGGACATACATGTGACCTTTTAAAAATATAAAAAGATGCCGGGCGCAGTCGCTCACGTCTGTAATCCCAGCACTTTGGGAGGCTGAGGCAGGCAGATCACGAGGTCAGGAGATGGAGACCATCCTGGCTAACATGGTGAAAGCCCGTCTCTACTAAAAATACAAAAAATTAACCTGGCATGGTGGTACATGCCTGTAGTCCCAGCTAGTCAGTAGGCTGAGACAGGAGAATCGCTTGAACCTGGGAGGCAGAGGTTACAGTGAGCCAAGATCACACCACTGCACTCCAGCCTGGGCAACAGAGCAAGATTCCATCTCAAAAAAATAAAATAAAATGAAATAAAATAAAATAAAATAAATAAATTAAAAGAGCTAATTCTTTCCACAAAAAAATTAGAAAGGATCAGGGCAGAAAATTTTAGGGAAGGGTGAAAGCCTATATAAAGAACACCTACATTCCTGGGTCTATTCCCCAATCCCATATAACCAAAGGACTGCCACCCCACACACATACACACATACACACACACTCATACCCACACATGCCCCTATAACACCATCACCACATCCCAGGAGCCTGATTTATTTTCTAGAATGGGAGAGACTCTTGACTTGAGAATATTAGTCACAGTAGGTAGTAGGGGACTGTGAAGCAGGGCTAAAGTGAGCATTAAGTGAAAGCCTGAATGCCAAACAGTGGGACCTCTAGCCTCCTTCCTCTGCCTCCTTCTAGAATACCTTTACCCAGGAAAGATATGGGGGAATCCCTGAATAAACTATTACTGCCCCCTCTCTACTCCCTGCAAGAGACAAGACTTCTAAAAACTGATATTTGGTGAGTGGTTGGGGAGGGACTATGATTGAAAGAGAAAGATCACCCTGAAGAAGGCCAGAAGTCTATAGTTTTGCTCTTGAGAATAGAAAGCCAGATAGGGGCCAAACCATGAAGAGCTTTGAATGGCATCATAAAGAACTTTATCCTAAAAGAAATCAGGAACTTGAAAGATGTCAAGGGAATATAATATGGTCAGATTTATTCCATGAATCTTACTCAGTGGTGTGTCAAGAACTGACTGCCTGGAGATAGAAATTAGAGATCTCAGTCTGGGACTTTCAAATATGTAATATAAGTCTGATATGGTAGCTATTAAATTGCCTGCTAAAGGGAATGTCAAATTGAGTAGTAAACTTCTAAGGGAAGTTTCATTCTTTCAATAGTTATTGAGAACCTGCTATGTTTGACACCCTGTGCTAGACTAGAGATACAATGGTGAGAAAAAATGCAGTTCCCTGGACTAATAGAGGTTTTTCATCTGGATGAGAAGACAGTTATTAATCAGAAATCATACAAATAAATATAAAGCTACAAGTATGACAGGTGCTACAATGGAGGGGTGCATGGTGCTATAAGCGTGTAATAGGATATAATGGATTCTGATTGTATTCCTAGCATCGATTTTACCGATACCTCATAGAGTAACATTCATGGGATTTAGGTGGGATTAACGTAACTTCCAGTTCCAAGGATAGGCCTTGATTTGCCCTGGCCAATCAGTGCTTGACATTCTCTAGACCACAAAACTCTAGGTTTAGGGGCGGACATGTGACCTAAATTAATTTAATCACATTGAAACTGTGAAATATGTGAAAGAAACTCTCTTTTGATATGGACAAAGAACTACATAACCTTGGGAGATCCTGGCCACCATTTTATGATACAAAAGGAGTAAGCCTTAGGATGAATCTGACATCAGAAAGAAAATTGAGAGGTAGAAGGAAATCAAGTTCCTGCTGATACTGTTAAGTCACTCAAATCAACCTGAGGTTCACCTTATCTTCAGACTTCTCATTTATGTGAGCCAATAAATTCTCTTATCATTTAAACTAGTTTAAATTGGATTTTTTGGTAATTGTAACATTCCAAGGGGGATTTGTTCGAATGTGGCTTTTGTCAAAGAAAAAAAAAAAACCCAGGGGATTTGAAATAGGCAGTCCAAGAAGGCTCCTCCAAGGAAGTGATAATAGTGGCAACATTTAAAAGATAAAATGGGAGTTATTAGGAGATGATTGGTGAGGAAGAAAGCTCCAGACAAAGAGAATACCTGTGCAAAGACAGCAAGCAGGGGCATGAGTATGAAAAAAGAGTGTGCGGGTACTAAGATGCAGCTGGAGAGGTAGGCAGAAGCAGGATGAAAAGGGCTTTTTAAGTCATTGAAAGGATTCTGGCCACTGAAATATTTTTCATAACATATAGGGGTGGATAGGATACATCGTATAACGCACATGACAGCCCCTCACAACAAATTATCCAGCCCCAGATGTCAGTGGTGCTTAGGTTGAAAAACTTTGCTCTAGGAAATTAACCTACAAAGATATTGGCACACATAAAACAACTTTTGCACAATCATATGTTTGAAATTACGAACCATTGGAAATGACACAAATATACAATAAATGAGTTAAATAAATTAGGGTACATTTGTACAGTTGATGCAGGATTTTTCTTGGCCACTTTGACAGCTGGAGACCTCCGGCCAGCAACACCCCAACTACTCGGCCCACCAGGATGTGTCTGGCTTGTGCTCAGGCACGAATCCTGCAGCCACCATGGCCTCAGCCCCTGGCAGGAGGGGGTGTGTGAGTGAACGAGTACAGGGCAGGAGTGGGCTCTGTGCGGGGCTTGTGGCTGGACCAGGTGTGTCACATTGAGGGAAATGTGGTGGCACCCAAACAGGGGTGCTCATGACCCTGAAGCCCCAGAGGTGTTACAGTATGCTAAGCACTCTTTTAGTTCTGCCGTCTGCAGGCCAACGGACAGTGGCATGTTAACAGCTCTATCAGTCCCATTGCCCCACTCAGGCCCGTGGCTTCAGGACTGGCTCTGCCCCACTGCTGCTTCCCATCGCGTTGTGTGGGACGGTTGCCCTCCACCAGCAGAGGGCAAAGGGCCACAGTGTGTACAGCCTTCTTTGTATCTGCGTTTGGTGGGTCCCGAATTTTTCTTCAGCGTCCAAGAATGAGGTTACGCTGACAATCAAAGGGTGAGGAGGGTGGAGAAGAGTTTTATTTGAACTATGAAACAGCTCTCAGGAGAGAGAGGATGCAAGGGTGGTCCCTCACTCAAAGTCAGGTGGTCTCTCTCTCAGTGCGGCTGAGTCCACAGCTTTTATGGGCTCAGAATGAAGGCGTGCATGCTGATTGGTTTGTGAGTATGCAAAAAAGGCTAAAACAACAGCACCACTCAAAGGTAGGTACAACAGTGTAAAAAAACAATTAGGAAAGGATATGTGTAAAATAGGTGAAGGGTGGGGATCAATCAGAAGAAAGCACGCCAAATGGGAAGAGAGGTTCTCAATCTGGTCTGTGGATTTATCCTGGTCTTGTGGCTAGCCTTTAAACTGTCCTCAGCTTGAAGGGTTTCACCAGGGACCTGCCCCTGTCTGCCTAGGATTTGTCTGCCTTTTGCGGCTATCACAGTGGGATACTATGTAGCCATTAAGTAGAATGAGTTAGCTCTATATACACACTGACCCAAAAAAGGCTGTCCTGGGCACGGTGGCTCACCCCTGTAATCCCAGTATTTTGGGAGGCTGAGGCAGGTGGATCACATGAGGTCAAGAGTTTGAGACCAGCCTCACCAACATGGTGAAACCCCATCTCTACTAAAAATACAAAAATTAGCTGGGCGTGGTGGCGGACACCTATAATCCCAGCTACTCAGGAGGATGAGGCAGGAGAATCGTTAGAATCCGGGAGACGGAGGTTGCAGTGAGCCGAGATGACACCTCTGCACTCCAGCCTGGACTGTGTATGGAAAAAAAGAAAGAAAAAAAAAGTGGGGGACAGGGGTTCAGATATGGTGGCTCACACTTGTAATCCCAGCACTTTGGGAGGTCAAAGCAGGCAGATCCCTTAAGCTCAGGAGTGTGAGACCAGCCTGGGCACCAACATGTAGAGACCCTGTCTCCACAAAAAATAAAAAGGAAGGAAAAGAATAGTATTCCATTACAGTCATGTGTCCCTTAACAATGGGGATGCTTTCTGAAAAATGCATCATCAGGTGATTTTTTGTTGTGTGAACATCATAGAGTGTACCTAAACAAACCTAGATGGTAGCCTACTACAGAGGTCCCCAACCTTTTTGACACCAGGGACTGGTTTTGTGGAAGACAATTTTTCCATGGAAAGGGGGAGTTGGATTCTCATAAGGAGTGCACAGGTTAGATCCCTTGCATGTGCAGTTTACAATAGGGTTCTCACTCCTACCAGAATGTAATGCCCCTGCTCATCTGACAGGGGGCAGAGCTCAGGCCGAAATGCTGGCTCCCCTGCCACTCACCTTCTGCTGTGCCGCCCAGTTCCTAACAGGCCCTGGACCACTACTGGACCACTACATACATATCTACATATAATTACCTGTATATGCATAGAATATCTCTGGAATAGGACTAGATACATACTTTGTGGGCCCAGTGCAAAATAAAACCGCAGGGCCCTTGTCCAGAAACTTTCCTGAATTTCAAGTTAGTGACAGCAAAACATTAAACCAAGTGCCTATCTGTACAGGTCACCACCATGAAGCCAGCCCTGCTCTGGCAACATACACAGGAAAATGGAATAGAGGTGATTCCAAGAGGAAAATTCTATGAGTGGCAGGAGACAAAGACTAAAAGAAGACTTAGTTTTCACTATATATCTTTGCCTTTTTTTTTTTTTTTTTTTTTGAGACAGTCTGTCACACTGTCCCCCAGGCTGGAGTGCAGTGGTGCAATCTTGGCTCACTGCAACCTCTGCCTCCCAGGTTGAAGCGATTCTCCTACCTCGGCCTCCCAAGTAGCTGGGATTACAGGCCCCCACCACCACGCCCAGCTGATTTTTGTATTTTTAGCAGAGACAGGGTTTCACCACGTTGGCCTGGCTGGTCTGGATCTCCTGACCTCGGGCAATCTGCCCACCTCGCCCTCCCAAAGTGCTGGGATTACAGGCGTGAGCCACCATGCCCGGCCTCTCTTTTTAATTTCATATGTGTAAAGGCATTACTTATTCAAAACAACAAAAAAGGAAGATTGTGGGCTTATTTGGTTAGCAACTCTTTGAAGTGGAACTTTGATGACTGCCTGAAGCAAAGAACATCTGCTGGGGAAGATGTGGTTATGGGGGGCCCTCAGACTTGGATAAGCACTGAGCCCTGTGCTTTGGAGGGGTCTGAAATCCATGGAATCATGGGACTGTAGCCACCTGCAGCCCACTTTCCCTTTTCCAGACCATGCTGTGGGCACTCTAGTATTCCCTATCCCAAACGCCAAGCCTGACTCCAGGGTCTGCACAATCCTCTTCCCAAGTTCAGTCTTCCTGGGGAGTAACCAAAGGGTGAGGCTTGGACAGAAGGCTGGAGAGTCTAACATCAGGCTCAAAAATTGTGTGAAGCATTCTCTGACTCTTCCAAGACAGAAATGTTATTTTCTCTGAGGTCAAAATACATTTTGTCCACTTTCATCACATCAATTAATTGGCTCTATTGTTATGTATTATATTATGATGATTTTCTTCAAGTACATTTTCTGAGGTCTCTAGATTAAAAAAAAAAACTATGAATCCAGATTTTGAAATTATTTCTATCAGCATGTGTTCTGTACACTGACCCACGTTGTAGTGTACTGCTGAAGGGTGTCCACACTTAAGCGATCTGGTCAAAACATAAGCACGTTTTAACAAGACCATTGATTAGTTATGACTACAACTCCCAAGATGCACTGCAGGGTCAGTGTGCGCGTCTCGCCTAGTTTTCACCGATCAGGCTAATGAGCTGCACAGAAGTGGCAGCTGAACAAGCTGAGAGACTGTATTAAAGAACGAATATAGCGGGGATGGGGAGCAGGCGTCTACGGTCCCAGCTACTCGGGAGGCTGAGGTGAGAGGATCGCTTGAGCCCTCAAGGCGGAGGCTACAGTGAGTCGAGATAGCGCCATTGCACTCTAGCCTGGGAAGCAGAGAGAGACTATCAAAAACAACAAAACGAATAAAGGGATTCTACCAAGAGTGAGCTGGACTGAAATAAACGACACGCTACTACGACCCAGCGCGTGACTATATCCACCGCACAATGTGCGATAATAGCCTCAATGCAGAGAGAATTCCTCCTTTCCTTATTCAGTGCAAGAGAGCCCTATAGAGAACGCAGGAAATGCCCGCGAGAAACTGAGAAGTATCAAAACAATCACAGATATGTTAGGAAAGTAGCTCCCCGCCACTTCCCTAAACTTATCATAGCAGACTTACTTTCCAAGGTTACAAACACAAGAAGAGCACTGTATTTTCATGAAGCGGAAAATGTGCTTTACAATCGCCAGCTACTAAGAGCCTTAACGGTGAAGCGCTCTGCAAGAAACAGGAAATCGTCAACACACTTTCTGCATGAATTGCCTGGAGAGTTGTGTCCATAGACAATTCCTGGTTAGATGCTTAATTGTAGCAGACTCCATAACGGGGTTTAGCGGGTTTCCATTCGGCAGAAAGGGCTCCACGTTCTTTTTCACAGAAAGGTTTAAACTTATTTTTCCTCCTCAGGCGGACGAAGTGAGCGTCGTTCCGTGAAGGTATGAAACCCTTTTCCTTCCTTTCTGTCCCTGGTTACTCCGGTTCAAGGCTACGTACTTCCCCGGTTTGCTTTGTTTTTTCCTCAGAGCTAAGTTCCTAGGAACGTCACATACTGGTGCCATCCAACAACATGACGACGTGCGGAACCGAAGTCCCCTTCCACCTAGCGGCCTCTCGCGGCGCAGGCGTGGACGGGGAGATCGCGAGAACCTCCCGCCCAATTGCGACCCCGCGCCAAGAGGCGGGGCCGAAAGAGGAGGAAGTCGGGCCGAAAGAGGAGGAAGTCTCGCCGAAGTACTCCCGCCCCAGTCGGTACCCCTCCTCGCGAGAGCGCCGAGCATTCCGGCCTGGGAAGCGCGTGCAGAAGCGGAGGTGCTGCTCATGGGACTTGTCGGCCGCCGTAGCCCCTGCTAGGACAGCCCGTGCGAGCCTGCTGGAGGAGGAAGAGAAAGGCAGAGAGAGTCGGGTTACAAGATGGCGGATCTGTAGTAGTTACCGCGGCGGCGGGAGAGCAAGCGAGCCCTGGGGGGCAAAGAGACGGGAGAGTGGGTGTATGCGCGGGTGAAGTGAGAGGTAACGGGGCCTCCGGGCGGAGAGGCCTCAGTGGCTCTTGTCACCCCTTCTCGCGGCTGAACCTTTGGAGCCATGGTGAATTCGGGCCTCTCCGAAGCCGCCGCCGCCGCCACCGCCACTACTGCCTTTACCGTCTCCTAAGAGTGAGGAGCGCGGACGAGGTAAGCGAGGAGGCGGCGGCTAGAGCGGTGGAGACAGCAGCCACCATGTCGGATACGCGGCGGCGAGTGAAGGTCTATACCCTGAACGAAGACCGGCAATGGGACGACCGAGGCACCGGGCACGTCTCCTCCACTTACGTGGAGGAGCTCAAGGGGATGTCGCTGCTGGTTCGGGCAGAGTCCGACGGTAAGGTTATCGGAACTGTAGAATAGGGGATAGTGCCTCTGGTTGGGGCACAGCTTGGGTTTAGGGCCCTGGGCCCGTTACCGTTGCTACTCCTTCGGGACAGCGCGTTGGTTCTGAACTGGCTCTTGTGTACGGCAAAAACAAAGTACTGTACTTTTGACTGGACTTATCCTCGGAGACCGAGACTCTCTGTCCTTCTCCCATCTCTCTTAAGGATTGGACTCCTTCCTTTCCAGTCCCTCCTCTTTTGAAGAGGGGAGAGTGTGAGAGAGAAGGGAGGAAGTAGTGAGAGACTAGGTACTGATGTCGCCCTAGGAGCTGACACCTTCCTCCCCCTTTATTTACTTATCCATTATACGTCTAGTACAAACGGTTTAGGGAAACTTTTCTTTCCGAGTGTTTTTAAAAAAAAAAAATTGTACCAACGGGCCCCAGGTGCCACAGTCGACAGGTGCTGGGGAAAACCGAAAGGCACGTTTTCCTGGCTGTATTGCTGACTGTTGCCACGATACATGGACACACAAGCACATACATCTGTAGTCTGCATTTCTTCGGGCTGCCTTTGTAGAAGGCGCTATGAGAAAGTGAATGCCTTACAATCTAAGCAAGTTGGGACACCAAAGCAGGTTGTAAACTGCTGTGTTCTTTGGTTTATTGTAGTCATGTGAAGTATTTTAAATTACAAAATGTAGAGCCGTAATTAAAATGCCTTTTATAGTATAATCTGGACTTGATTTGAACAACTGATATAGGCAGTTAGAAAAATAATCTTAGGTTTAGTCTTGACATATTTTGTATTCTTGCTTGTTCCCTTTTATTTTAAATAGTCATCACTTCTACAGAAGGTGTTCTTTTGTTCTTAATGAGGAAAGGATAAATGCAGCACTGTAATTTCTATACTAAGTATTTAATCCCTGTCATGATGTTTTTGTTTTGTAATTTGCATTATTTGTTAAACTGGGAATGCAATAAAACAACTTTTGTTAAAACGAATGGCTTGAAGTGGTCATTTAGACCTTAAAATTTTTATTTCAATAAAATTTTAATAGTCATCTAGTCTCCTCATTCCTTGGTTTGATTGTTGGTTTTAGATTAATTTTTCCTTTAAGGGTGTATGGGAATAGGGTGAAATATTTTAGATTAAATGTGAAGCCTAGATTTGGAGAGAAAATGTGAATTCGAATACATTTTATTAAGATGTCCAACTCGGTAAAAAGACTTGAAAAGTTTGCGGGGGCGGGGGGCGGGGTTTAAATGTGTATTTTTTTTTTTTTTTTTTTTTTTTTGGAGACAGAGTCTTGCTCTGTTGCCAGGCTGGAGTTCAATGGCGCGATCTGGGCTACTGCAACCTCTGCCTCCTCTCCCTCTCTCTCAAGCGATTCTCCTGCCCCACCCTCCCGTGTACCTGGGACTACAGGCATGCGCCACCACGCCCAGCTAATTTTTGTATTTTTAGTAGAGACGGTTTCACCATGTTGGCTGGAATGGTCTGGATCTCTTGACCTCGTGATCTGCCCGCCTCCCAAAGTGCTAGGATTACAGACGTGAGCCACTGCGCCCGGCTTTAATGTGTATTCTAATTTTTATTCAGGGTTTTATCATTTGAGACTTATGATGTATTATTTTTTATCTTTCAGGATCACTACTCTTGGAATCAAAGATAAATCCAAATACTGCATATCAGAAACAACAGGCAAGTAGTTGTTTATCTTTAATTTGAAAGACTTCATCTGTGATCAAGGAAGTATTAATCTGACAAAGGTGGGAAAGCTTTCCTGACAAGAAAAAAACATGTTTGGTAAACAAAGATCATGTGTATTTCTCTTGCAGGTTAAAAGTTTCAGACTGAAAAAAAGTTTTTGTACTGGTGATAATTATCATTTTTGGATTGAGCCACTGTCGGTTTATTCTAAGATGTATTTATTAGTATTATTTAACTGTAGTTAGCCAAGTCTCTTCTATACCTTGTACATGAAACCTTTTATTCTGAGTCACGTTTAAAGGAAATGACATAGAACAAAATTCAAAGGGATACTCTTAAAGCAAGGAAAGCCTGTTTGTGGTGTGAAATTAAATCCTTTGACTCAAGTAAAGGTAGAGGTTTTGAAGTAGAAGCATTAAATCCTGCTCTTTAATTGTTGTGTATTTTTAATATAGTAATCAATGGATACTTTATAAAAATGTACATTACCAAGTATGTAACATCTTCTGTTAATATTGTCTTATTTGGGAAAGAAAATGTGTATTGTATTTTAGCACGCCTGATTAATCTGAAAATGGTAGCAGTGATTCAATCTTTTTTATTCTGTGAATGTTTTTGTTTTTATTATGAAATATATTAAAATTGAAAAGTACAGAGAATAATCGGTGTCTACTGTAACACCACCAGATTTAACAATGTTAATGTTACGCCATATTTGTTTCAAATATTTTTGTAATATTGAACATTATGGATAGAGTTAAAGCTTGTTTGTATCCATCCCGTTGTTTACATTCTCCATCCCCTACATAGGTAACCACTATTCTGAAGTTGATGTGTATTCTTTGTGTACATGCTTTTATACCTTTTCTGCATATGTATGTATCCATAAATAATATGTAGTCTGTTGTGTGTTTTTAAACTTTACACAGTGGATGTCATACTCTTACATGTATTCTGCAGCTTGCATTTTTCACACATTCATTTTGAATATTCGTTCATGTTAACAATGTAGATCTAGTTTTCTTTTTAAACTCTGTATAGTATTCTTATGTATGACATACACTTGTTGTTATACATTTGAATTATTTCCAGGTATTCTTTTTTGTGTGTGGTATGTAAAGTCACGATGGCAGAGATTTTTGAAGGAAGATAAATTATTTTAGGATTACATTTACAGCGTCAGTGCCCACTTCAAGGTTTATGAAAATTTGGATGCCCAGAAACAAGTACTTCGTAGTTGGAGGAATAAAATTCTGTCTGTTGTGCAGCTTATTATTACAAAGTCTTACTGTTAGAACAATTATGTATATAACACATTCTTAATCAGTTATTTGAAATACTTTAAAATTTTCAATATTCAATTCATAGCTTTTTTCTCTGTTTAGAAAATATTGTGTGTCTTTTTTGATGGAGAAGCAAATTAAACATTTGTCCTGAATTGAAAACCTGAAGATGTTTCCTATACCTTAGACATTGTAAGGTAGACATTTAAGTAAATTTAATTTCTCAGTCAGCCAGGCAGCTCTTAATCTCTGTCTTTATACCGAGTTTTTACCAGATGATCACTTTTAGTTTGTTTTTGTTTGCTTGCTTCTTTGTGGGGAAAGAAATACTAATTTTTTTTTTTTTTTTACCATATTTCCCTTATCTGCATGAATATAATTATCAGGAACTTTGTTCTTAAATGTAACTAAGTCATAAACAGTTCCCTACAAATTTAGGTTTAATAATGGATTCTTCTCAGATTGTATATAAGATCTTTTAGCTGTTGTTACTTTGGAAACATCACATTATGGAGTAGGTTTGTATTTAAAATAGTCACCCAACATAAGTTAAAAATACATAGTGATTCTGTGAATACTTTAGAATCATTAGGATATGTAGGTAATTTCATGTATAATGTTGCTCTACTAGAAAATTAGTTCTAGATAATTAGCATTTTTGTATACACTTAGTATAAAGTATTGGAAAAAATGCATTATTTAAAAAAATTACACCATTTGGAAATGTTTTCTGTAATCACATTTAAATAATATACTATTTGGGGTTTTGTAATAGTTTATTTTTTCGTTGGGCTTTTTTTTTTTGGCAACATAACATTCAGGTGTATAAGAGAACTCTGGTAATGAGAAGAATATGGAAACACTGAAGAAGAGTGAAAAACTTGTGTGAATGATGTTACCTGTTTATTTTTGTTTAAATTGAGTACACTTTTCTAATTGAAATCATAGGGCCATTTAGGGGTTATGTTAAACTTAGTTTCTTTGTAATAGACATGGTTTTTCATATTTTCACCCAAATCTTCAATTTGCACTTTTGAAAATAATTTTTTTGAGAGGGTCTTCTTCTGTCCCTTAGGCTGGAGTACAGTGGTTTGATCACAGCTCACTGCAGCCTCAACCTCCTGGGCTCAAGCGATCCTCCAATTTCAGCCTTCTGAGTAGATGGGATTATGGATGTGAGCCACCATGCTTGACTAATTTTTTTTTTTTTTTTGAGATGGAGTCTCGCTCTGTCGTCCATGCTGCAGTGTGGTGGTGCGATTTCTGCTCACTGCAAGCTTCGCCTCCCGGGTTCACACCATTCTCCTGCCTCAGCCTCCCAAGTAGTTGGGACTACAGGCGCCCGCCACCACGCCCAGTTAATTTTTTTGTATTTTTTAGTAGAGATGGGGTTTCACCGTGTTAGCCAGAATGGTCTCGATCTCCTGACCTCGTGATCCGCCCGCCTCGGCCCCCCAAAGTGCTGGGATTACAGGTGTGAGCCACCAAGCCCGGCCAACCTTACTAATTTTTTAAAAAATTTGTAAAGATGGGGTCTCGTTATGTTGTCCAGGCTAAATTTGCACCTTTAAAAAATTTATTACAAAACTTTGTTGTTGTTGTGTTTGTAGAGACGGTCTCACTGTGTGGCCCAGGCTGATTTGAATTCCTGGCCTCAAGTGATCCTTTTGCTTCAGCACCTCCATGGTGCTGGGATTACAGGTGTGAGCAGTGGCTGTATTCAGCTTAATTTGTAGTTATTTGAAGTTACACAAATTGAGATTTCCAAATACAGTAACATTTTTCTATGTTTGTTAGAATTATCCTTTGTAAAAGGCATCATTTAGGTTATTCAATAAATTAGTCTAGAAAGTTATTAATTTCCAAATATCACATGAAGTCTGTTGTTCAGTAGTGGAGTTAAAATTTAAAAAATTGTTTTCAGAGATGGGATCTTGCTATGATGCCCAGGCTGAGCTTGAACTCCTAGGCTCAAGTGATCCTCCCATCTCAGCTTCTCCAGTAGCTGGGACTGCAGTAATGGGTTAAATTTTTTGTTTCCATTAGCGGGTTTTTTATTAAAAACTTAATGAGTAAGTGAATGAGATGTTTATAGGCCATTTTGCTGTATTAAAATATGTTGACTATGGCAGGCATGGTGGCTCACACCTGCAATCTCAGCACTTTGGAAGGCCAAGGCAGGAGGATCCCTTGAGCTGAGGATTTCGGGAACAGCCTGCACAACATAGCAAGATCCCTGTCTCTACCAAAAAAAATTCAAAAATTATCCAGGTGTGGTGGTGCGCAGCTATAGTGCCAGCTACTTCTGGAGGTGAGACGGGAGGATCATTTGAGCTTCGGAGGTCGAGACTGTAGTAAGCCATGATTGTACCACTGCACTCCAGGTGGAGAGACAAAGCGATTTTTCTGTCTCAAAAAAAAAAATTGAGTAAATTCAGAGGGGAATGTTTAACATTCTTCTTTTAACATTATAGTTTTAAAATGAGCCAACTACTAAATTGTGTGCTCAAGATACATCTTTTCTTTCATAAATGAAGTACCAAATTGTGAGCCTAAAAGGAGTTAGAATGAGTCAAGCTGAATGTCATATGACTGGATATTGAAAAGTCATTATTGATTCACATCACTTTCTTCCTTACTGTGCATAGTACTGAAGTCGTTAATGGAAGAAGATGTACTTACCCAATAAACTTAAGCATTTAAACATGTTGGAAAGAGAAGAGAATCATTATATGATACAACATGAAATAACATACCTGATAGGTGTGACAGAAATTTTAAGTTACTTCAAATCAGTCCCACTGATACTGACTAAATCAAAAGCAGAGTCAAAGCCAGGTGTGGTGGCGTGTGCTTGTGGTCCCAGCTCCTTGGGAGGCTGAGGCTGGAGGATCACTTAAGGCCAGGAGTTTGAGGCTGTAGGGTGCTATGATTGTGCCTGTGCGTAGCCATTGCACCCCAGCCTGGGCAACATATCTTAATAAAAAACAAGAGTCATACTAGGCACAGTGGCTCACACTTGTAATCTCAACACTTTGGGAGGCTGAGGCAGGAGGATCACTTTAGTCCAGGAGTTCAAGACCAGCCTGGGCAACATACTGAGACTCTCACTGCAAAAAATATAAATTAGCTGGGCATGGTGACACACACCTGTAGTCCCAGCTGCTTGGGAATCTGAGGTGGGAGAATTGCTTGAGCCCAGGAGGTCAGTGCTTCAGTGAGCTGTTACTGTGCTACCGCACTCCAGCCTGGGCGATAGAGGAAGACTCTCTCAAAAAAAAAAAAAAAACCAGAGTCATAAGAATGTGTACCTATTTAACACAATTGTGTGTTAATTGGGTTTAAGAAAATCCTCATTGCAGTTTTATTTGGAGGCAGGATGTAACAGATGAAACAGATAAAGAATGATAATAAGATAGCTTATAACAGTGTTTTACCACAGTCTTCACTGAAAGCCCGTGAAAGCATTTCACACATGAGGCAACAAAGGTACAGAAAGGGTAAGATTCTTGACTGAGATTATACAGCAGGTATGTGCCAACACAAAATATAAAAAGTAAACTTGCATTTTCCACAGACTTAGAGCAGTAGAAAATTAAGGAAGAGGTTAATATAAGCTGGAATCATTAAGAAAAACTTCATTCTTGGTGGTGGTAGTGGAAGGAACTGTGATAGGAAAGGAAATACACTTGCTACAAAAGGTATTAAGCCTATTTGTAGCAGTGGTTTCTCCCCCTCCTACCACCAATCCCAAATATGATAATACACAGGTTCAGAAGGGGACATTACAGGTTCTTGAGTAGGGGCCTAAAGTGATACTGTGTTTAAAGAAATGAGTGTGGCAATGTCATGAATAATAAATTGGGGAGGAGGGATAGGGTGGAGCAGAAGATCTTTGAGTAGCAAGACCTTTTGCAATAATTCAGATACAAAAAATGAAAGTCTATTCCACCACGGTAAATGGACTTGAAGGAACAGAGCTCCAGTATATTTTCCAGAAAGTGCTGGAAAATTTAGTAAATGATTAAATATTAAAGAGAAGGAATCAAAGGTCACTGATAGTGTTTTTGAGTCTGGCCAGGAAGGTGATGGTTCTTTCCAGAAAGTGGGAAGTTAAGCAGGTTTACATTAATCTTTTGGTTTGAGGCTTATTAAAAAAAATTTTTTTTAGTGTGTAATATATTAGCCCAGTTAAAAATTCAAAAGGTATTTATTGAAGTCTCTTTCCCACGCCAGATTCTGTCCGTACAGTTTCCCTTGCTAGAGGCCACTGACATCACCAGTTTCTTATATATCTTGCTGGAGGTATGCATATGTAAGCAAATATGCATACAATTGTATGTATTTTTTCCCTTTTATTGGTATAACTGGTAGCATACTGTATACTGTTTTGTGCTTTGCTTTTTTTTTCTTTTCCATCCGGGCTTTGAAGTTACATACAGTAAAATAAATGGAAAGAGTTTTTTTGTTTTTTTTGTTTTTTTTTTTTTTGAGACACAGTCTTGCTTTGTTGCCGAGGCTGGAGTGCAGTGGCGTGATCATGGCTTACTGCAGCTTTAACTTCCTGCGCTCAGGCTCCCACCTCAGCCTCCTGAGTAGCTGGGACTGTAGGTGTGCACACCATGCCTGGCTAATTTTTTGTAGATATGGGATTATGCCATGTTGCTCAGGCTGGTCTTGAACTCCTGAGCTCAAGCAGCCCACCTATCTTGGCCTTCCAAAGTGCTGGGAATACAGACATGAGTCGTCACACCCAGCCCATGAAAAGGTCTTAAAATGAACATCTGGGAATAGAGATAGGGTGAGACTTTCCGGCAGGAGATTCTAATTTAAGAATCATAAAAGGCCTAGCATGCCAGTAGTAGTCCCAGCTTTTCGGGGCTGAGGCAGGAGGATCACTTGAGACCAGGAGTTTGAGGCTATAGTTCGTGATGATCACACCTGTGAATAGCCAACTGCACTCCAGCCTTTTAAAAAAAAAAATCAGATGAATTATGAATTTTTAGCTACAAGGTAACCTCCTTTGAGGTAATAGCTATAAATTGAGAAAAGAACAGAGCTCAAGACTGAGTCTTGTTGATCTGACCACATATATTCATTCATCCAGAAATACCTCATCGAGTGCTGCTTCTGGCTGGTCACTATCTTTTCGTTTGGAATTTTTTTGGAGGCAGGGCGGTGGTTTTGAGATGAGACTGTCTCCCAGCCAAAAGCACGGTGGCATGATTAAGTCTCACGCAGCCTTGACCTCCTAGGTGCGATCCTCCCACCTCAGCCTTCTGAGTAGCTGGGACTGCAGGCGCATACCACCATACCTGGCTAATTTTTTTAATGTTTAGTAGAGATGAGGTCTCACTATGATGCCCAGGCTGGTTTCAAACTCCTGCGCTTAACAATTCTCCCTCTTTGGGCTCCAAAAGTGCTGGGATTACAGGCATGAGCCTCCATATCCAGCCAAGTTGGGATTTTTAAAGTAAGCTTTTGAAGAGTTTATGCAAAGTGATGACATGATCCAAAATACTTAATAGTATCAATCTGTGGAATTGAAGAGAAGCAATAAGTGGGAAACTCATTGGGAGATTGCTGCATAGTCCAAGCAAAAGATAATGTTGGATTGGATTGAGGTGATAGAGATGGACAGAGATGGATGGATTTTGTGATCTTTATTGAAGGTAGAATTGACAGGGCATGTGATGGATCAGTTATTGGTAATCAGGAAGAAGAAAGATCAGTAACCGTTGACTGTTTCCCAGGGTCAGTCCTCAGCATTGGAAAAGAACTCTAAATATAAACCCCATTTAGTTTCTGGTATTTTGACAAGATCAGAGAAAAGAATTTAAAGTTAAGAATGAGGGGCTGGGTGCAGTGGCTCCCACCTGTAATCCCAGCACTTTGGGAGCCCAAGGCTGGCAGATCACCTGAGGTCGGGGGTTCAAGACCAGCCTGGCCAACATGGTGAAACCCTGTCTCTACTAAAAATACAAAAATTAATCCGGTGTGGTGGCACACGCCTGTAATCCCAGCTACTCAGGAGGCTGAGGCAGGAGAATCACTTGAACCCAGAGGTGGAGGTTGCAGTGAGCCAAGATTGCACCACTGCATTCCAACCTGGGCAACAGAGTGAGACTCTGTATCAAAAAAAAGAAGAGCAAAAGAAAGTGATGATGAAAAGGTGCTCAGTTACCTTAATTCAGATTTCGTTGTTTACCTGGACCTTCTCTTTCAATGTTTACCTGGACCAAACATTGATTGTAGCCAAAATGGAAAAGGCATTGGATGGCTGGATAAAGGGTTTTGGATTTCATTCTGTTAGTAATATCCATTGACCTGACTGTAGATAGTACTATCTATAGATCTAGTCACCAGAAGGACCAAGGCATGGTTAGAAGATTGCGGCTTTGAACCCCATCCGCCATCCTCCAGAAGGGGAGAGGGGCTGAGGGTTTATTAATCACCAGTCGCCAGTGATTTACTTAATTATACCTGTTTAATGAAGCCTCCATAAAAGCCCATTAGGACTGGGTTTGGAGAGCTCCCAGATAACTAAGTGGAAGTTCCTGGAGGATGATGTGCCCAGGGAGGTAATGCAACCTTTGAGCCTCTTACCCCATACCTTGCTCTGTACCTCTCTTCATTTGTATCCTTTAAAATATCCTTTATATTATAATAAACTGGTAGATATAACTGTTTCCCTGCATTTTGTGAGCTACTTTAGCAAATTAATCAAATCCAAGGAGGGAGTCATGGGAAGCCTGATTTATAGCCGTTTGGTTGGAAACAGGTAAAACAACGCAGGCTTGCAATTGGCATTAGAAGTAGGGGGCAGTCTTGTAGGGCTGAGCCCTCAACTGTGGTATCTGACAGTGTCTCCGGGTAAACAGTGTCGAAGGTGAATTGGAGAACACCCACCTGGTGTCTAATATGGAACTGATTGATTATTGGTGGGGAGAAATCCTCACACTTCTTGGTGATGAAGGTGACAGCAGTGATTTGTGTTGTGATAGTGTAGTATGAGAAACTGTTTTTTTATTTCTATAGTCTCATACCCAACTTTTGTGAATTATTGTAGCCTATATGTGGAGATAACTGCAAATATTTTGTAACTTAAACTATCCTAACTCAAACAAAATGGATAGGTGCCTTAAAAGGGGTTGATGATGATATAAGTACAAATGAACTAGATAATGGTTAAATTTACATTTACTGCTAGTGTAAACTGTCAACCATGGGACAAAGCAGAAACAATGATGTAATAGATCTGACAAGAAGTTACCCCTCTCAAAAAGTTCGGTTATTAAAAAGATAATTTTTTTTACTTTTTTTTTTTTTTTTTTTTGAGGCAAAGTCTCACTTTTGTCCCCCAGGCTGGAGTGCAATGATGCAATCTCGCTCACTGAAATCTCCACCTCCCGGGTTCAAGCGATTCTCCTGCCTCAGCCTCCCGAGTAGTTGGGATTACAGGTGGCTGCTACCACACCCGGCTAATTCTGGTATTTTTAGTAGAGATGGGGTTTCAACCATGTTGGCCATACTGGTCTCAAACTCCTCACCTCAGGTGATCCGCCCGCCTCGGCCTCCCAAAGTGCTGGGATTACAGGTGTGAGCCACTGTGCCTGGCCAATAATTTTTTTTTTAATTAAATATAGAAGTCTCACTGCATTGCCCAGGCTGGTCTCAAACTCCTGGCCTCAAGTGATCCACTTGCCTTAGCCTCCCAAAATGCTAAGATTACAGACTTGAGCCATTGCATTCTACCAAAGGATAATTTTAAATATGGATTTATATCCACTGTTATGTTTGGGTATACTATGCCTTAAGTGTATATTGGGTCTTAATACTAACTAATGATACGGAGCCATTACAGTTCAAACATTTAAAAATTTTGCTTATGTTATCTTCCTTTAAGACTTTTCTATTTTAGCATGTGTTTTATAATGTATTAATATACTAATATATTTTTGTATATAATAAGCGAATTAAACTGCAGTCAAAAATGTTTTGGAGATCACTGTTTGTGAAGCTATTTTGAGGAAGGCTCTAAGATGACTTGGGAATGTAGGGAGCCTGAGTGGGTACCCTGGTGTTTTAACCAGCACTGACCAGAGTAGCTCTATTTATTTCTTTTTTTTATATATGGAGGTTCTTACTGAATTTTTGTTTGTAGAAGGGTTTCTGGTTTTTTTAAAAAAAGGTTTGAAAACTTTTGTGGATGATGAGAGAAACTGAAGGATTTCTTTTTTTTTTTTTTTTTTTTGAGACGGAGTCTCGCACTGTTGCCAGGCTGGAGTGCAATGGCTTGATCTCGGCTCACTGCAGCCTCTGCCTCCCCGGTTCAAGCGATTCTTTTGCCTCAGCCTACTGAGTAGCTGGGACTATAGGCACGCGCCACCACGCCCAGCTAATTTTTGTATTTTTAGTAGAGACGGGGTTTCACCATGTTGGCCAGGATGGTCTTCATCTCTTGACCTTGTGATCTGCCTACCTTGGCCTCCCAAAGTGTTGGGATTACAGGTGTGAGCCTTCGCACCTGGCCAGAACTGAAGGATTTTAGACAAAGGAGTGACTTGAGAGAATTTTAGACTAACTCTGGTAGCAAATTTCTCCCAAAAAGCATAGCCAGGAAGAAGGTAGAACACAGATTTCTAGCTATTTTTACCTGATTACACAGAAAATAAGAAGTATTAATCTGAGGCCTGGATTAATTAAATAATATTTTTCATTTACTGTTTAAAGCCAAAAAGTACTGAAATGTTCCCATTTTCAACACTTTGTCTTGGATCTGGGGATGATTTTTAGTTTTGTATTCATGTCAGGTCATGATATTTATAAGTACTACTTAAATGAACAAGTTATTACATATAAGGTGTTTTGTAGATTATATTTTTGGTAGCGTATAAACTTAGTTTGTATTTTTTTGAAAATCAAAGTTTTAGCCACGTTAAACTTTCATTATTATATATCCTTAAAAGATTGTTCATTTTAGTATTGCATAGTGTTTTTAGTGTTTAAAAATGTGTGTGTAGGCTGGGTGCAGTGGCTCACACCTGTAATCCCAGCACTTTGGGAGGTCGAGGCAGGCGGATCGCTTGAGCCCAGGAGTTGGAGTTCCAGACCAACCTGGGCAAAATGGTGAAACCCTGTCTCTACGAAAAATTAGTGTGGCGTGGTGTGTGCACCTGTAGTCCCAGCTACTTGGGAGGCTGAGGTGGGAGGATTGCTGGGGCCTAGGAGGTCGAGGCTGCAGTGAGTCGTGATTGTACCCCTACACTCTAGTCTGGTCACAGAGCAAGACCCTGTCTCAAGGAGGAAACAACAAAATATATATATGTATATTTGTGTGTATGTGTGTGTGTGTGTGTGTGTCTATGTTTTATTTTAAATCCAAACCTTGGTTTCTAATACAAGGGGTGACAACCTTTTCCTAAAAATGTAACTAACCCTTTGGTAGGCATATAATTGAAGACATTCTAGGAGACTGCTTACCTAAACCTTGGGCTAATTTTTCTACACCCTAAGCTAAGGTACTGAACTGGGTGCTGTTGGTAGCACTTGTAAATAAGAGCAAATAGCTTTGTTTCACCATGGTGTTACATTTCTTAAGATCCTGAAGTCTTTTCCAGATATATAAAAAAAAAAGGCAAAAATAGAGTTAAGCCTTAACCTATTTTCAGGTATTAGCTTATTTTAACCAGCTCAAAGGGAAGGATAAATACATAGGTGGTTAGTGAATGGGACAGCTGATTTTCTGGAAGCAACAGAAAGTAGATGGTTGGAATGTCTTTGTTATAGTTTTGGCCAAGAATGGCTAGCCTTTTTATAAATATTATTTGAGTAACATGAGTCAGAGCCTACTAGCCTGTTTTAATATTTTTTGTTTTAAAAAATTGCTCAGTCATTTTTAGTATCAAAGCTACTATTGTATTGCCAATATATTACTAATAATGCCAATCAGATATACATTGATTACTCATATCGGGGCATTTGTCATTGCTGTGTTGTTTCCAGTCCTCTTGATTTCTATTTGTACTTTGTAGATACCTCTTTTCTAGTGTGATGATATGGAAATATTTATTTTTAAACAGGATACATTAATTGTTTGGTCAGAAGCAGAGAACTATGATTTGGCTCTGAGTTTTCAGGAGAAAGCTGGCTGTGATGAGATCTGGGAAAAAATTTGTCAGGTAAGTTTCTTTTTATAATATTTAACTTAATGTTTGCTTCTTTTCTGGAATTTTTGTTTCCTTTTTACTTCAAACATATTAGGATGTGGCGAGATAGTGTCTTAATGTGAGACTTGATAATCTAACTTGAAATTTTTTATATTCTACGGCAAATTATTTTACTTTAAGTTTTTTAAAAACAACTTTGTCATACTTTTGTTTTACCACTTTAGATTTTGATAGCATATGCTCATAATTAATACCTTATATTGTAAAATGGCAAGTACTTTAAGCAAACCAAAAGAAGATTAAGTAATTAAATCAAGCTTTTAGATTAAAAACATAAATATTTGGTCATATGTTTGCCTAATGTTTATGCATACTGTACCAGGCACTAATGCTCAACAGTATTCATGACTTCAGTTTATGTGGAACTTAGAGTGTAGCAGGATATATAGAATATGTGGTAACTCTTAAGTAACTAGAATTTTTTTAAAAGAAACCTTTTGTTTTAGGACAGTTTTAGATTTACAGAAAATATAACTATAATGCAGAAGACAAACATCTCCTCTTATTTAGAACTAGGATATTGATTTACATATCTGCTAGAACATAAATTTATATGGTGGATAATTTATTCTAGTGATTACTGTATTAGATTATACCTTGTCCCATCCTACTACCCCACCCCTATATGTCAACACCTACTTTTTAATACATGTTCTTGGATATAAGTGTATTTGTCCATCCGGACGCGGTTACTCACGCCTGTAATCCTAGCGCTTTGGGAGGCCGAGGCAGGCGGATCACCTGACATCAGGAGTTCGAGACCACCCTGGCTAACATGGTGGAACCTCATCTCTACTCAAAGTACAAAAATTAGCTGGGCGTGGTAGCGCATGCCTGTAGTCCCAGCCACTAGGGTGGCTGAGGCAGGAGAATAGCTGGAACCTCTGAGGGAGGTTTCAGTGAGCCAAGATAATGCCACTACACTCCAGTCTGGGTGACAGAGTAAGACTGTCTCAAAAAAAAAAAAAAGAGTATTCGTCCTAGAAATTTTTGTGGAAATTTGTTTATTACTGTTTTCACTTAGGTAGTTCAGGAGGTCTCCAAGAGCACTCTCAATTTCCATAATTCACTGGAAAGACTCACAGAATTCAGCAAAGCTGTTATACTCACAGTTACAGTTTATTATAGCAAAATGATACAGATTCCAATAACCAGTGGGAAAAGGTGCATAGGGCAGGGTCTAGGAGAGTTTCAGGCTTGAGCTTCCAGTTCTCTCTCCTGGTGGAATCACGCAGACAGCACTTACTTCTCCCAGCAGTGATATATGGCAGCATACATTCAGTATTGCCAACTAGTTAAGTTTACCCAAACCTTCGTGTCCAGGGTTTTCACTGGAGATTAGAGTTTATGTAAGCATGGCTGACCGCCTGTGTGGCTGACCTTATTCCAGCACCTCCAGAGGTCAAGAATATCTTGTGGTCCAAGGCCCCCACCACATAGCACATTGTTAGCATAGTATGTCTGGCATAGGTGAAGTCCCCCAGGTAAACATTATTATGAAGCAGGATATTCTGAGTGCTTAGAGTTTACCTCTCTGGGGCTAGATAAGGGCCAAACTTTTCCTTTGGCAAGGTCAGTCCTTTACTGCACAGGCCACTCCTTGACCAAGACTCTCTTACACCAAAATGATCATATTTGTGTGAGCATCTACATTTAGCGTAGGATTTATATCACAGACAGAGAAATAATATCAGTATGAATATACCTAGTATTTGGGGCCAGTGTGGAGTAGAGCTAGGTTTAAAGAAACAACTAACTTTTCCTATAAAACCATGTCATACCTTTTGTATTTTTGTACTGCTTTGATTTCTTATTTCTCTCCTTGATCTGCAGATTGTACCTTATCATAAACTTGTACAGAACTGTGTACCATAGAAACTGATAGTCAGCAAAATCCAGCTTTTTGTCAGTCCAGTGATTTTTTTTCTTCTTAGGTTCCAGACCATGATTCTGTAGGGCCAGTGACTTTCATTTTTCTTAGTTTAGTTTAGTTTAATTATTCAAATAACTGCAGCATGGGCCAGTGGTTTTTCTATCAGCATTACATCCTCAGGAAGCTTTAACTCAGTCTCCCAATACATTTGATCATCAATATCAGTATTATAAGATTTATATAGATAAGATAGCTGGATCAACAATACTAGTGTTATACCATATCACATTATGGTAGTAGATGTAACCTGAAAAGTAAGAGTTGGTAGATTCTAGCACATTACTAGAATCCCACGTAGTCATTAACAGTTGGTCTGGGTCTGGGCGCAGTGGCTCATGCCTGTAATCCCAGCACTTTGGGAGGCCGAGGCAGGAGGATCACAAGGTCAGGAAATCAAGACCATCCTGGCTAACACAGTGAAACCCCGTCTCTACTAAAAATACAAAAAATTAGCCGGGCATGGTGGTGGGCACCTGTAGTCCCAGCTACTTGGGAGGCTGAGGCAGGAGAATGGGATGAACCTGGGAGGCGGAGCTTGCAGTGAGCCGAGATCGCGCCATTGCACTCCAGCCTGGGCTACAGAGCGAGACTCTGTCTCAAAAAAAAAAAAAAGAAAAAGACAGTTGGTCTGGTTCATCATCATATTGTATGACAAAACGTCTCCCAGAGCAGTGTCACTCTTCAAAGCTTACAGGCTCCCATTTGACCTTGTCAGGTTTTAAGAGGAGGGGTGGTCTTGGCAAACCTATTGCTTAACCCTTCCAGGCATCTGTTATAACTGAGCTAAGAGACAATGTCATCCCTTGCCTTCAGCCTTTCTTGAGGCATCACTGCTTTTTTTTTTTTTTTTTTTTTGAGACATGGTCTGGCTCTCCCCAGGCTAGAATGCAGTGGTGTGATCTAAGCTCACTGCAACCTCTGCCTCCCAGGCTGAAGGGATTCTCACTTCAGCCTCCCTAATAGCTGGGACTACAGGCGTGCGCCACCATGCCTGGCTAATTTTTGTATTTTTTGTAGTGACAAGGTTGCACAGGCTGGTCTTGAACTCCTGAGCTCGTGATCTGCCTGCCTCAGCGTCCCAAAGTGCTGGGATTACAGGCATGAGCCACAGCGCCCAGCTTAGGCACCAATGTTAATACTGAATTTTCCTTGTTACATTACTCATTTTTTCATGTTTTTTTCCCTCTTTTACTGTTTCTCCTTTCCATTTGTCATTGTTTTTTTAAATTTTATTTTTTTCTTTGTCATTGATTTTTATTCAGACTTTTCCACCTTTGGAAGGGATATTAGATAGCACTCTGATAGCCCAGCAAAGTTAACTCTTTACTGTACAACGCAGCACTCTACTTCTTAAAATCTGTGCATGTTGCTGAATATGTATTTAGTTTTTTGCTCCTAACTACTGCATGATATTTCACAAAATCATATCTCATGTTTTACTTTTTCAGTTCTGGGAAGTCATTACTGATCTTTGAAAGGACAATTTCAATTTCAGTAAGCGCCATATTACTTAATTATTTCTTAACCACCCCTGCCCGCCTTTTTTTTTTTTTTTTTTTTTTTTTTTTTTGAGACAGAGTTTCACTCTCGTTGCCCAGGCAAGAGTGCAGTGGTGTGATCTCGGCTCACTGCAACCTCCGCCTCCCAGGTTCAAGCAGTTCTGCTGCCTCAGCCTCTCGAGTAGCTGGGACTACAGGCATGCGCCACCACGCCCAGCTAATTTTGTGCTTTTAGTAGAGACAGGGTTTCTCCATGTTGGTCAGGCTGGTCTTGAACTCCTGACCTCAGGTGATCCGCCCAACTTGGCCTCCCAAAGTGCTGGCATTACAGGCGTGAGCCGCCACCCCTTATAATGAGAAAATAGAACAAAAAAGCTTCCCTGAAAAAGTTTGATGGTTCAGATAGTTCAGAGTGTCTTAAGGGGATTGGAGAATGATGAAATAGAAGGAACCATTGGAGAGAAATAAATTATAAAAACAAGAGCAAAGATAATTTTTATATGTTTAGCTTTGAGAAAGCATAAGTTTAGAAGTACATATGGAAATGTTAACCTTAGGAAATGGTATAGACATTTCCTTTGAAATGAATGAAGGAAATGTGTGAAGGTAAGTTGTGAGATGGAGAAATGTTAGAGGAAGTTGAGTACTGATGGGCTTTTTATTCAAAGGAAGCCTCTTATCTTCTGAGACTTAAAGGTGAAGGTAATGTTTGAGAAGTTGGAAAGTGAAAAAATATTTAAAGCAGCAGCTGTAAGGGATGACGATAGGATTATAGACTAGAGAATTTTTATTGAAAAACCCTATTGATAGTGTGGATTTATTGTGAATCCATACAGCAGAGTTCATTGGCTGTCTCTGAGACGTTATGATCAGATTGTGTTGTAGTAATACAATCCTAAAATTTCAATGGCTTGTCACAACAAAAGTTGATTTCTCCTTAATGCTGTTTGACCAATAGGGGAAGGGGCCCTACTCATGAGAGTCATTCAGGGACCAAGCTGGAAGAGAATTCATTTTATTTTATTTATTTATTTTATTTTAATTTTTTATTTTATTTTTTGAGACAGAGTCTTGCTTTGTCTTCCAGGCTGGAGTGCAGTGGTGCGATCTCAGCTCACTGCAACCTCCACCTTCCAGGTTCAAGCGATTCTCCTGCCTCAGCCACCTGAGTAGCTGAGATTACAGGCGTATGCCACCACACCTGGCTGATTTTTGTATTTTTAGTGGAGTTGGGGTTTCACCATGTTGCCCAGGCTGGTTTTGAACTCCTGACCTCAAGAGACCTGCCTGCCTCAGCCACCTAAAGTGCTGGGATTACAGGCGTGAGCCACCGTGCCTGGCCTAGACTTCACTTTTAATTAGTAGTGACTAGCCAGGCATTTCCAAATGATTTGATTTCCAAAATTTTGAATTATTTTGTATTTTAAGGTAATTAGCTGTATACTTGGATATTTTTAGGTTCAAGGTAAAGACCCATCAGTGGAAGTCACACAGGACCTCATTGATGAATCTGAAGAAGAACGATTTGAAGAAATGCCTGAAACTAGTCATCTGATTGACCTGCCCACATGTGAACTCAATAAACTTGAAGAGATTGCTGACTTAGTTACCTCAGTGCTCTCCTCACCTATCCGTAGGGAAAAGCTGGCTCTCGCCTTGGAAAATGAAGGCTATATTAAAAAACTATTGCAGCTGTTCCAAGCTTGCGAGAACCTAGAAAACACTGAAGGCTTACACCATTTGTATGAAATTATTAGAGGAATCTTATTCCTAAATAAGGCAACTCTTTTTGAGGTAATGTTTTCTGATGAGTGTATCATGGATGTCGTGGGATGCCTTGAATATGACCCTGCTTTGGCTCAGCCAAAAAGACATAGAGAATTCTTGACCAAAACTGCAAAGTTCAAGGAAGTTATACCAATAACAGACTCTGAACTAAGGCAAAAAATACATCAGACTTACAGGGTACAGTACATTCAGGACATCATTTTGCCCACACCATCTGTTTTTGAAGAGAATTTTCTTTCTACTCTTACGTCTTTTATTTTCTTCAACAAAGTTGAGATAGTCAGCATGTTGCAGGTAAGTAAAAAGATACTCTTCACGATTCCATTTTTCAGATATTTAGTTCCCTTAATAGTTCAAGCAGGTGTTTATACCCTCTATTTTTTGAAAGATTTATTTTGTTTAAATGTACTATTAAGTACATTTAAAGTAAACAAAAGAAATTGGGACTTTATGTCTTGTGGTTTTAGTGCAACCTTTTATTTATTTTTTTGAGTCGGAGTCTCGTTCTGTCGCCCAGGCTGGAATGCAGTGGCGCAATCTCAGCTCACTGCAACCTACGCTTCCCGGGTTCAAGCAATTCTTCTTCCTCAGCCTCCCGATTAGCTGAGACTACAGGTGTGCACTGCCATGCCCAGCTGATTTTTTTGTATTTTTAGTAGGGAAGGGGTTTCACTGTGTTGCCCAGACTGGTGTTGAACTCCTGAGCTCAGGCAGTCCGCCCGCCTCAGCCTCCCAAAGTGCTGGGATTATAGGCGTGAGCCACCGCGCCCAGCCCAGCCTTTTATATTTTTAAGTAGCCTGTGTTTTAGCTTTTTATACAATTTAGTATTTGTGTTTCTAAAATTGAGGTAGAATATACATAACATAAAATTCACCGTTTTGACTATTTATTTATTTATTTATTTTTTGAGATGGAGTTTTGCTCTTGTTGCCCAAGCTGGAGTGCAATGGCATGATCTCAGCTCGCCGCAACCTCTGCCTCCTGGGTTCAAGTGATTCTCCTGTCTCAGCCTCCTGAGTAGCTGGGATTACAGGCATGTGCCTCCACGCCGAGCTAGTTTTGTTTGTTTGTTTGTTTGTTTGTTTTTGAGACGGAGTCTTGCTCGGTCGCCCAGGCTGAAGTGCAGTGGCGCAATCTTGGCTCACTGCAAGCTCCGCCTCCCGGGTTCACGCCATTCTCCTGCCTCAGCCTCCCGGGTAGCTGGGACTACAGGCGCCCGCCATCACGCCCAGCTAATTTTTTGTGTTTTTAGTAGAGACAAGGTTTCACCATTTTAGCCAGGATGGTCTCGATCTCCTGACCTTGTGATCCACCCACCTCAGCCTCCCAAAGTGCTGGGATTACAGGCGTGAGCCACCCCGCCCAGCCCAATTTTTTGTATTTTTAGTAGAGGGGGGTTTCTCCATGTTGGTCAGGCTGGTCTCGAACTCCCAACCTGAGGTGATCCACCTGCCCCGGCCTCCCAAAGTGCTTGGATTACAGGCATGAGTCACTGTGCCCGGCCAGTTTCAACAATTTTTAAGTGTACAATTCATTGGCATTAAGTATATTTGCAGTGTTATGCAGCAGTTACCACTATCCATTTCCAGAACTTTTTCATCATCCCAAACAGAAACTCTGAACCCATTGAACAGTAACTCCCCATATTCCCTCCTTCCAGCTCTTAGTAACCACTATTCTACTCTTTATGAATTTGCCTATTATATATATCGATGATGCAGCTATTTTTTATTATTATTATTTTGAGACGGAGTTTCACTCTTGTTGCCCAAGCTGGAGTGCAATGGTGTGATTTCGGCTCATTGCAACCTCCACCTTCTGGGTTCAAGCGATTCTCCTGCCTCAGCCTCCCCAGTAGCTGGGATTACAGGCACACGCCACCACACTCGACTAATTTTTTGTATTTTTAGTAGAAACAGGGTTTCACCATGTTGGCCAGGCTGGTCTCAAACTCCTGACCTCAGGTGATCCGCCCGCCTTGGCCTCCCAAAGTGCTGGGATTACAGGCGTGAGCCACTGCACCTGGCCAATGCAGCTATATTTAACCCTTTTCCTGTCTGTCCTGTGAATACTCGCCAGTAGTGCTTGGCTGCAGTGTTTACCTTGAGATAACTTTGCCACAAAATACCTAGCTTTTATTATTATTTTTGCATTGCTGTGGCATATTGACTTTGGAAACAGAAGACATCATTCTATTTATAGCATTCTGGTTTTAATAGTGATATTTTCATTTACAAACTATAGTAATTGTTAATCACTGAAAATGTCAAATCGTAGAAAACATAGCAGTCCTGCACATGGTATTGTCATTCTCGAACAGTTGTTGCCCGAGGATTCGTTTGTTGAATCTGATTTTTTTTTTCGAAATAGACGAATCTGATGATTCAAACAATTCTGATGTTAGTTCTATTTAGAAATAACTCCAAGAACAGTTTTTATATTTTATTTTCACCTTGAAAGTCAGATTTGCTTCGGCCTCAAAGAGCGTGTTTATGTAAAATTAAATGAGTCCTTGCAGCAAGCTGTACTTTTTTTTTCTCAATGGGTAAAGGGTTAAAAGTATGTTTTCTTCCATTTTGAGAGATACTGTTATTATTGGGGTGTATACGAGTATGTGGCTATTTGCTATATGAAGGTGATTTTATTCTGTCTCCTTGAGTTGTGAAATAGGAGTTTTATACTATATTTATCATGTTAATCCTTTACACCCTAACAGTATAGTAAGCATGCTTTTTAAGTACTTGTCTTACTTGTAACAGTAGCCTATACTCAGCTTTCTGCATAACTGCTTTTGTTATTTCCATATCATTCACTAAGTTTATTGAGCAGCTACTATATACTTAGTATTGTGGATCTCAGAGTGTGGTTTGTGGACCTCTGGAAGTCCCTGAGCCCCTCTTACAGGCATTTATGAGGTTTTCCTTTTTCTAGTTTGATGTCAGTGTGAGGCTGTGTTTTTTTTTTTTTTTTCATGTACTTTTGCTTAAAGAACATATTGCAACACACTGAATGCCAGAAAAGATAAATGAGTATCTGGTTGTCATTTGTTAAGCCAGGTATTGAGATTTGCAAAAATGTAAAAGGGGCTACTCTTTTTTATAAAAGTTTAAATTTTGGATCATATAGCTGTTTCTCTTAAAAAATATTTACATAAACATAAAATGACTTATTTTAAAATGAATTCATAAATATTTTCACGAGTCTTGGTTTTAATTGTAATTTTTAAAAATTTATTTTATTTTTTATATAGAGACAGGATCTCACTGTGTTGCCCAGGCTGGTCTCAAACTCCTGGCCTCAAGTGATGCTCCTCACCCTCCCAAAGTGCTGAGATTATAGATATGAGCCACTGTACCCAGCCTCTGCATAATTCTTAAGAGTTTAGGCTGGGTGTGGTGGCTCATGCCTGTAATCCCAGCACTTTGGGAGGCCAAGGCCAGGAGGATCACTTGTGGTCAGGAGTTTGAGACCAGCCTGACCAACATGGCGAAACTCCATCTCTACTAAAAATACAAAAATTAGCCAGGCACAGTGGCACGTGCCTGTAATCCCAGCTACTCAGGAAGCTGAAGTGGGAGAATTGCTTGAACCGAGAGGCGGAGGTTGCAGTGAGCTGAGATTGTGCCACTGTACTCCAGCCAGGGTGACAGAGCGAGACTGTCTGAAAAAAAAAAAAAAAAAAGTTTAAAAGGGTCCTGATACAAATAATTGAGATTCTATCTCTGACTTAGTGCCTAGCTAATCGACTTCATTTTGCGACGTTTCCCACCAGTAGTCACCTATTATTGTTTACTTTAATTTTTTGCATAGGATTTACTTTTCTTTCAGGTCATTTATTCACCTACCAATTTTTTGTTATTCACCAATAATGAGTGTGGGGGAGGTTAGATGTACATATCAGGTTCTTTTTATAATATATAGGACCTGTGTATTTTTAAACTGTAGTATACAATTCAGGGTGCTATTTCACTTGTTGACAGAAAAACATTTAATAATCTTAGGAGATTGGACAGAGTCACAGTCTGTAGTTGATAAAAAGAGGACCAGGAACAGAAGCTCATATGTAGCTTTCAAATGACTGTTTTTGTCTTCAGAAGGGTTTCCAAATTCATACTAGTAAATCGTAAATACTTTTTTATATTCAGAAAATAAATTATATGAACTATAAATATTTGTAAAACTTTGTCATTTTATGTATTTTATAATAGGTTTATTTGTGAAGGCTATAATTACGTAAATCAAGTGCAGCTTTTTATTTTTCTAAAAGATTTACTCATTTCTGCTTCATGAGATGCATTTCATGAAATAGCCAGATTCTGTGAACTGTCTGTTATTTACATAACATTTACTACTTAATTATCTCTTATGTGCCAGCAATGATGTTGAATTTTTTTTTTTTTTTTTTTATTTTAGATTCAGAGGGCACATAGGCTTATTTGTTACATGGGTATTGCATGAGTAATGGTGGAGATTGGGCTTCTAGTGTACCCATCACCGTGATATTGAACACAGTGCCCAGTAGATAATTTTTAAACCTTCAGTCCTCTCCCATCCTACCCCTTTTTGGAGTTCCCAGTGTCTGTTATTTCCATCTTAATGTCCTTGTGTACCCACTTGTAAGTGAGAACATGCGATATATGATTTTCTGCCTCTGAGTTCACTTAGGATAATGGCCTCCAGCTCCATTCATGTTGCTACAAAAGACATGATTTCATTATTTTTTAACATTTCATTTGTATTCCACAGTGTATATATACACCCCATTTTCTTTGTCTGATCATCTGTTGGTAGACACTTAGGTGGGTTCCATGACTTTGCTATCATGAATAGTGCTGCGATCAATATACAAGTGCAGGTGTCTTTTTAATATAATGCTTTTTTTTCCTTTGGGTATGAATTGTGTTTTCAACTATGTGTGAAAAGGAAAGAAATAAGATTGTGGCCAGTGGTCTCTATTTTATTTTATTTTTTGTAGAGGTGGGGTTTTGCTATGTTGCCTAAACTGTTCTTACCTGGCCTCAAGCAATCCTAGTGCCCAGCCTTCCAAAGTGTTGGGATTACAGATGTGAACCACCACACCTGGCCCTACAGTGGCCTCTAAGCACTTATTTCCTAAAGTCTCACTCTGAGATTTCCATGTAGAAATTTTTGGTTAGGTAGTAGGTGTTTCTAGATACCTATCTGGGTATCTAGTACACTTACCTGTGGTTTCTTAAATGCGCATTAACTTGCTGCTGTGTGAGTTGTAGAAGGCAAGTGAATATGTAAGAATTTTATGTAACTGGGCCGAAGTGAGGTAGTACGAAGGTCCTTATCATAAATCCTAGCTTAAATTAGGTTAATTAACTGAGAAATTATATGAGAGTACTTAGCATAGTCAGTGGCTCCTAGTATGTGTGCTAATACATGTTGACAATATCTTAAGCATGATAGGGACATAAGACTTTAGTGACTCCAAATGTTCTAGCTAATTGCAGATCAAAATCCCCTGTGCCCAGAATTGAGCAACATTCTTTTAAAATATTTTAGAAATTATTTATTTATTTATTTTGAGACAGAGTCTCGCTCTGTCACCCAGGCTGGAGTGCAGTGGCGCCATCTTGGCTCACTGCAGCCTCTGCCTCCCAGGTTAAAGTGATTCTCAAGCCTCAGCCTCCTGGGAGCTGGGATTACAGGCAGCAGCCACCATGCCTGGCTAATTTTTGTATTTTTAGTATAGACAGTTTCACCATGTTGGCCAGGCTGGTCTTGAACTCCCAACCTCAGGTGATCCACCCGCCTCAGCCTACCAAAGTGCTGGGATTACAGGCATGAGCCACTGCCCCCAGCCAGAAATTAAATTTTTGAAAGCAAGTAAAATGAGATTATTTCTGCACAAACAGTTATAGAATAAGATCCTTTTCAGAACAAAGTTTTAATTTCTCTCCTTACTAGAAATGATGGAGGATAGGAATCTCAAATGTTGACATTTTAACACATTTACATATATTATATTATATACATATTTCTGCTATTCCATAGGTAAGAGTTAAGCTTAAAATTAGCCCAGCAGGATTAGCGGTTTAGTTCTCTTTTTAACATATTTTGCAGATGCTAAGGTTTTGGCACGGAAAGAGAAAAATTTCTAACTTCCCATCCCAGTTACAGATTAAGTATGTAAAATCTTCAGATACTCTTTAAAAAACTGTTTAGAGTAATAGGGCTTTTCATTTTGTTTTTAGGATTTTTCTTTGGATTCAAGTACAGGATTTAATATATTAAATTTTATCTTACTAGATTTGGCCCATTCCAGCTTTGTGTATCTTTTGCTTTGGTTTGATTCATACGTTTGAAGTTTGAAATACTTGGAAACCTGTCTTGTGGTTTACTTAGTAGGAGTGACAAAAACCTCATTAATTATTTGGGAGGCCTGGATTCTAAATCCATCTGTCACTAGCTACCCTCAGAAAGGTTCACTTTTTGAACCTCAGTCTCTTGAAATTTAAAATTGGACTTGACAGTCTCTGTAATGTTGCAAAATCTGATTTAATTCTAAATTTCTGTGTTTATATGTTTCTAAAAATGAATGGGTTCTGTTTTTTCTTTTGTTTGGCCTGTATTTATATTACTGCAAAGAGAAGAGTTTGATTTAGACTGTTTAGAAGCAACCTCTTTTTTTCCCCACAGTGTTTTTTTATGTTGTCCAGAAAAGCAGCCACACAAGTTTTGACTTAAATATATAGGTTTTATTAAAACAAAAGCTGTTAAAACCAAATAGAAAAGAAAAACTAAAAGAGATTAGTTTGATTACTTGGAGAACCAGAGATTTTGGAGTAAGTATTTCAACTATATGATAGGCTTTAAGTTATTGATTATTTGCTTCCTTCATAAATATATTGGAACAGAGTGCTTTTATAGCTTAATGAATAATAGCCAGAGTAATGCTGGAAATCAGGGAAAAAATACTAGGAATACATATTCTCTTAATGGACTGTAATAATTGAGATTGCCTCTATCTGTAATATTTTATGCAGTTCTACTTATCAGCTCACAAGTACCGAATCATATAAGAAGAATTCAAGTGGGAAATTGCATTTATCAAGGAGTTGGAACTTTTTTCTTATGAAAATATTTTGAAAAAATTAAATTTTCAGGTAGTAAAGGATGAAGATGTAATCTACAACAGATGCAGGAAAATAGAAATTTATAAAAGGTGTGAATGGAGGTAAATATGTACTTACTCACCCTAACCTAAAATATTAAGACTAAAAGTATTTGGAAAAAGTAGGCTGGGCATGGTGGCTCATGCCTGTAGTCCTAGCACTTTGGGAGGCTGAGGTGGGAGGATTGCTTGAGGCCAGGAGTTCGATACCAGCCTGGGCAACAAAGTGAAACCCCCCCATCTGTACAAAAAATTAAAAAAAAAATAGCCAGGTATGGTGGCACGTGCCCGCAGTCTCTGTTACATGGGAGTCTGAGGGAGGAAGATTGCTTGAGTCCAGGAGGTCGAGGCTACACTGAGCCACGTTTGTACCACTGCACTCCAGCCTGGGCAACAGAGTGAGACTCTAGAAAAAAAAAAAAAGGAAAAACTAACTTGAGGGCTAAATAAAAGATTACATATGCATATAAACTCCCTCAAAAGATGGATGTTCAGGCTGCAGTGCATAAGGTCCAAAAGGAGTCAATGAAATACGAAAAGAAACACCTGAGTCAGACTAATTAAATGACTCAGACACATTCTGAGTCAGACTAATTAAGTGATTCATCTCCCAGTGTCTTGTCTTTGAGTAGCACCAATTGATTTTTAGTAGAAGAGCATGTTATACTCTCTGATTGTACCTAGTGGTTTCTATTCATTTTTTAAAAATACATGTTCCACGTTATTTCAAAAAGGATTTAAGGGATTGATACCATTTAATGGATGATCCTCAGTAAGAAAAAGGACAGGTAGTTGGGGTGTATCCTTTAAATGTTAGGGTTTTATTTTACTATCAACTCTACAGATACTATTGTTACAAACTTTTTTAGAACATGTTACTTTAAATTAATGGAAATTACATTTCATAAAAATGAATTTTGAAGATAACTGAAGCTTAAAACCACCAACAATTTCCATCAGTTTTTTTAGCAGATTTTGATGAAATCTCTAAGGTGAATTTTAATATTTTTGCCCATTTTTTCCTTTGTAATTTAGTCTGTGCTTATTGTAGAAAATTAGAAAATATAGATAACCAAAAAGAAAATCACTCATAACCTATCACCAATTAGAAAATATAGATAACCAAAAAAGAAAATCACTCATAACCTATCAGCAAGCAGTAACCACAGTTAACAGTCTAACCGGTACTCCTAGACTTTAGACAAACAAATTTATTTATTATTATTATTTTGTTGTTGTTGAGACGGAGTTTCACTCTTGTTGCCCAGGCTGGACTGCAATGGCGCAATCTCGGCTCACTGCAACCTCCGCCTCCCAGGTTCAAGCGATTCTCCTGCCTCAGCCTCCCTAGTAGCTAGGATTACAGGCATGTGCCACCATGCCTGGCTAGTTTTGTATTTTTAGTGGAGACGGGGTTTCTCCATGTTGGTCAAGCTGGTCTGGAACTTCCGACCTCAGGTGATCCCCCCGCCTCAGCCTCCCAAAGTGCTGGGATTACACGCATGAGCCACCACACCTGGCCCACAAATTTATTTTTTAAAAATGCGTGCTTGACTATATATATATTATATATATATAATATATTAAATATATATATAAATATATATATAATTATATATATTTTTTATATATATATAATTTTTTTTTTTTTTGAGATGGAGTCTCGCTCTTTTGTCCAGGCTGGAATACAGTGGCACAATCTCGGCTCACTGCAAGCTCCCCCTCCCGGGTTCACGCCATTCTCCTGCCTCAGCCTCCCAGGTAGCTGCCACTACAGGCGCCCACCACCATGCCTGGCTAATTTTTTTGTATTTTTAGTAGAGACAGGGTTTTACCATGTTAGCCAGGGTGGTCTCGATCTCATGACCTCGTGATCCGCCCGCCTCGGCCTTCCAAAGTGCTGGGATTACGGGCGTGAGCCACCGCGCCTGGCCACTTGACTATATTTTTCTGTTTGTCCTTTTAGACAACGCCTGTAGAAATTAGCACTTGTCTTTCTTTTTAATACCCCAGAGTCATTAGTATGAAAAGCAGTTATTGTAGTGCTTTGTCATTTAGTTATATCCTTGGGGACCGCAAGAACGTGTAAAACTGTGCACCAGTTGGTTGTAGGTTGTTGTATTTTATGAGTTATTGTATTTTAAATAGCTTTGTAACTTTATCTACTGTCGGAATTCAGCCTCCTTTACTGTTTTCCTTGTTCCTTGTCTTACAATTCTTGTTTTTCTAATCTGTTATAAACTGACAATAAGATCCTTAGGCTTGTTTGAATTATGTTTAAATTAAGAGTAAGTAGACCCTGAAAGGGGGCTAGAGAATCTAAGTTAAGTGAGTTTTCACGTAACACCTCTAGAACAAATATTTTTGTTTTCCAGAGAGTTATTTGTAGTTGAGGTTTTTAGTTAAACTAGATATTGATGTATTTATAACAAGAATTGAATGGTGTAGTCAAATTTTAGAAAATTGTAACACAGAAATACACCCCAGAATATTAGGTTTCATGATGAAAATACTACTTGTCAACTATTTTTTATAATTTGTGTAAGTCATATAAATGAGTATAACTTTATTCTTTTGTTAATATTTCATAGTAATTATTTTTCTCATGCAGGAAGATGAGAAGTTTTTGTCTGAAGTTTTTGCACAATTAACAGATGAGGCTACAGATGATGATAAACGGCGTGAATTGGTAAGTTATGAAATTCAAACTCTTAAAGAGCACTTATTCTTTTGGCATGCACAGCTTTTAATCTTGAATTTGCTAACTTGAGACAATTTTTTGTAATTAGATTAGTAAGAGATGAAAAGTATGTATTTAAATTGAACTATGAAATGATTATTCAGAGTTTCTAAAATTTGTTTCTAGAATTTGTGTATTTTAGAAACTTCTTAGGATGTTCTGATGTATCACCCCCCACCATTGTATGCCTTATAAATCCCCAAATCAGATAAGTGCCTTATGTTAGAACAGAACTACAAAATTCATACATTTTTATGGTTGCAGACATTCGCATTATAGCCATGCTTTTCTTTTTCTTTTTTTTTTTTTTTTCTGAGATGGAGTTTCGCTCTTGTTGCCCAGGCTGGAGTGCAGTGGTGCGATCTCGGCTCACCACAACCTCTGCCTCCCAGGTTCAAGGGATTCTCCCGCCTCAGCCTCCCAAGTAGCTGGGATTACAGGCATGCGCTGCCACACCCGGCTAATTTTGTATTTTTAGTAGAGACAGGATTTCTCCATGTTGGTCAGGCTGGTCTCGAACTCCCAACCTGAGGTGATCCCCCCGCCTTGGCCTCCTAAAGTGCTGGGATTACAGGTGTGAGCCACTGCGCCTAGCCGCAATGCTTTTCTTTTTAAACAAGAGATAAGGAAAATGCTTCCTGAATAAATGATATAAATAATTTGGTTCTTTGGAAATTTTTTATTTTTTATTGTAAGCATTTTCTTTGAGATATAAACCATTTTGAGGAAGAGAATAGTGATTGTGATTGCCGTTTGCCAGATGTTTGACATTTTTTTCAAACATAATGAGATGAGAAGGGAAAGTATATGTTATAGTAATGCATATTCAATTCTATAATTTAGCTATCTGATATTGAATTGCTACAGGAATATCTTCGGTTTCAGATTTTTATTTATTTATTTTGGATTTCACAAAATAATGAAAGATGGCTAATTTAAAACCTCTAAGTCATCTTTGGTGTAGTTACTTATTAGTAGCCTACTTCGTTTTCTCAATTATAATATTGGTGTTTTAGACTAGAGAAGTTTTGATGTACATTTCAGTCCTTAAACCAGTATTATGTTTTTGAGATATTACTGGGGACCCAGCTAGAGTTGAGTTGTAGGATGGTTTCTGTGAAACTATGTGTTCATAATTCAAAACAAATTTATTACCTGGCATTTTTGCACTGAATGTGTTTAAAGAGTTAATTGATCAGTGTTAGCCTTCTGAAAGATGTCATCGTTTTTTATTTTTTCTTTTCGAAAAAGAGTCTTGCTCTGTTGCCCAGACTGGAGTGCAGTGGCATGATTTCAACTCACTGCAACCTCCGCCTCCTGGGTTCAAGCGCTTCTCGTGCCTCAGCCTCCTGAGTAGCTGTGATTACAGGCGTGTGCCACCATGCCCAGCTAATTTTTGTATTTTTAGTAGAGACAGGGTTTCACCCTGTTGGGCAGGCTGGTCTCAAATTCCTGGACTCAAGTGATCCGCCTGCCTCAGCCTCCCAAAATGTTGGGATTACAGGCGTGAGCCACTGTGCCCCGCCAGATGTCATCATTTCAGAGTATCCTGGCACCTCAAAACCTACATTTAAAAACATTTTAAAAACTGGCACCCCATTAAAAGTATATCTTGCATTTTTGCATACTAATAGACCAATAGGCAAATCCAGCATTGTAAACAAAGCATGCATGCTTTCATTTGCCTTTTATAGCCAAATATCTCTGTTGACCTATAAGGTCCCATTGGAGTAAGGAAAATGTTCTAATAACATATTTCAAAGGTTCACTTAGAAAGATGTGTTGTCAAACACCTCCATTCACTGGAAAAAAAAGGAAAAAAGCAGCTTATGATGTGTCTTTCAGAAAGCCAGCTTACATTTACCTTGTATTGGTGGATTTCTCTTTTTGCTTAATAGCACCCAGTAATGCAAGGTTTACTTTTAATGGGGTGCTAGTTTTTAATTTGTTTTTAATGTAGTTTTGAGGAGCCAGCATACTCCAAAAAGATGAGATCCTTCAGAAGGGTGAATACCACACCATGGTAGATGATTACTATAGTGTGCCCCAAGTTTATGTTTATCAATGTCTCACTAAAATTTCTGACATTACAGGTTAATTTTTTCAAGGAGTTTTGTGCATTTTCTCAGACATTACAACCTCAAAACAGGGATGCATTTTTCAAAACATTGGCAAAATTGGGAATTCTTCCTGCTCTTGAAATTGTAATGGTAATTATGCCGTTTCTTTTCATGTTTTTGAAATTGTAAATTTGTAATACACTTATGTTATGGATGGGAAAATATATAATAATGTATATTCAATTCTATAGTTTAGCTATCTTAATTGAATTACAAGAATATCTTCAGTTTCAGATTTTTATTTAATTTTTAATATCAGTATGTAATCACTTGCATATAGTGTGCTTTCAAGTGAATAAAAAAACCCCACGTTTTTGCAAGACTGTTATATTTTCTGTAACAATATTAAGTGTGTTTCATAGAAGCCAGTAAAATATCTTTTGTTTTTAGATCAGTGAGTGGAACAAGGGGATTCATGCTGCAACACAGGGTTAGGGCATGGTTCTTAGAGTTTTGTTTATATGAGTTTTATCTATTGGTATTTACTTTATGGAAAATTAAAACAAATTTTTAAAGCATTCATTTAAAAATGATAACCCATTATATGTTAACATAAATAATAGAACTTTTTTCACCACATTTTCTTGAGATTGAAATCAATATAACTTTTATGAAAAATAATTTTTTCAAAACAAAAAATTTAGTGAAAAGAGTACCGTTTTTTACTTTTTTTTTCCTGCTAATCCCTTTAGTACCTTGCTTTATAGAAGGTGTTTAGATTCACAAAGCAGCTTCTACATTTAATTTGTGGTGATATCATGTCACACAGCCTCTGGAAAACCCCACTGTACTTGTGATTGAATGAGAGTGAAAATGACAAAGGCTCAGTGTTATTTATTATTATGAAATAGTCTTAATCTTGTATACTTCCTGAAAAGGATGTTAGACCCCTCTCACCAGGATTACCTGGACCACACTTTGAGAACTGCTGGGTTGGGGAGTGTTTTCAGAATCACCTCAAGGTTTTGTAACTTATAAGTCATGTACTCTTCATGTGTTGGAGGGGAAAAGTATCTAGGATTACCATCTTAGAAAACTAAGTTGCAGAAAAGGGTAGAAATGCCCAAAAAGAGTTTTCAAAAGCATGCTCTATTAGGTGAGTCACAGGAAATAGAAACAGTTACTAAGGAGTAACTCTTGCAAAATCAGGACAAAAGGCAGATTCTGGAAGACTTTGAAGTCTTAGCTAGGAGACGTTATTCAAATTTTTACATATATTTAAATAAATCCCCTTCCCATATTTTTTACAGCATTTGTAAGGTATTGCCTTATAATCCTGTGCCAATTCTTATATTTAAATTCTCTGTATATTTATTTGCAGTGGTAAAAATCAGCAGAAACTAATCATTGAATTGCCTGAAAGTTTTAATATTTGTAAAAAGAAAGGAAGAACATACTGGCAAGGTTATACACATTGATTGCAGTAAAACATCTTAATCCAAAAAGTTGAGAGCTAGTGTATGGATTTGGAAAAGAAAAAAGAAATGTGAGAATAACTTTTGTTAACAGTCTCTAAGTAACCTAATTTTCCTTTTATCAGGGCATGGATGATTTGCAAGTCAGATCAGCTGCTACAGATATATTTTCTTATCTAGTAGAATTTAGTCCATCTATGGTCCGAGAGTTTGTAATGCAAGAAGCTCAGCAGAGTGATGACGTAAGTAATAATGCTGTGGTTCTATGTGAATTACCTGTAGAGTGAGTAGTGTTTGCAAACTATTGAGAGAAAAAACATAACATAATCTTAATCTTTCTTGGGAGCAAAATAATAGATTTCTGACTTGTTGTGACTTTGGCCAAATTAGAATATGTGGCGACTGATTTTGTTTATTGTTAGAAAAAAAGAAACCCAGATATTCAAACCAATATTGAGATAAATAGATTATAATAGAATCAGATTTGTAAATATTGGTCTTAAATTTCAAGTGTTAATGAAATGTAATTTCAAGCCTTAGGAGATCTACAGGTCAGGTACTTACCTAGGATAACTAAAAAGTTGCTTTTATTTGTTCAAAAAATATGTTTTAAGTAGGAATGAAAGTTTAATAATGACTGGGTGAGATTGGAGACTATTTTTCTAAGTGCAGTAACTCAGGAATAGAAAACCAAACATCGTATGTTCTCAACTCATAAGTGAGAGCTAAGCTATGAGGATGCAAAGGCATAAGAATGACACAATGGACTTTGGGGACTTGGGGAAAGGGTGGGAAGGGGGTGAAGGATAAAAAAACTACAAATAGGGTGCAGTGTATACTGCTTGGGTGATGGGTGCCCCAAAATCTCACAAATCACCAGCAAAGAACTTACTCATGTAACCAAACACCACCTGTTCCCCAACCACCTATGGAAATAAAAAACATTAAAAAAAAGACAGTTTAATAATGAGACCAATATTGTGTTTTCCCACTACTGATATATTTAAATTTTCCCCTTAAGCTATTTTAAGGACAAAATGAACAGAGAGCTATAATTAAAAGTACTCTTTTTTTATTATTAAAAATGCCTCAGTTTTAAGTAGGAGATAATTATAATTGTCTTCCTTTTTGTTTTTTGTTTTTTTTGAGACAGAGGTTCACTCTTGTTGCCCAGGCTGGAGTGCAATGGCGCATTCTCGGCTCACTGTAACCTCTGTGCGCCACCACGCCTGGCTAACTGTGTATTTTTGGTAGAGAAGAGGTTTCACCATGTTGTTCAGGGTGGTCTCAAACTCCTGACCTCAGGTGATCCACCCATCTCGGCCTCCTAAAGTGCTGGGATTAAAGGCATGAGCCACCATGTGCGATCCACTTGTTAAGGAAAGTTTTTGATTCTCAATTTTAATTTGATGCTTGCATCAGTTACCACTGAATGAAATTATAGTTGTTTTATGTGTTTTGCATTTAATCTTTTAATGTGTCCTTAGATTTATACTTTCTATGTTTGTTAGTTATTTTCAATGTTTTTTAAAGTGATTTTATTTTAGAATCAACTTGGGCTAATGCTGCAATGTCAAATGATGCTAATTCTGACTTTAAAGAGAAATGCCTACTTTATTAATCATTTTATAATCTCATTGGTTTATCTTAATGCCACCCTTTACAAAAGATAACTTTGAAATTAACACTCCCATTGCTCCATCTTCAGTGATGTGTGTGATTAAAGGCATTTATCATAAAATGACCATGAATCAATCTCAGACCATGATCTTAGTAAACTGTTAACTTTCAGAATTCTTAACTCTTCAAGCTTTGATTCCTGTTTTAATTAAAAATATTTCTTGTTTAATTGATACCTAAGACTTAGAAAAGCAGTGATTGATTTTTTCACTGTGAAAAGATCCTTTCTCAGTGTTTTTTTTTCTTATAACAACCTTCTAGGGGTTTCATTTTCCTGAATTTTCTGAGAGCTAACAATTTTACATTTTTAAAACTGTGTTGCCTCAAAATAATTTAGTCCACAAGAGAAGATAAATTAATTACCAAAAAAAATCCAAATTAAGTCTTCTACATGCTGAATTCCATACTGGGCTGGTGGTGACCTTTAGGAAGGAAACAGAAAGTAACTTATTTTTATATTCAGTGGCAGTTGATATTTTAGTGCCCTTTTAAAATAAATGCTCAGCATTCAAACATTTCCTTTTGGTAAAGTATTATGGAGCAGATTTGGTTATGGCAACATGGATTACAATATTTAAATATGTATTAAGATGAAAGGAAATATTAACATTTTTTACTGTAGTCATTGTTTCTATCCAAGCAGAAAGGGTAAATTTAGCAATAATGTCATCTTTTTATGCCACAGATTGCACATATTTTTATATTAATGGCCTTTGAAACATTCAGTAAAACTTGCAGAACCTGACTGGATGAGTAATATAGTTATTACTGAATTACTTATTTTGTTAGGTGTTTTCTCATTTAATAATAAAATCTTAGGTTAATTTTTTAGATATGGTAACATTTGTGTTATTTTAAAAGAATCCTTATATTTTAAAGATTTATGCTCTCCTCTCGTTTACTGAATCCATCAAACCTAAGATATGCAGATGCTAATGTTTTCTTGATCTTACCAGACAGTGTCAGTAGAAGATTTTTATGTAATTTTGTCACGATTACCACTTGGCTGATAGTGGCTGTCAAATGCCATCAGTTACAAAATGTATCTTAATTTTAAGAGGTGAAAATTTTTAAGAAATCTGTTTTAGAATCAATGAAACAAATTTGAACATCTGATTTTCTTTATATTTCCCAATCAGAAAATAGAGATGCCAGCTTAGAATCAGGACAGTCTCTACTAAAAATACAAAAATTAGTCAGGCATGGTGGCTCATGCCTTTAATCCCAGCTACTAAAGAGGCTGAGGCAGGAGACTGGTTTGTAATGAGGTGGCAGTGAGCCCAGATTGCCCCACTGCACTCCAGCCTGGGCAAGAGAACGAGACTCCGTTTCAATAAATAAATAAATAAAATCCAAGAGCATGTTACTAATGTAACAAATCTATTTAATATTAGATTGTTATATAACACAGTGTTCACTTGCATGAAGAGTTGTGTACTGGGTTATTTTTGGTCATTTTTTCTTTTTTTTCTTTTTGTTAGGAAGGATTTACTAGTTAGAGGCTGAGATAATTTATGTCTTAGGGTCATGTGATCTTGCTTGTTTAGTCAACCTCTAAATTTACGCCTGAGTCTGAAACCCAAAATGAGATTCTGTTAGAACCTCTACTGAACAAGAACTACTGCTAAAGAATTTTGTTTTCCACTTCCTATAAGTTGAAGCATGCTCTGCTTTTGTGGGTTTTTTTTCCTCCTTCTTCTTTTTTTTTTCTCGGAGTGGGATTTTTTTTCACTCTAGTGTGTAGTATTTTATAGAACTTTCAAAAGCATTAGGAATAGAGGTTTAAATAAGCTATTCCATTCTTCGTTTTTTCTCTATATAATTCTCACTTTGCTCTTTCAGTTGGTGTTTTTGTCTTAGATCTAAACCAGGTCTAATGGAAACATGTTTTGTTTTGTTTTGTTTTGCCACCAGGATATTCTTCTTATTAATGTGGTAATTGAACAAATGATCTGTGATACTGATCCTGAGCTAGGAGGCGCTGTTCAGTTAATGGGACTTCTTCGTACTCTAATTGATCCAGAGAACATGCTGGCTACAACTAATGTAAGAAATTACTCTGAGATAAAAATGTTTTGGCCTAGTCAGTTTTAGGTGGCTTTGTAATAAGATTTTGAGAAACAAGTATTTTAAGTATTTGTCCAGTTGGTATTTAAGTAGCAGTGGTATTCTTATAGCAATTCATTTGTGGTAAAATACAAAATTGTAATCCGTCAAAATCTTAGTAAAATGTTAGGAATTCCATTTATGGCCCTTGGCCTCTATGTGTTAATTTCTTAAAATTTAATACACAGCAATGTGATTATACTTAACACTACTAAACTGTACACTTAAAAATGATAAAATTATTATTATTTTTTTGAGACAGAGTCTTGCTCTGTCACCAGGCTGGAGTGCAGTGGCGTGATCTCAGCTCACTGCAACCTCCGCCTCTCGGGTTCAAGCGATTCTCCTGCCTCAGCCTCCCAAGTAGCTGGGACTACAGACGCACACCACCACACCTGGCTAATTTTTGTATTTTTAGTAGAGATGGGGTTTCATCATGTTGGTCAGGCTGGTCTTGAACCCCTGACCTCAGGTGATCCACCCGCCTCAGCCTCCCAAAGTGCTGGGATTACAGGTGTGAGTCACCATGCCCGGCCAATACATTTTTAAATAGCAAGTTTTATGTTGCGTGATTTTATCACCATAAAAAAGGAAAAATTTAAATATACTGAATGATCTTAATTACCTAAGACATTTTAAAAGATTTAAGGATTAAGTCCTTAATACTTAAGGATTAGATACTCCAGAATATTAATAGTCATTCTCTCAATATGGAGGGATATTTTTCTTTATAAAATTTCCTTCATATTTAGAGAATATATACATCGTTTTTAAATCATTACAAGTTTGTATACCCAATTGTGTAAAAAATAGTGGCAAAAGCCATAGACATTATTTTCCAAATTTTCAAAGTATAAAATATTAAAATGTTAAAAGTTGATTTAAATTTTGTCTTTTCATCCAGTGGCTTGATAAAGTGATTCAGTGGTTTTTAAAATTTAGATAGAATTGGTGAAATCTGGGGTTCCAAATTTTAGGTAGTTAAGTTGCTATCACATGGGCTTAATTGGTTCTTTTTCTTTCTAAACATTTTTATTCTTCCAAAACAGATTCAAATGTGCCTTTTACCCCCATTTGAATGTTATTTTTAAAGTTGAGAGAATTTTCTTTCTTTGTTACTTTCTTGGGAAAAACTCAATACACTGCAGAGAGAGAGAGACAAATGGGATCAATAGTGATTATGGTGCTTGCTGTTCTGACTTACATGTTGTTTATTTTGTGTCTGTTTTACCTCAAGTATTTATTTGTGTTGAGAACACTTAAAATCTACTGTCTTAGCAGTTTGCAAGTGTAATACATTGTTAGTAATATGTTGTTATTATATATGTTGTACAATAGATTGGTTCTTCACTGCGTTTCATATTCGTATCACAGGCATCTTTTTAAAAAATTATTTTGAATAATTTTCCTCAGAAAAACATTTTGTGATGCTCTCTGATCTTTATCTTGCCTTCATTTTTACTTAGTACATAATATGAAGTAGACTTAATTTTCAGTTCCACAGAAATAAGATTAAAGTGAATATAGTTAGTTTTTGGTTCTTTGACAACGTATAACCAAGTGTTTGATTTTTTTCACAGTATTTTAAAGTATCTGCTTATATATGATCTGTACTGCTAATTCTTTTTGTTTTGGTTTGGTTCTGGAAAAGGTATGTACTGCTAATCTTGAAGATGTTTTTATTTACATAAGTAACAGTATTGTTTAAAAAATTCTATGTTTCAGAAAACCGAAAAAAGTGAATTTCTAAATTTTTTCTACAACCATTGTATGCATGTTCTCACAGCACCACTTTTGACCAATACTTCAGAAGACAAATGTGAAAAGGGTAGGGTCTCTTTATTTATCTGCTGTGATTTCTGTTTTTAAAGAAGGATGAGATAAATATTAAACTAACAGGCAATTTACTTGAGACTTTATAAGACAGGGAGATTACGACTGAAAAACTTAAACTGCAATATAAAATTATGATTTTCTTGTTTCTTAAGGTTATGGAAGTGAATGATAAAATGTGGCAAGACTATTCTTTCGGGGGCCATTTCTATAGTTTGTTGCTACGGAAGTTTCTCTGAACGTGTAGACCACTGGCAGAAAAAAAAGAAAATGTGGCAAACAGTATTACACACTAAGGAATTGATATGTAGACACTTATCAAAAGAAAGCATTGTCGCCAAATTTGTGCGATATCTAGAATGAGTAGAAGCAAATAGTATAAATATTTTAACTTAGCCTCCAAATGCACATTCATATGCCAATATGTGCTAATATATAGGGGCAAGGCTTTTTCCTTAGTATTTTTAAAATTGCATTTCCATATTCTCTTTCTTATGTAATCGGCACCCGTAATTCATCAGCTGCAATTTCTGTTTTCAGTTTATTAAAATGGAGTGAAAATCTAAAAATTTTTTGAAGGAGTCTGAGTGCAGAATCCTTTGGTTTTAGTATATCCCTCTAGGTAATTATAGTTGCATGTATCTAATTTGGAGGCAATTTTTAAATTGAGTCCTTCTATATTCAACTTAACTGTAGATATTACAGTTCTCTGAGATTTCATCAGTCTCATATGTTACCATATGACCATACTACATACTAACATAAGCAAAGGACTTTGAAAAGCGTACAACTTAATTAGTGAAATCAGAAATATGTGGGGCATAATAGAACATTAGCCACTATCTGAGAATACTTGTTAACCTGAAGAGTCACTTAAAAGGAAGTTAGGAGAATGTTTATGAAACTAATAAAGTTGAAACATGAGCACACCCTATGTAATACTATCAGTTCCATTTCTGAGTATATACTCTAGGGAATGTTTGTGCATATGCATGACAGGTACAAGAATGTTGCTGCATTGTTTGTGGTAGGAAAATGAATAAAATATGTTTTTTTCATATAATGGAATACTATATAGCAGTTAAAATAATTGAATTTTGATGTATCAACTGAATAATTCCCCAAAATATCAAGGTGAATGGGTACAAAAGCACATCGCAGAGGGTTTTCTTGCAGAATGGTTCCATTTATATAAATGAAAATAATGCATTTTTTATGTTCATTTTAATAAAACACTTCCAGCTTACAGAAATATATAGATAATAATATAACAGACACTCATATACTCCCTGTTGGCTTTATCAAAACTAACTTGCCATATTTTTTTTCAGATTTTTTTTTAAAACATTACAGATATAGTTGGAGTTTCATATGTACCCCTTCACATTCCCATTCCCATTCTACCCCCTCTTCCTCCATCTCTCAAGGTATGCTGAATTTGGAGTGTATCACTCCTATATTTACTTATGTTGTTATGATGTGTATATACGGTATTATTTTTCTTGTTTTCAAAGTTGCTATAAATTTAATGTCTGTCATACATATTATTCTGCATATTTTTTATCCAGTGTTATTTTTGAGATCTATTCGTATTGATACCTGTTCATATTGATCTAATTCATATTGAAATAGAGTTCTTATTTATTTTTAACTCCTACATAATCCTCTCTTATGAGGATGCTGTAATTCAGCCATTCTGCCTCTAATGTGCATTTGTTTCTAGCTTTTTGCTATTACAAATAATGCTCCAGTTACATTCTTGTGTTTCCCTGTGCACATGTGCCTTGATGTGCTCTAGAATGTATTCCTAGAAATTGGAACTTATTTATAATGGCCTACTTAATTGAGTTTTTTTTTTAATTTAAAGCATAAACACATTCATTATTCTGGAGTTTTAAAAATTCCTGCATTTTCTGTTTTTAAAAATTAGATGTATAATGGATAATCAAATGCAAATGTTATTTTAAAAAATTAAAAATAGTAAAACAAAAATGAGATGAAGAGAAATACCCTAATTGTTGAATGATGAATAGGAGAAGGTAAAAGAAGATATGTCAGTTTTATCTCTGGTTGTAATCTTACTTTTTATCAGAATATTTATGCTATGTTGTCTTTTAATAATTCCACATCTGCATCCACTTTTGTAAAAGATTGCAGATATAGTTATAATTTTGCTGAAGCAACCAAGTCTTTATGGTTATTTTGAGGGTAAAAGGAGATTATGATTGAAGACATGCATTGTATATTATAAAGTACTAGGGAAATCTGGGATATTATTACTGAAGTATTTTATTTTAATTTTTAATTTTTTTATTAGATAATATAGTTGGATCAAACAAAAACAACACAATTTGTCCCGGTAAGTATGAATTCATACTTTATGAATACATGCAAATTATAAACTTTTTTCTACTCTAAGTGTAATGCACTTATATAAGGCTAAGAAAAGCATATTTTGGCATAAAAACAAAATCCAAGAAGAAATTTACTTTTGTAATTCCACTATCTCCAATATTAAAAATAGAAAACGAGTTGGAATTCTGTTGTTTTTCCCTGAAAATTTATAGCTTGTTTTCTGATGTTGTTATGAGAAGGCATTGTCTGAAATTTGAGGATTTAGTTCTTATTTTTGAAATGTAGTAAACTAAAACCAATTACTTTGCAACTAATTTTCATGACCACTTTATGGTTATTGTTCATGAATCTGAGTCTAAAAGCAGTTGTTTCTACTTAGAATAGGCATAGTAGGTATGGGCTTGATACTAATAAAGACATGTGCTGTGTGCACCTACCGTCCCATACCTTTTCTGCCAGCCTCATCAAATCTCAAAGGGGAGCCAGTTTCAAATAAGGAGGCTGTTTAGAGATTGGACTATTTAGAGATACAAGTAATTTCTTGTCCCCGTTATAAAGATGAAGACAAGACATTTGTTTAACACTGTAGTTCATTGTTTTTCTTTTTTATTTTTTTTGAGATGGAGTCTCACTCTGTCGCCCAGGCTGGAGTGCAGTGGCACAATCTCGGCTCACTGCAAGCTCCGCCTCCTGAGTTCAAGCGATTCTTCTGCCTCAGCCTCCCGATTTTTTGTATTTTTAGTAGAGGCGGAGTTTCACCGTGTTAGCCAGGGTGGTCTCGATCTCCTGACCTCGTGATCCACCCGCCTCGGCCTCCCAAAGTGCTGGGATTACAGGCGTGAGCCACCGCGCCCGGCCTGTTTTTGTTTTTTTAAACTTAATTTCCACATACAGCATTGAGGGTCAAGGTTAAAAAATATTTTGTAATAAAATTTGGGAATTGAGAAATAAAGAATTGCTTTCGTTTGTTTGAGACAGAGTCTCACTCTGTCACCCAGGCTAGAGTGCAGTGGCACAATTTCGGCTCACTGCAACCTCCACCTTCTGGGTTCAAACCATCTCCCGCCTCAGCCTCCCAAGTAGCTGGGATCACAGGTGTGCACCACCACGCCCAACTAATTTTTTTGTATTTTTATTAGAGATGGGGTTTCACCATGTTGGCCAGAATGGTCTCAAACTCCTGACCTCAGGCGATCCACCCACCTTGGCCTCCCAAAGTGCTGGGATTACAGGCATGAGCCACTGCACCTGGCCAGGAATTGGTTTTAATGATGAGGGACTAGTTCAAATTTTGGCTGTGGTACTGGCTGTTAGAGCAATTGGTCTGGAGCAAGTGAAACTCTTTACTTGCATTTAAAGTAGAAACAGTCCTTGAAATATCAGAATTTTATTTTGTGTATTTATATGTGATGGTCATTCTGTTATTACAATGCTAATTTATTTCCAATAGCATTGTAGTTCCCCAAAATATTTATGTATATAATCTCAAATAAAATAGTTGTACTAGATGATGTCATTTTTTTAAAAATTCCGTAAGCCTGTGATTTTATAATTTCCTTACAGCTTAATATTTCCTTGTCTAGCCAAGCGTGGTGGCTCACACCTGTAATCTCAGCACTTTGGGAGGCCGAGGCAGGAGGATTGGTTGAGCCCAGGAGTTAGAGACCAGCCTGGGCAACATAGTGAGACCTCGTCTCTACAAAAAATATACTGGGCATGGTGGTATATCCCTGTGGTCCCAGCTACTAGGGAGGCTGAGGTGGCAGGATCACTTGAGTCTGGGAGGTTGAGGCTGCATTGAGCCGAAATTGCACCAGTGCCCTCCAGCCTGGGTGACATAGTGATACCCTGTCTCAAACAACAAGAAAATATTTCTTTGTCTAAAGCACTTATAATATGGGTGGTGCATGATTGTCCATGTGAGCCCTTGACATAAATTAAAATTTGATGTTCAGGATGCAGTTCAAAATCATTTCATGAATGTATCAACCAAAGCCTCAGGGAAAGAAAAAATGCAAGTTTATTCAGTAGGTCCCTCTCTATGGACATCGTGAGTTGATATTTTAAAAGTTGTAAATAGGCCGGGCGTGGTGGCTCACGCCTGTAATCCCAGCACTTTGGGAGGCCGAGGTGGGCGGATCATGAGGTCAGGAGATCGAGACCATCCTGGCTAACACGGTGAAACCCCATCTCTACTGAAAACACAAAAAAAAATTAGCCGGGCGTTGTGGCGGGCGCCTGTAGTCCCAGCTACTTGGGAGGCTGAGGCAGGAGAATGGCGTGAACCCGGGAGGCGGAGCTTGCAGTGAGCCGAGATCGCACCACTGCACTCCAGTCTGGGCTACAGAGTGAGACTCCGTCTCAAAAAAAAAAAAAAAAAAAAGAAGTTGTATATGAAATTATATTAAATCATGTTTAAGAATCAGGCTGGGCGCAGTGGCTTACGCCTGTAATGCCAGCACTTTGGGTGGCTGAAGCGGGTGGATCACGAGGTCAGGAGATCGAGACCATCCTGGCTAACACGGTGAAACCTCATCTCTACTAAAAATACAAAAAAATTAGCTGGGCATGGTGGCGGGTGCCTGTAGTCCCATCTACTCGGGAGGCTAAGGCAGGAGAATGTCGTGAACCCAGGAGATGGAGCTTACTGTGAGCCAAGATCGCGCCACTGCACTCCAGCCTGGGCGACAGAGCAAGACTCTGTATCAAAAAAAAAAAAAAGAATCTTGATGTAATATTTTTTACTTGATATTCAAACAGCCAAAAATATCCTTTTCTTAAAATGTCTTTTCTAAAAGCGTATAATTTTTCTTGAGAAATTTGCACTGAGCCACTTTAGGCAAAAAGTTTTAAGTATTTTTTAACAATGGGCCCTTTTATAGATTTATTAATATTAATAATATAGCATTTATTACAGAAACATTACCAAGAACTCCTCAGTGCCATCAAGGTATTATTATCATGTTCATATATTTTTATTGCCTTTCTTTCTGTATTTCATATTTTATGCAAATATAAGTCTTAGTTATCTAGTAGGTAAAACTGATAATATGCTTCTGGAGAGTCTGCCTAATGAAAAAGTAAAAATCTACAGCCTTTTAAATGGATATGAAAATGGAGGAAATAGGCCAGGTGCAGGGGCTTACACTTGTAATCCCAGCACTTTGGGAGGCTCAGGTGAGAGCATCGCTTGAGTCCAGGAGTTTGAGACCAGTCCAGACAACATAGTGAGGCCCCATCTCTACAAAAACTTGAAAAAAAAAATTAGCTAGCATGGTGGCGTACATCTGTAGTTCCAGCTACTCTGGCAGCTGAGGTGGGAGGATCAGTTGAGCCTGGGAGGTGGAAGCTGCAATGTGCCATGATCACACCACCACACTCCAAACTGGGTGACAGAGTGAGACTTTGTCTCAAAAAAAAAAAAAAAAAAAAGGAGGAAATACAGTTTAGATTTTGTTATAACATATAGGATGTAAGCTTTATTTATTCTTTATTTAGATATATTCAATATTTATTTTCATGAGATTACTTTCTTTTGTAGATAATTATCAAACAGCACAGCTACTTGCCTTAATTTTAGAGTTACTCACATTTTGTGTGGAACATCACACATATCACATAAAAAACTATATTATGAACAAGGACTTGCTAAGAAGAGTCTTGGTCTTGATGAATTCAAAGCACACTTTTCTGGCCTTGTGTAAGTATAAAATGTTTTAAGGAGCAACATTTTTAATAGAGATAAAACTGAAGTTACCCATTTGAAGTTATTTATTAGCAGTGTATATTCTATGAATGAGATGATTGTGAGAAGTCCTATTCTTTTGTTCTTATTTAAAGGGCAAGAGGACTAGGTTGTAGTGATTTTCCCACCCACATATTGCTCACATTTAGATTTAATGAGCCTAACTTTTGTTGTGATACATTACCATGTGCAGTGACAGCATTTTACTAACAGAACCAGTCCTGCTGTTTTTTTACATCTACTTCATCAAACTGTCATTTAGTAGTCAGTCACTCTTTATAATTATCCTGATATTTGCATCAATGTTGATTTTTAGCAGACTATAAACTGTCACCTTCATAATTTCACCTGCAAGCAGAGAAAGAAACATCCTCCCTCCAAATGAAAAGTACTTTGTGGTTTTATTCTGACCATAAAAATTATATTTTAAATATAGACATTTAATTTAATGTATAGAGAAAATGTTAATCTCCCTAATCTTTATTTTTATGGACTTAAAATAGCCAGTGTTAACTGTCTGCATTATTTCTTTTTTTCATACCTGTACCAATTTATGTAATAAACATATTCACACATGTATAGAGGATTTTTTTGTGTTTTTTATATTTACAAAACAGTATCATACCAACACATTTCTCAGCCCACTAATACTACTCTAGATTAATCAATATTGTATAGACTAATTTTATTCCTGGAGATAGCTGAGTAAGATTTTATAGTATGGCTCTTCCACAGATTCTTCTGCCATTCTCCAGTGGATAAATTACAGGATTGTTTTTGCTTTCTTGCCACTCCACATCTCACTGTGGTAAATAGTCTAGTACATAAATCTTTTAAGTACTGATTTATTTCTTTCTATAGGATAGATTCTCAATAATGGGATTGGTAAGAGAAAATATTTATCTGTTTTATACTTTTTAATGTATCTCTAAGTTTTAATTTACCATATAGCTGCCAGATTACTTCCGCCAAAATTGAAGCACTTTGACATTGTCCCAGCATTCAGTGTTACTAATTTTAAAATGTTATCAATCTGATACTGAAAAATGTGGTATCTCATTGTTATTCTAATTTGCATTTTCCCTGACAGCATCTTTTCATATATTAGTGTACTTTGCATTTTTATCTGTTGTGAATTGCCAGTTATCTTTTTCTTAGAGCTTTTTGTATATTAGAGATATTAACAATTTATCATGTTTTGAGGAGAAAATGTCCATCTTCATTGTCTTTTGTCTTTGCCTTTATTTGTAGTATTGTTTTCCAGATAACTTTAAAATTTCCTTATGATGGCAAAAATGTCTTTCTTTTCCTTTTATGACTTTTGGGTTTTTTGTTTTGCTTAGGAAAGTCTTATGTCCTAAGATTATGCAGATATTCTCACTTTCTTCTAATATCTTTATTTCCTTTTTTACATTTATGTATGTAACACATGTGAAATTTGTTTTTGCACATATACTTTGAAATGAGAGTGTTTGAAATGAGTGTTTCCTAGATACATAGCCAACAGTATCAGCACCTTTATTAAGGCAACCATACCTTTCCTCTTTCCTTCTGAATTGAAATACCATTTTTGTTAAATAAGTTAACATATATATACTTTTGTTTTATTTCTGGACAGTCATTTAATTTCACCAAATGTAAAAGTACCAGTGTTGGCCAGGCGCAGTGGCTCACGCCTGTAAATCCCAGCACTTTGGGAGGCCAAGGCGGGTGGATCACCTGAGGTCAGGAGTTCGAGAGCAGCCTGGGCAATATAACTGTCTCTACTAAAACTACAAAAATTAGCCAGGCATGGTGGTGTATGTCTGTAATCCCAGCTACTCAGGAAGCTGAGGCAGGAGAATCACTTGAACCCGGGAGACGGGGGTTGCAGTGAGCTGAAATCGCAACACTGCACTCTAGCCTGGGCAACAGAGCAAGACTCTGTCTCAAGAAACAAACAAACAAACAAAAAACCTGTGTTTATTATATTATGCCAGGCATTATAGTGTCTCTTGTAAGGTTTAATACCTACTGAGACCCCTTCACTTTTGTTTTTCATACTTTTCTTGGTTGTTCTTAGACATTTTTTTCTTTCATGATAACTGGTTGTATCCAGTTCATTTTGATTGGAATTACATTATATTTTTATATTAATTTTGGAATGTTTGATGTTCTTAAGACAGATTTTCCTATTTGGCTCATTAAATAGTACTTTTCGATGACTGCAGAATACTTCCCTTAATAGGAACATGTCAATTGAATGCATTTCCATTTTTTTTTTTGAGACAGAGTCTTGCTCTGTTGCCCAGGCTGGAGTGTAGTGGCACAGTCTCAGCTCACTGCAGCTTCTGCTTCCCGGTTTCAAGTGATTCTCCTGCCTCAGCCTTTCGAGTAGCTGGGATTACAAGTGCCTGCCACCACACCTGGCTAATTTTTTGTATTTTTAGTAGAGATGGGGTTTCACCATGTTGGCCAGGCTGGTCTCAAACTCCTGACCTCATGATCCACCCTCCTCAGCCTCCCAAAGGGCTGAGATTACAGGTGTGAACCGCTGCACCCAGCCACAATTTCCAATATTTAAATGTTTATATTGTTTCAAGATTTCTATTATTATAAGCAGTGCTGTTGTAACTGTAGTTTTGTGTACATGTCAGTTCATTTACCAGCAGTGTAGAATTGTGCCTCTTTGCTCACAAACTTGCCAGTGCTTCAGTCTTTTGCATCTTAAGTAAACCATTTCTTATCCTGCCACAAAAAGAGGGAAGATTGTAAGTCTAACACGTCTCCCCATACTTGTTTGGTGTTACAGTTAACATTTATACCTTATGTGGCCTATTTCTGTTTTATTCTCAGATAATGTTTAGAACCTCTTGTGACAGGCACAAGTTCTTTGTTTAATGAGTTTCATCTATGAACAGAGGGTTGGAATGAGAAAATGACTTATAAAATCAGAAGCCTTGTGTTTTGAAGATTTGACTAGTGGTATCTGTAGAATAAACTACTTAGGGGAAAGGATACAAGTTAAAGGATCAACATATAAAAATAAAGGATTGAAATTATAGTCCTTCCTGTTCCATAAGATTTTTAGCAGTAATATTGCTAAATTTAGTAAGCTTTATTTAGCTAGTCACGAGTTAAAAAGGAGATTTCTTTTCAGTGTCCTAAAATGTGAAGTCAAGTTGTACTTCTTATTCATTACTCTGTTTTACTTTTAACAAATACATTCTGATCTGCCACAGTGCATATTTAGCCAGGTAAAATAGCTTGTAAGCAATTGGTACATAAGAGAATGATGTAATTATAATACGGAGATAGGATTGGTTCACAAATTGTTTGTTTTTTGAGACATAGTCTCACTCTGTCACCCATGCTGGGGTGTAGTGGCACGATCTCAGCTCACTGCAACCTCCACCTCCAGGGTTCAAGTGATTCTCCTGCCGCAGCCTCCCGAGTAGCTGGGACTACAGGCGCCTGCCAGCACACCTGGCTAATTTTTTGTATTTTAGTAAAGACGGGGTTTCACCATGTTGGCCAGGCTTGTCTCGATCTCCTGATCTCGTGATCTGCCTGCCTCAGCACAAATGTTTTTTTCAAGGCAAGGAGAAGTAGAATAGTGTGAGTGGAAATAGTCTTCATCAGAGAAGTAAAAAACCTTTAGATCTCCTTTATGTGATTGGCATCTGGCATCAGGAGCCTCTTTAGTGTAGGGACCAGCCCCACAGGGTCGGTGGGTTTTTCTCCCCGTGTGCAGAGATGAGAGATTGTAGAAATAAAGACACAAGACAAAGAGATAAAAGAAAAGACAGCTGGGCCCGGGGGACCACTACCACCAAGACGCGGAGACCGGTAGTGGCCCCGAATGCCAGGCTGCGCTGATGTTTATTGGATACAAGACAAAGGGGCAGAATAAGGAGTGTGAACCATCTCCATTGATAGGTAAGGCCACATGGGTCACGTGTCCACTGGACAGGGGGCTCCTCCCTGCCTGGCAGCCGAGGCAGAGAGAGGAGAAAGAGAGAGAGATAGCTTACACCATTATTTCTGCTTATCATAGACTTTTAGTACTTTCACTAATTTGCTACTGCTTTCTAGAAGGCAGAGCCAGGTGTACAGGATGGAACATAAAGGTGGACTAGGAGCGTGACCCCTGAAGCACAGCATCACAGGGAAACAATTAGGCCTCTGGATAACTGCAGGTGGGCCTGACTAATGTCAGGCCCTTCACAAGAGGTGGAGGAGTAGAGTCTTCTCTAAACTCCCCCAGGGAAAGGGTGACTCCCTTTCCCGGTCTGCTAAGTAGCAGGTGTTTTTCCTTGACACTAACGCTACCGCTAGACCATGGTCTGCTTGGCAACGGGCATCTTCCCAGACGCTGGTGTTACCGCTAGACCAAGGAGCCCTCTGGTGGCCCTGTCCGGTCTTTTGGTCACTTCTCAGTATGTACCCTCAGCTCCTATCTCTGCATGGCCTGGTTTTTCCTAGGTTATGATTGTAGAGCGAGGATTATTATAATATTGGAATAAAGAATAATTACTGCAAACTAATGATTAATGATATTCATATATAATCATATCTAAGATCTATATCTAGTATAACTATTCTTATTTTATATATTTTATTATACTAGAACAGCTCGTGCCCTCAGTCTCTTGCCTCGGCACCTGGGTGGCTTGCTGCCCACACTTTAGCTGTATTTTCAGAAAACTGAAAACAAGCTTTTGCCTCTAAAGCTCCCTCCCTCAGAGAGGCAAGGCAATCTTAGCTCATGGTGGGTTGCCCACTCCTGTGCCCACCTTAATGACAGTGCCCCCACTGATTCTGAGCTGCCTTCACTGCGTTGTCTCAGCATCCACCAGCACTGCTGTAAATACTGCTAGCATTTGCAGTCTATGGATTTTGCATATTTTTAAATCTCTGTCACAGAGCTACCTGCCTGGGTAGTTTATCTCCTAGATTCCAATTACTGTTTTTGTTGTTGTTGTTGTTGTTAGTTCTGGCTACAAAGTTGTACAGGTTTTGAGCGATCCTCTGCAGCTCTATTTTCCTCAAAGTCCAGTTTTACCAGACAGTTTTACTTTTCATTTTAGAGGAGTTTACTTTTTACTTTATACACAGTTTTACTTTTCATTTTAGAAGAGCATATACATTGCTTTATGGTGGAAAAACACCTGTATAATAATTGATTTTAGTAAGATCATTAACTTATTCCCTATATTATTTTTAATTAGGTGCCCTTCGCTTTATGAGGCGGATAATTGGACTTAAAGATGAATTTTATAATCGTTACATCACCAAGGGAAATCTTTTTGAGCCAGTTATAAATGCACTTCTGGATAATGGAACTCGGTATAATCTGTTGAATTCAGCTGTTATTGAGTTGTTTGAATTTATAAGAGTGGTAAGTTTATATAAAACAGCTGTTATTATATGTAATTATATGTAAATAATTTTTTATGTAAAAGAATTACATGTAAGCAAAGTGACTTCATTCCCTTTTCACCCCTGAAATTATATATTCCATGTGTCTTAGAATCTATTCTAATAAACAGAAATTTTAAAAATCAGTAGCTTTTTAATTCTTATTTGCCACATGGTTATAGTTTAGTGGTTTTTACTTTTGACACTGATATTTTTTAACGCTAATATTTTTAATTGTGAAATATAAAAGTGAAATTCAGCATAGTCTTTCAGCCCATATTTACTTGATTTTCTCAGTTCCATTTTTATTGGCCAAATGTTTCATGATCTCATTTGGTGTATGTGGACATTTCAGTCAATCATGCCTTATTCACGTGATCTTTTAGGAAAAGGTGATATTTTTATTGTAGAGGTAATGATTTAAAAAGAATAGAAAGATGGAAAAATAATTCACTTGGGGTTGGGCGTGGTGGCTTACGTCTGTAATCCCAGCACTTTGGGAGACCTGGGCAGGCTGATCACTTAAGGTCAGGAGTTCGTGACCAGCCTGGCCAACATGATGAAACCCCATCTCTACTAAAAATACAGAAATTAGCTGAGTGTGATGGCACACGCCTGTAGTCCCAGCCACTTGGGAAGCTGAGGCACAAGAACCACTTGCATCCAGGAGGTGGGGTTGCAGTGAGCCAAGATTGCATCACTTCATTCCAGCCTGGGTGACAGAGCAAGACTCTTGTCTCAAAAAAAAAAATCATTTGGTAGACATTAATACAACATGCATAAAAGGTAGGATGGAATCCTAGAATTTTAAGTTAAAGAGATCAGGAAGTTAGATGGACTACTCCAATTACCGTATTTTATAGATCAGGAAATTAAGACACCCAAAGTTATTAAGTGACCTATTCAAGAACATCCTTTTGGATAGTAGCACAATCAGGACCAGTCAGAACTTGAAGCTTTGTCCCAGCTTAGTTTTAGGCAACAGAAGATTTGTCATAAACAATCTGGAGGGCAGTCTATGTGAATAACAGGAATGCAACAGATAACTGTAGAACCAGTACAACAAATTTACTTCACCTGTACTTAAACACACCGAAATCATTCCACTGAGGAAATGGCCACATAGTTGGAAAGAATTTGGGTTTTATTTTTTGTTTTGTTTTGTTTGAGACAAGGTCTCATGCTGTTGCCCAAGCTGGAGTACAATAATGTAATCACAGTTCACTGCAGCCTCGACCTCCTGGGCTCAAGCAGATCCTCCCACGTCAGCCTCCTGAGTAATTGGAACTACAGGCATGCACTAAAGTGCCTGGCTAATGGTAATTTTTTTTTATGTATGGGGTCTCCCTTTGTTGCCCAGGCTGGTCTCAAACGCCTAGGCTCAACCAGTTCTCCCACCTCAGCCTCCCAAAGTGTTGGATTACAGGTGTGAGCCACTGCACCTGGCTGGAAATAATTTGAAAAATCAAAGTCCAAGCTAGAAATTCATTATCTAGTTTTATTTCTTACAAGTCAGATTTTTGCTGATAACATGCTATTCTCATATGAAGATTATTTGGCTGACTGGATTGTTTTTCTAAAAGTGGTCAATTGCCAAGTATATGATTTTTAAAAGGATGAAGAGGATAGAAGTCTTTAACCTGGTAAAAGAAGGAACATGGTTAACTAGCTCACTAGTTCCCATTGTACTGCTGCAATAAATCAAAGCTTTATATTTTATTTACTTTATATTATTCTCCTTTAAAATTTTGGTGAGATACAGATAAAGCAAATGGTAGAGTTTACAACCCTGTCCCTATGCCCATGATGGAATTGTTTTTGTGAAAATAAGTTCGAGTGGTCGATTTGTGTACCTTGTGCCCCAAAACTTAATGTATTTTTTCGTTTCACATATAACATAGAGCCATTACCTAGGTTTCTAATTTCTGATTTGCGTATTTTTTTTCAATTGAGAAGTACAGGAGAACTAGTTTTAAGACTTAAAATCCATAATGCAACCAAATTATGGTGTATCTTTTCAAGAAATGACCTGTGTGTTTCTTACTATGTAGTGTTATCTGTAAAGTCCTCAATCACAACTTTAATTTTTTTTTTTAAAATAAGCCTACTGGGCATGCATGCATTTGCAGTGATGGTTTAGAATTTAGAAGTTATTACTATCAATTAGTTTATTTCACAGATATTATACTATTGGAAGACTATAGGAATAGACAAGTAGAATTCCAGATAGTTTATCAGATCTGTGTGTATAATATAGTCAGAGAAGTCTTTGCTTCTTATTATTTAGGTAACACGTGTCCTCTGTTGTTTTTTCTTCTTCTGTGTGTGTGAAAGCCAGCCTCTGATGTGGGAAAGGCTTGAGAGAGATCTCTTTGTCATCAAGCCTTTGCCAGCTCCTATATGATATATGTGGCAGAGTTAGGCTCATTTGAAAACTTAACAAATGTACCAGAAAGAAAACCACCACAACCATATCCCATTTTGATAGCAGTTAAACAGGAAGTCATTAAATAAGACCTGTTTGTTGAAAAATATGTTTTTCTTTTATTAATACATAATATTATACAGATGTATTTGGTACATGTATTTATTTTTTACATGCATAGAATGTGTAATGATCAAGTCCGGGTATTTGGGGTATCCATCACCGTGAGTATTTTGAAAATGTAATTTTAACATCTGCCCTCTAACCAGCCGTGTGCTCTGGATCAAACCATCCAGCCTCTCTTAGAGCCTCAATTTTGGTTTTTCTCTAAAATGGGAATAATAAAACCTATCTCATAGAATTGTTGTGAAGATCAAATGAAATTTTATGTAAAAGTGCTTTTTAAATTGTAAACTGCTATATATATATATATATATACAAAAAATAGAAGATGTAAAATAAATCTATTTACTTTTCGAATGCTCTTTATAGTCCTATAAAAGGACTCCAGTAAATTGCTTCTCCTTTTTTTTCAAGTTTTCTGTGCAGTCCTGACTCATGTGTAAAGAAACCAGGACATTACATTTTGGAAGGTGATTTTGAAAAACCTTTTTTGATCAGCTTTAGAACTACAAAACAAAATTTTAAAGTTTTTCTTCTAACAAGCATTGTATTATATTTTAAATGTAAATTTTGTGCTTATACAGGAAGATATCAAGTCTCTTACTGCCCATATAGTTGAAAACTTTTATAAAGCACTTGAATCGATTGAATATGTTCAGACATTCAAAGGATTGAAGACTAAATATGAGCAAGAAAAAGACAGACAAAATCAGAAACTGAACAGGTATTGTTTAAGTATACTGCTTTTATAGCCTACAAAACTGTGTCCAAAATTGTTTGTAGTTCAGATTTTCCATGTGAAATTTACTGAGGAATTTTCTTTCCATCACTGGATAGCATAGAGTTGAATAGGAGGGTAAGGCGTCCCCCCTACCCCATATCATTTATATGTTGAATTACTACTCCATGTTGTAACTTACGAAGAATATTTAGTTTAATTTACAACATCCTAAAATATTTTGGAGTGTTCTCTGGCTACATCTTCTATCATTACAGAGATTATTTTGATATAAATTATAGTCAGTTAAAATTACTTCAGTTCATCTTGGTTATACATATTTTTCCTTCAGTTCAATCTGATGATGAACTTTAAATCATTACTCAATATTTGTGATATATTTCTTACAGTGTACCATCTATATTGCGTAGTAACAGATTTCGCAGAGATGCAAAAGCCTTGGAAGAGGATGAAGAAATGTGGTTTAATGAAGATGAAGAAGAGGAAGGAAAAGCAGTTGTGGCACCAGTGGAAAAACCTAAGCCAGAAGATGATTTTCCAGATAATTATGAAAAGTTTATGGAGACTAAAAAAGGTATTAAAATTCGGAATTTTTGCACAGTGTACCCTCTTATTTAGTGCAGAAATTATTTTGTTGCTTTGTGAAGGTTTGTTTATAGTTTACAAAGCAAGAAAGACAAAAATTTTATACCAAACTGTGTTCTTTTAAAATTATGTACTTTTTCCAAATCTGTCTGGGAATTCTTTTCATGTTTAAAATGTTTCTCTTCAAACTTGCTATTTTGTAATGCTGTTAATTTGCTAGTTAGAAATTGAATTATCTACTTATACTTTTCTTTCTGTGAATAGTCTTGGCTTTATTTCTATACTGAAATTCTCAGTAATAACAGAGACCATATAGCTTCATAGAAACCTTCTAGAGTACTTTGCCTGTGTCTTTTACAGCTGATAAACTGAGCTCAAACAAGTAACTTTGCTCTTTGAAATTTTAAAATTACAAAAGTTACATAAAGATATACTAACAAGAGAAGTGAAAAAGTAAAACTTCCCCTGGCTTTCAGATGTGCTTAACTTGTTTTATAAAATGAAGATCTTGCTAGTAATATATCTTTCAAAAGAACTAACCATTTTACTTCTGTGGCCTGAGGAATTACCATTTTTTGGAATACTGCCCTGAGTATATCATTTAAATATTTAATTAAAATTTATACCTTGCTGGGCATGGCGGCTCACGTCTGTAATCCCAGCACTTTGGGAGACTGAGGCAGGTGGATCATTTGAGCCCAGGAGTTCCAAACCACCCTGGGTAACATGGTAAAACCCTGTCTCTACAAAAAAACACAAAAATTAAATGGGCACAGTGGCACTTACCTGGAGTCCCAGCTACTAGGAAGGCTGAGGCTGGAGGATCACTTGAGCCCAGGAGGTCGAAGCTGCAGTGAGCCATGAGCTGCCGCTGCACTCCAGCTTAATAACAGAGAAAGACCTTATCTCAAAAACAAAAGAAAAAATTTATGTCTTAGAAGATAAAAGCCTTTCTTGGATTTATTATGTAAGTTTGTGATTTTGAATGTGACATTTTCTAAAGACAATTCTCAGAAAATTAATTTCATTTATTACATTTTCTTTGAAACTATTGTTCGTACTCATTTTCAACTCATTAGTTTGATAAGTTTTATTTGCCTCAGCGTGGCGGAGCAAAAAGCTTATTAAAATATCCTAAGAAATCGGTACCTTTGCTAGACAAATTCTTCTGCCTTTACTCATTACAGGTACTGCCCTGACTATTGTCAAAAGAGGCAGTACAGCCATATTTGAAGTTCTGTATCCAGTGTTGAGTGAGATGCTGTTAAGAATCATATATAAAAATAATAACCAGATGTTAAAAGGGATTGGACACCTATGTCATAACACAAACAGAAAAAGGAACCTGGAATATTTAGGACTTACGGACTTGATCATTGTCTTTAGGCATTTGGAATATTGACTTGTGAGAGAAATTACTAGGTTTTTACCATGAGTAAAGAAGTGTAGAGTCAGTGAGTGGAAGCTACAGGGAGACAATAAAAGGAAGAGTCAGACAGCTAATGAGATTTTAGATGTATGTGCTAGATACCACAATGTAGAGTTCTAGCATAGAATGGCTAATTTTGTTATGATCCGTAAGGTCCTTTCTAATACTGAGATTTCTAAGATTCTAGCTAATAAAGACTTACCACTTGTATTAGTTCGTTTTATACTGTTAAAAAGAACTACCTAAGACTGGGTAGTTTATGAAGAAAAGAGGTTTGATTAACTCACAGTTCTGTAGGCTTAACAGGAAACATGGCTGAAAGGCTTCGAGAACCTTACAGTCATGGTCGAAGGCGAAAGGAAAGCAAGCATATCTTAACCATGGTGGAGCGGGAGACAGAGAGTGTGAAGGAGGAGGTGCCATGCACTTTTGTTTGTTTGTTTGCTTTTTGAGATGGAGTCTCCTTCTCATTGCCCAGGCTGGAGTGCAGTGGCGTGATCTCGGCTCACTGCAACCTCTGCCTCCTGGGCTCAAGCAATTCTCCTGCCTCAGCCTCTCAAGTAGTTGGGATTACAGGCATGTACCACCACACCCAGCTAATTTTTATATTTTTAATAGAGATGGGGTTTCACCATGTTGGCCAGGCTGGTCTTGAACTCCTGGTCTCAGATGATTCACCCACTTTGGCCTCCCAAAGTGCTGGGATTACAGGCATGAGCCACCAAGCCCGGCCGAGGTGCCACACACTTTGAAACAACCAGATCTCGTGAGAACTCACTATCACAAAAATAGCAAGGGGGTTTTCTGCCTCCATGATTCAGTCATCTCCTCCAACACCTGGGGATTACAATTCACAATGAGATTTGGGTGGGGACAAGAGCCAAACCATATCATTCCACCCCGGTCCCTCCCTAATTTCATGTCCTTTTTACATTTCAAAACCAATCATGCCTTCCCAACAGTCCCCCATAACTCATTCCAGCATTAACTCAAAAGTCCAAGTCCAAAGTCTCATATGAGACAAAGTAAATCCCTTCTGCCTGTGATCCTATAAAATAAAAAACAAGTTAGTTACCTCCAAGATACAACGGGGGTACAGACATTGGGTAAATGCTCCCATTCCAAATGGAAGAAATTGGCCAAAACAAAGGGGCTACAGGCCCTGGGCAAGTGCAAAGCCCAGCAGGGCAGTCTTTAAATCTTAAAGCTCCAAAATAATCTCCTTTGACTCCATGTTTCACATCCAGGGCATGCTGATACAACAGGTAGGCTCCCAGGGCCATGGCTGGCTTCGCCCCTATGGCTTTGCCAGGTACAGCCCCCATGGCTGCTTTCATGGGCTAGAGTTGAGTGCCTGTGGCTTTTCCAGGTGCATGGTGCAAGCTGTTGGTAGATCTACTGTTCTGGGGTCTGGAGGATGGTGGCCCTCTTCTCATGGCTCCACTAGGCAGTATCCCAGTGGGGACTCTATGTGGGGGCTCCAACCTCACATTTCCCTTCCGCACTGCCCTAGTAGAGGTTCTTCATAAGAGCTCTGCCCCTGCAGCAGATTTCTGCCTAGATATCCAGGCATTTCTATATGTCTTCTGAAATCTAGGTGGTTTGAGAATCAGAGGTTACCAAACCTCAGTTCTTGCCTCTACCCCACAGGCCCCGTGTCACATGGAAGCCACCAAGAGTTGGGGCTTGCACGCTCTAAAGCCATGGCCCAAGCTGTACCTTGGCTCCTTTTCGCCATGGCTGGAGCTGCAGCACCTGGGATGCAGGGTGTCCCAAGACTGCACAGAGCAGCAGGGCCCTGGGCCCAGCTCACAAAACCATTTTTCCCTCCTAGGCCTCTGGGCCTGTGAATTAACATTTGGCTCCTTGTTACTTATTCAGATTTCTGCAGCCAGCTTGAATTTCTCCCCAGAAAATGGGGTTTTCTTTTCTACTGCATGGTCAGGCTGCAAGTTTTCCAAACTTTATGCTCTGCTCCCTTTTAAATATAAATTCTAATTTCAGACCATCTCTTTCTTCATGCATATGAGCATACGCTTTTAGAAACCGCCAGAAGGCCTCTTTTTTTTTTTTTTTTTTTTTTTTTTTTTTTTTCTGAGATGGAGTCTCTCTCTGTTGCCCAGGCTGGAATGCAGTGGCATGATCTCAGCTCACTGCAACCTCTGCCTCCCAGGTTCAACTGATTGTCCTGCCTCAGCCTCCCAAGTAGCTGGGACTATAGGTGTGTGCCACCACGCCCAGCTAATTTTTGTATTTTTAGTAGAGACAGGGTTTCACCCTGTTGGCCAGGCTGGTCTCCAACTCCTGACTTCGTGATCCGCTTGTCTCAGCCTCCCAAAGTGCTGGTGTTACAGGCATGAGCCACTGTGCCCAGCCCAGGCCACCACTTGAATGCTTTGCTGCTTAGAAATTTCTTCCACCAGATATCCTAAATCATCTCTCTCAAGTTCAAGTTCCACAGATCTCTAGGGCAGGGGCAAAATGCCGCCAGTCTCTTTGCTAAAGCATACCAAGTATGACCTTTACTCCAGTTCCGAATAAGTTCCTCACCTCCATCTGAGACCTCCTCAGCCTGGACTTCATTGTCCATATCACTGTTAGCATTTTGGTCAAAACCAGTCAACAAGTCTTTAGGAAGTTCCAGACTTTCCCATATCTTCCTGTCTTTTTCTAAGCCCTCCAAATTGTTCCAACCTCTGTCTATTACCCAGTTCCAAAGTCGCTTCCACATTTTCAGGTATCTTTTTTTTTGAGATGGAGTCTTATTCTGTCATCCATGCTGGTGGGCAGTGGCACAATCTCAGCTCACTGCATCCTCTGCCTCCAGGGTTCAAGCAATTCTCCTGCCTCAGCCACCAGAGCAGCTGGGATTATAGGTGTGCACCACCACCCCCAGCTAATTTTTGTATTTTTAATAGAGAATAGGTTTCATCATGTTGGCCAGGCTGATCTTGAACTCCTGACCTCAAGTGATCCACCCTCCTCAGCCACCCAAAGTGCTGGGATTACAGGCGTGAGCCACTGCGCCCTGCCATTTTCAGGTATCTTTATAGCAGTACCACATTCCTGTTACCAATTTTCTGTATAGTTCGTTTTCACACTGCTCTAAAGAACTACCTGAGACTGTAATTTATGAAGAAAAGAGGTATAATTGACTTAAAATTCCACATAGCTGGGGAGGCCTCAGGAAACTTGTGGCGGAAGGTGAATGGGAAACAAGGCATGTGTTACATGGCAGCAGGAGAGAGAGAGCAAGGGGGGAAGTGCCACCCTTTGGAACAACCAGATCTCGTGAGAACTCACTATCACAAGAACAGCAAGGGCGAAATCCACCCCCATGATCCAGTCACCTCTCACCAGGTCCCTCCCCTGACATGTGGGGATTACAATTTGATTTGCGATTTGGGTGGGGACACAGAGCCAGACCATATCATCACTGTACACATCATGTTCTTTTTCAAAAGTTCTTAGGAAACAAAGGCAATTAATTTTGGTGTTATTTTTTTTTGTTTTTTTGGTTTTTTTTGAGACGGAGTTTCGCTCTTGTTGCCCAGGCTGGAGTGCAGTGGTGCGATCTCGGCTCACCACAACCTCTGCCTCCCAGGTTCAAGTGATTCTCCTGCCTCAGCCTCCCAAGTAGCTAAGATTATAGACATGCGCCACCACACCCGGCTAATTTTGTATTTTTAGCAGAGACGGGGTTTCTCCATGTTGGTCAGGCTGGTCTTGAACTCCGGCCTTGGGTGATCTGCCTGCCTCAGCCTCCCAAAGTGTTGGGATTACAGGCGTGAGCCACCATGCCCGGGCAGCAATGTTTTATAAGTTTTTTAATTACTGCTGTTTTTAGATGTTTTGACTTAGCAGTATTTATTGATATACGTTCAAAATTTTACTTTTGCTTTAGCAAAAGAAAGTGAAGACAAGGAAAACCTTCCCAAAAGGACATCTCCTGGTGGCTTCAAATTTACTTTCTCCCACTCTGCCAGTGCTGCTAATGGAACAAACAGTAAATCTGTAGTGGCTCAGATACCACCAGCAACTTCTAATGGATCCTCTTCCAAAACCACAAACTTGCCTACGTCAGTAACAGCCACCAAGGTAGGTGAAACAGCATTACACACAAACTTTGCTTTTCCCGTCTGTGAGATTTTTTCATGTTTACTGAAAAAAATTTGGATAATCAAAACAATTTCAATGAATTGTTTAGAATTTTTCTGTTACCAAAATGTTGATTGTAGAATTTTATTTTATTTTATTTTATTTTTTGAGACAGAGTCTCACTCTGTCGCCAGGCTGGAGTGCAGTGGAGTGATCTCAGCTCACTGCAACCTCCGCCTCCCGGGTTCAAGCAGTTCTCCTGCCTCAGTCTCCCAAGTAGCTGGGACTACAGGCGCGTGCCACCACACCCAGCTAATTTTTGTATTTTTAGTAGAGACGAGGTTTCACCATGTTGGCCAGGATGGTCTCGATCTCTTGACCTCATGTTCCGCCCACCTCGGCCTCTCAAAGAGAATTTCATTTTATTTAGGCTTATGATAATAAATGTAAGCATCCTTCCTCCCTGTCCCCCATTCTATTTTGGAGCACTTAAGTTGATTCTAATATTTCACTGACTACTTAGTGTTACTGCATTTTAAATTATTTTCTTGGATAGTTTAGTAGTAGAACGTCTTCACACATACGGTCAAATTCATCTTCATAAAGTCTATGCCAGTTTATGTTACCATAAACTGTGTATGAGTGTGCGTGGCCAATTGCAGCTTTGCCAGTGCTATAATTATTTTTAGTATTTGCCAGTTAGGTAGGGGAGACAGTATATAATATCTCATTTCCAATCGTGTATACTCTATTAGTAGTAAGGCTAAATATTAGCCTTTTGAATCTGCTCTTCTCTGCAAATTGGATTATATTATTGTCGATGAATCTTTAGTTAAGGATATTAGACTTTCTGTTGTTCTTATAACAAATGTATTTCCCTTGGTTACTTTTTTTATAAACAAGTTTAAATTTTATATGAAACATTTTTCTTGTTCATATGTTATATGAAATCATCCTTTTTCCCCAAAAAGGAGTGGCTTAAAATAAAAAGGCATAAATAGGGGACAACTATTGTATAAAGGTAGAAAGACAAGCAGAAACACCGTGGTAGTACATACCTAATTAAAGGAATGCATCTTGTTTGGAACACAAAATATAAGTCTGAGTTTATTTTACAAAAATGTAGAATTTTCATTCAGTAGTATAGTGAGATAGGCTCTTGACAATAGCATTTTCATGGTATTCGGTATTTGAAACATATTTTATGTTTTTCAACTGGAAAATTTTAAAATTAGTTTTCAACTTTATGATGGGACAATTTAGAGTAATATTGTGACACTACATTAAGAATGTTTGGGCTGGGCACAGTATCCTAGCACTGTGGGAGGCCAAGGCAGGAGGATCGCTTGAGCGCAGGAGTCCAAGACCAGTCTGGGCAACAAGGTGAGACCCCATCTCTACAAAAAGTATTAAAAAATTAGCTGGGTGTGGTGGCACACACCTGTGGTCCCAGCTACTCAAGAGTCAGGCAGGAGAATGGTTTGAGCCTGAGAGGTGGAGGCTTCAGTGAGCCATGATCTTGCCACTGCACTCCAGCCTAAACAAGAGAATGAGACCCTGCTCAAAAAAGAATATTTGCCATAGGGTTGTATTGTTTGGGTTCAAACCTTGGCTCTGCCTCTTTGTAGCTGTATCACCTTGTATAAGTTATTTAATCTCTCTGGGCCTTAAGCTCCCTGCCTTCCTGCTTCGTCGTCGTCGTCGTCGTTGTTGTTACAGAGTCTCACTCTGTCACCCAGCCTGGAGTGCAGTGGTGTGATCACAGCTCACTGCCTCCGCCACCTCCTGGGCTCAACTGATCCTCCCACCTCAGCCTCCCGAGTAGCTGGGAGTGCTGGCGCATGCCACTATGCCTGGCTAATTTTTCTATTTTTGGTAGAGATGGGTTTTTGCCATGTTGCCCAGGCTGGTCTCAGACTGCTGGTCTCAAGCAGTCCTGCTCAGCTTCCCACAGTGTTAGGATTAACAGGTGTTAGCCACCATGCCCGGCCGACTTTCTTGTTTTAAAAAGGGGTAAGGTAGTACCTACTTTATAAGCTTGTTGGGAAGATTAAATTATTTAACAAATGTAAAATGCTGAGAACACTGCTTGACACCTTCTCAGTATATATTAGCTTTTCTTTTTTTTCTTTTTTTTTTTTTAAATCAAAGTAATACATGCATGTACTTTCAAAAGTCAAATATTACCAAAAGGCAAGTTTATATTAGAAAAAAATCAGTCCCTCTGTTCCCCTCCACAAAGATACCTTTGAACTCTTTTAGCTGTGTCTTCTATTTCTAATAATATGTCAATACTGCATACCTTTTCTATCCTACTTTTATATCCTACTATTCATTTTGTTTTCCTGTTATATTTTCTGTTATATTTCTCTGAGTTTTTATTATCCTTTCAGATAATTTACTTATGAATGAGCAAAATTAAATGCAAGCACCAACACCTTTTTCACTCTTCTTGACAGTAACAGCAGATTACAGAATACATCTGTTATACATCCTTTTTAGAGATAGGGATAAAAACAGTGTTCTTGGGAAACAGTTGCTCTATCACTGTAGACACAGAATTTTGAAATTAAGCAAGACAGGAGTTGACAGAAGTTAAGCACCACTTTAATTTGCTCTCAACCTTCTTAACAAACCATGCCCACATTCCTAAGTGGTGACAGATTCTTTATCACCAATTGCCCTTTGGTTTAGCCAGTTTCACTAACAGTGTTAATTGCTATAGTTGAAGGCTGGCTAGACATTAGCTACTAATGAATTAAAACATTTGTTTTTATGATATAAATGTCATAAAGACACAAAATACTTCTTTAGTTGTGTAACTGTAAAACGTATATTTTCTATGAGGAAAAATATAAAATCAGAATGAGAAGCCATTTGTGGATACTAAAATAAACACGTCACAGATTCACAGTAGAGAAACCTGTTATTTTGCTTCTTTGTGTAGCAAATTTATCTTGGTGAGCTCTTCATATCAGGACATTAGAGATTTCCTGCATAGAACTTAAAAGTATGGATATAACAATTTATAATTAGCCCCTATCAATGTGATGGGCATTAAAGTTGTTTGCAGCTTTTTGTAGTTAAAATCATTGCTGCAATATGTGACCACTTGCATATATCATTTCATATACGTGTGTATTTCTGTATAGAATGTGCATTTATTATAATGTTCTAGGATTACAGGTGTGCGACACCATGCCTGGCTAATTTTTGTATTTTCAGTAGAGATGGGGTTTCACCATGTTGGCCAGGCTCGTCAGGAACTCCTGATCTTAAGTGATTCACCCACCTCGGCCTCCCAAAGGGCTTTTTCATAGGTTATTGTTGTCATTTATTTTGATCCTTTCTTTCATATTGGAAACTTTACTCAAGTGGTGATCTTAGGATTTCCTTTCATAAAAAAAAATAAGGCAGATTTTAATAAGAGTGCCAAGACAATTTGATGGGGGAAAGAATACTCTTTTTCTTTCTTTCTTTTTTTTTTTTTTTTTTTAGACGGAGTCTTGTTCTGTTGCCCAGGCTGGAGTGCGGTGGCGCAATCTTGGCTCACTGCAAGCTCCGCCTCCCAGGTTCACACCATTTTCCTACCTCAGCCTCCTGAGTAGCTGGGACTACAGGTGCCCACCACCACGCCTGGCTAATTTTTTGTATTTTTAGTAGAGATGGGATTTCACTGTGTTAGCCAGGATGTTCTCGATCTCCTGACCTCGTGATCTGCCTGCCTCGGCCTCCCAAAGTGTTGGGATTACAGGCGTGAGCCACCGCGCCCGGCCACAATACCCTTTTCAATAAATGTTACAACTGGATATCCACATGCAGAAGAATGAAGTTAGATCCCTATCTCACATCATATCCAAAACTCCTCTCAAAATGGATGAAAAGATCCAAATGTAAAAGTTAAAAGTCTAAAACTCTTTTTTAAAAAAAGGCATAAATATCTATGACCTTGGATTTAGGCAGTGATTTCTTAGATATGACACAAATAGCTCAAGTGACAAAAGAAAAATAATAAATTGGACTCATTCAAAATTCAAAAATTTTGTACTCCAAAGGATACTACCATAAATTGAAAAGACAATCCACAAAATGGGAGGAAATATTTGTAAATGATATATCTGATAAGTAACTGGTATCCAGAATATATAAAGAACTCTTACACCTCAGCATGACAACCCCGTTTTAAAATGGACAAAGGATTTTAACAGACATTTCTGCAAAGAAGATACACAAGTGGCCCATATAAACATGTGGAAAGATGTTTAGCATCATTAGTAAGGGAAATGCAAGTCAAAATCACAATATGATAGCATTTCACATCCTCTAGGATAGCTATAATAAAAAAGATGCACAAAAACAAGTGTTGGTAAGAATGTAAATTGTGACACCCATTGCTAGTGAGAATATAAAATAGCACAACAGGCCTGGTGCATAGGCTTATGCCTGTAATCCCAGCATTTTGGGAGGCCGAGGCAGGAGCATCGCTTGAGCCCAGGAGCTCGAGACCAGCCTGGGCAAAATGGCAAAACCCCGTCTACAAAAATTAGCTGGACATGGTGGCACATGCCTGTGGTCCCAGCTATTCGGGAGGCTGAGGTGGGAGTATCACTTGAGCCCAGCGGGCAGAGGTTGCAATAAGCCGAGATCACATCACTGCACTTTCGAGTCTCTAAGACAATGTCTCAAAAAATAAATATATAAAAATAAAATGGTGTAGCAGCTTTGGAGTACAGTCTGGCGGTTCCCCAAAAAGTCAGAGTACCATATGACCCAGAGTTACCATATGACCCAGCTACCTCATTTCCTAGGTATATATTGTAAGAAAATTGAAAACATGTGTCCACTGTAAAACTTGTATATGAATGTTAATAGCAGTATTTTTCATAATAGCCAAAAAGTAAGAATAACCCAAATGTCTCTCAGCTGATGAATGGATACACAAAATGTAGCATATTCATACAGTGGATATTATTTGGCCATAAAAAAGAATGAAGTCCTGATATGCTAAGCATAGATTAACTTTGAAAACATTGTGGTAATTGAAGTAAACCAGTCACAAAAGACCACATATTGTATGATTCCATTTATATGAACTGTCCAGAATAAGCAAATCCGCAGAAACAAAGTAGGTTAGTGGTTGCCAAGAGCTGGGTGGTGTGGGGGGTGGTGGGGGAATGAGGACTGTTTATGGGGACTTTTTTTGGTGGGTGAAATGGTGGAAATGTTCTGGAATTGGTGGTGATTACGTAACTTGTGAATATACTAAAACCACTGAATTATATGCTCTGAAATGGTGAGTTTATGGTGTGTGAAAATTATACACTTTAAAAACTTGACTTTATGGTATGGACTTAGAGAGTAGTGCCCTGCTTTTTTCGGGAGGTGTTAGTTGTTTGTAGTTCCCCCCATACTCCTGTGAAGCCATCTAATTTTTACAGACAAAGCTAGTCTCTTACACCTTGTAAGTATAAGAATGGTTGTTAGTGTTCTGAGTGCCTACATAGCAAAGCTTATTGTGGGGTAGGCGTGTCTGCTCAGTATACAAAATTTAAATTTATTCTTTCATTTTCAGCCTGGCCTTACCCATGCCCTTTACTTTGCCTAAAGTCATGAAGTATATGGTCCTTTGCTCTGTAAAGTTCATTACATTCTCTATAGAATTTATTCTTTATAGAGTCATTTTCTATGTAGAATTCTCTGTAGTTGGTGATGGTGGAGGAACAGAAATCTCCTGGCTGTCAGAGGTGTAGAATCAATGACCCAGTTGTCTGTTTTACTATAATTAAACTGTTTTCCCTGCTTTCCCCAATATTTTGGTGCCTTTACTGCCTAGCTTCTTTCTGGGGTTTTCTTAAGACAAATCAGTTTCTCGTTTCTGTATCCCTCTGCAAATACTTAGTTCTTGGCTTCTTCCTGTTGTATGACTTGCCTTGCCTCTGATTTCTCTTTTCCAAAAATGCCTTGGCAACTCTAAACTGCTGTTCTCTCTTCTCCTGTTTTCTTTGCTGGTATTCACTTTTTAAATTTCTTACCTAAATACCCTGCAAAAACAACCCAAATGTCCAACCAGAAATTCAGGAATTAAAGTATATGATGAAGCCGAGCATGGTGGCTCGGCTTTGGGAGTCTGAGGTGGGCAGATCACTTGAGGCCAGGAGTTCAAGGCCAGCCTGGCCAACATGGTGAAACCCCATCTCTACTAAAAATACAAAAGTTAGCCAGGCATGGTGGTGCATGCATGTAGCCCAAGCTACTTGGGTGGCTGAGGCACAGGAATCGCTTGCACCCTGGAGACAGAGGTTGCAGTGAACTGAGATCACACAACTGTACTCTAGCTCAGGCGACAGAGCAAGACTCTTAAAAAATATATATATATTCATACCATGGAATGCAAGGGTTTAAAACAATGAAATGGAACTTTATGTACTGACATCGAAAGCTTTTTTTTATATGAACATGATTGTAAAAGAGTAAATATAATTTCAATCTGCTATTTTAAAACAGTACATTTCTAGATACATATTAAAAGTATGGAATCAGCTTCACAAAGTGCATCTCTAGATTACAGGCCTTTTTACTTCCAACATTTCATATTTTGCATTTTTATTATTTTTATTGTAAACATGTTTTAAATGTATGTTAGTTTGCAGAGATAATATAAGTAAAACTCAAATTGTATAAGTGAGTTTTTCAGACAATTTATTAATCTTGGGCAGAAACAATTAAGTGTTAACCATTTGGAATACAAATGTTTGTACGTTATGATATGTAATACTAAGCATAATTAAAACTTTGTAACTTTGCTGTCATCTTTTTGATTATCAGATTGGTGCCTTTTTATACCAGAATTATTTCTTGTTTTTCCTCTCTTCCAATTTGTTTGGCTTAGAAACAAAATAATAGAAAAATGATAGTAGTAATAGCAGCTAATAGCACTTATTGAACACTAACTACATACGAAGCACTGTGCTGAAGTGCTTTAGATGTTTGGTTATCTATTTATTTATTTATTTATTTATTTTTGAGATGGAGTCTTGCTCTTGTTGCCCAGGCTGGAGTGCAGTGGTGCAATCTTGGCTCACTGCAGCCTCTGCCTCCCGGGTTCAAGCAATTCTCCTGCCTCAGCCTCTGAAGCAGCTGGGATTACAGGCATGCGCCACCACTCCTGGCTAATTTTTTTATTTTTAGTAGAGATGGGGTTTCACCATGTTGGTCAGGCTGGACTCCAACTCCTGACCTCAGGTGATCCACCTACCTTGGCCTCCCAAAATGCTAGGATTACAGGCATGAGCCACTGCGCCTGGCCATCAATTTAAATTTCAAAATAGTTCACTGAGGCCTAAATACTACTATACCAATTTTACAGACAAACTGAGGCAGAGGTATTAAACCACTTGCCCAAGGTTTTGTGTTTTTTTTTGTTTTTCTTTTTGTTTTGAGATGGAGTCTTGCTCTGTTGCCCAGGCTAGAGTGCAGTGGTGCAATCTCCACCTCCTGGGTTCAAGAGATGCTCGTCCCTCAGCCTCCCGAGTAGCTGGGACTACAGGTGCCTGCCATCACGCCAGGCTAATTTTTGTATTTTTGGTAGAGATAGGGTTTTGCTATGTTGGCCAGGCTGGTTTTGAACTCATTATCTCTCAGGTGACCCATCCGCCTCGATCTCCCAAAGTGCTGGGATTACAGGCATAAGCCCAGCCCCAAAGTTTTGTTTTTGTTTTTGTTTTTTTTTACATAAAACGTGGTGTCATTAGAATTTGACATCAGACCTACAGTTAGCCTATTTTTAACAATTTAGCCATATTGCTTCTTGCATATCCAGACTTAAGATGTGTGTGTGATTAAGTTGAGAAACAGATTCTCAGACAGGTATATAAGTCTTTCTGATAACTGTTTCTAGCTGCCCAGAGGCCTTTTTTTGGTTGGTTAATATTATACTGATTTGGTTACATTCTGGTAAAACCCGATACCTCAGTACTTCAGGTATGAAGTATGAGTTACTTCAGTTGTATTTGTTTTATCTCCTAGAGGTCTGAAGGGTTTGAACTAAATACAGTGTTTACAGTAGCCCTCTTAACCTATAGGACATAAGTTTTCATGGGATTGGCTCAAAATGAATGAAACCCTGTGGATGTGTAATTTTCTGGAGAGTACCCAGAGTTTTTCTAGGATTTTCACAGAGGTCTGTTACTCATCAAAGGCCAAGACCACGAATTACCTCATCCTTATTGTTCTTTTGGTCAGCGAGCTAGCCCTAAATGTTTTACTTATTATTTTATAGGAATCATTTCATGTGTTTATCTCCAGCCATTTAAGCTGTACTTCAAAAGCACAATGAAAATAATGTGTACTTAGTGATGAAATATACACAAGATGAACAAAGACTACAAGGGGCTTTCTTGTGGTAATGAAATTAGAGAAATGAACCAGTTCATCTCCAATGTCCTTTCCAGCTTCCAAATGTTATTAATTGTTATCCCTACTGTTTGGAAAAGTAGACATTTTCCCACAGTAAAATTTTGCAGAATTGAGTTTTGAAGTATCATTAATAATCCAAGAACCAGATAGAAAAGTTAAGGGTTACTGCAAGTGCTACCAATTACTACTCAAACGTTCATAATTTCAAGCAGTTCCTTTATCAAATTCAAATGTTAATTTCTGATATGATTTAGAAAAACGATTTCTGATATTTTTACAAGTGATTGTATTTGTACTAAAAGCTCTTTTTTGTTATATATGTTTAAAGAAAAAATTTTTAAATTCTTCAATAGGGAAGTTTGGTTGGCTTAGTGGATTATCCAGATGATGAAGAGGAAGATGAAGAAGAAGAATCGTCCCCCAGGAAAAGACCTCGTCTTGGCTCATAAAATATTTATTAGGGGACCCTCAACATGTGGTCTTACAATGCTGCAACTGTTCAGTGAGCTGAAAATCTGAATCAGAAAGCTTTCTCAATTGAACTTATAAAATATACAAGGAGTAGCAAAAGACAGTATATCAGCTAAGAGAGTTTAGTTCTAATAAAAATCAGGCTTCCCAGGAACTTGATTGCTTGCTAGTAATTAAGGGGTTTGCCTTTTAGGCTGTCAAAACAAACATTAGTAACCAGAACCTGGGAGACAGCTTCTCAGCAAGGAAAAGTCACAGGTTTGGGGACGGTTTAGGGGAGGGGAAAAGGTTGATATAATAATGCAGGGTTGCTCCTCGGGGTGTCGATCTAGAAACAATTTTACAGAACTTCAGTTGTAAACTCAATAACATTACTTGTATAATGGTGCTGGCCATGTTGTTGTTTTAATCAGTTGCCTCTTTTTAAAAGAAATTTTTATGGAAAACACATTCAACTATCATTAAAAAAATGAAGTTAAGCTGTTGGGACCATTTCTTTAAGATTTAACAAAAGTTCAGCCTTTTAGGTAGTTGAAGGGAAGTACACCCCGTATTCAGCACATGTTGAGTTTTCTACACCAGGAATTTTCAATATGTATATTGATGAAAACAAGCTCAATTCAAACTGGACAGTTTTAAGATAATGTTAAAATCAGCACTTTTAGAGACAACGAAGGCCAAGAATCAGTACAGTAGTATTCCAAAATGATTTTCTCTAGAAATTTGAAAGTAGATCGAACAGAATGTTGTCAACCGCCTACCAGTACAATCTTTTGTGGAAGATACTTTGAAATCACTTTCTACTTTGTTAGTAAAGTTCTGTCTTTCCAGAGCTGCAAGTTTTAAAGTGTTACTTATACAGACCAACCAAGAATAGTGCTGAATTAAGTGGCATTTAGTATCTAGAAGCCATTTTGATCCAAGAAGCTACTTAAGTGTCAAAGTCAGCATGCAGCACATGTAGCTTTTCTGTAAACAAGGGTGTGATATGAAAGCTGCTTTTTTAAGAAGAGTAAAAGCACATTCCATATACGTAAGTGAATTTTAAAAATAAATTGAGGCAAACAGTTAAGTTTTATTTTTAGAGCAACAAGTTAACTGTAAATATTTTAATGTTAGTTTGCTCATCTATGATCTGAGATCATGCCGAAGTGAGAAAAATCTCCCCAAAATACAATTTAATGCATTGGGAAAAAAAAACTTTAACAGTAATTCCAGCCACAATCTTTAGATCACCCTTGTAATGTGTTACGGGTCCATTTTTCCTGGAATCGTTTAATCTAAAGCAGTTTCCCCTGTTTTGGAGATTTTGTAGTTAATTTTAATTTTGGCTATTGTTTGGAAAAGATGAGCTGTCTGTGTAGATATGAAGTATAGTTTTTTCCATAAAACAGATGTTTATTTTGTATTAAAAAATACCACTGTACTTGTTTTACACCATTTGTATACATGTGGTGATATTAATGCTAAACTGTAAAATTCAGGAATTAAAATGTGACCCTGTAATTCCATAATTGATGTTTGTGTTTGGTTTGTTGTAAATATAAATTAACTCCATTTTGAGATATGTCAATTTTACAGTATCTTTTAAAAGCCAATAAAATTATCCATAAATATTTATTATAAACTGCTAGATCATACCCCAATTTTAATGAAATAATTCTAAACAAATGCGGGTCAATGGCACTTTATCAGTGACTACTTATAGAAGGTAAGCCTTGGGGAAATCATAGCATCACAGTATGGAGCTTTTCTCACCTTTTCAATTAAAGGTGTACATATAGTAAGAAAGAAAGACCTTCCACCTCATAAGGCAGGTGACTCAGGATATTTTAAACTAAGATCAGTAAAGTTCCCATCCACTTTCTTTGAATCATCAAATTTTATCGAGACCCATCTCTCAGCTTTTAGTAAATTTCTTCTTAAAATAAGCCCACATGTAAAACACTTTCCTAGTTACTTTTTGTTTGTTTGTTTGAGTCTCGCTCTGTTGCCCAGGCTGGAGTGTAGTTGCACGATTTCGGCTTATTGCAACATCCGCCACCTGGGTTCAAGCAATTCTCTGCCTCAGCCTGAGTAGCTGGGATTACAGGTGCCCGTCACCATGCCAGGCTAATTTTTGTATTTTCAGTAGAGACGGGGTTTCACCATCTTGGCCAGGCTGGTCTTAAACTCCTGACCTCACAATCCACCCGCCTCAGCCTCCCTATCTCTGTATCTTATGAAGACTTCCTTTTTCTTTCTGAAGAGCTGCCATAAGTCTTAAACATTTAAATCATCAGAACCTTTTCTTGTAGCAGAAATGTGAATGTTTTCTTGAAGTACAGGTTACGGTTTTCATGGTACAAGTGCTTACCTACGACGATAAGAGAACAAGGCTTAAAATATCCCTCAAAAGAACAATTGTGAGAATTCCATGTTAGCGGCTGTCTTTAAACGACTACCCTCAGGCAGATCTGGGTTTTTATATCTTTATCTTCATTCAGTGAAGCAAGCCAAAAGCCCACATTTGTATGCCTTAGGTCTTCTTAAAATGGTATCTGTAAACATGTGTCCAATATAAAAACTATTTTTAATAAAAAGTTACATGAAACAGATTTCTGTGTTTTAATCACTAGCATTTCCTCTTAGCCATCTAGTGATGAAAATATAACAAATGTAAATACTGGTTTTCCTGCAGGGGAAAGTTTGGAATTGTGTAACTGAAATGAGTAAATCCTGTTACACTAATTTTGGTATCCTTTTTTAAAAGTTTATAATGGTAGACTTAAGGAGATAAAATGTGATTATAAGTTAAATCTCAGGAGTATCCTGTACTTAGAAAAGGGTGGACGTGGGATATTACAAGACTGGAAGTTTTTTGTTTGTTTGTTTGTTTTTTGGAGATGGAGTCTTGCTCTGTTGTTGCCCAGGCTGGAGTGCAGTGGTGTGATTTCGCTCACTGCAACTTCCACCTCCCAGGTTGAAGCGAGTCTCCAGCCTCAGCCACCCGAGTAGCTGGCATTACAGGCATGCACCACCACGCCCAGCTAATTTTTGTATTTTAGTAGAGATGGGGTTTCACCATGTTGGTCGGGCTGGTCTTGAACTCCTGACCTCAAGTGATCTGCACCCCCTCAGCCTCCCAAAATGTTGGGATTACAGGCATGAGCCACCATGCCTGGCCTTTTTTATTTTATTTTTTTTATATGGAGTCTTGCTCTGTCACCCAGGCTGGAATGCAGTGGCGTGAGCTCGGGTTCAATGCAACCTCCGCCTCCCGGGTTCAAGCGATTCTCCTGCTGCAGCCTTCCAAGTAGCTGGGATTACAGTTACCCGCCACTACACCTGGCTAATTTTTGTATTTTTAGTTGAGACGGAGTTTCACCATGTTGGCCAGGCTGGTCTCCTGACCTCAAGTGATCCTCCTGCGTCGGCCTCCCAAAGTGCTGGGATTACAGGCATGAGCCACCACACCCGGCCTGCAAGTTTCTGAAAGAAAGGTCTCCTATTATTGTGGTTTATCTTTAAACAAACAGACTACAGAAATCTTAGGGTCACTTCTCTTAAACACCAACACCCAGTGGTGGCATCTCCTTCAACAGGCTCAATCGATTATTCCCTTTGCCTGTGTTTTAGTAAGAGTTTGTCTAGAAAGAGTGAGTATTTTTTACATCCCGCACATCTATTTTCCAAGTCCTATTTGCTCCTGCCTCGTATAAGTGTAAATGATAAATGTAAAATCTACCTTACCACTGCCCAAGTTATCTCTACCCTTGATTGGACTGTCTCATACATGGTACACCCACAACTACTCTACCTCATACAGCAATAAAAATGAAAATTTTGATCATTTAACTTCCCTGCTTTAATTTTTTTTTTCCTTTTTTTTGAGACGGTCTCACTGTGTCATCCAGGCTGGAGTGGAGTGCTGTGATCATAGCTCACTGCAGCCTTGACCTCCGGGGCTCTGGTGATCCTAGCACCTCAGCCTCCCAGGTAACTGGGACTACAGGTATATGCCACCATGCCTAGCTAATTTTTTGTATTTTTAGTAGATACAGGGTTTTGCCATGTTGCCCAGGCTGATCTCAAACTCCTGGGCTCAAGCAATCTGTCCACCTCGGCCTCCCAAAGTGCTGGGATTACAGTGTCAGCCACCGTGCCTGGCCCCTGCATTAAAATTTTTCAATGACTTGACACTGCTGGTATTACAAAATTTAAAATCCAGAGCTGGGATTGTGCAACTGCACGCCAGCCTGGGCAGCAGAGCAAGATCCTGTCTCTAAAATAATTTTTAAAAAAATTAAATCCTCACATTCCCTGTAAGACTCTGCACTGTCAGTCCCCCACCTGTCTCCAATTTCATATGCTAACCGTCTCCACTCATATATATACTCCAGTTTTTCAGTATATGCTTTATTTCCTGCTGCAGAACCTGAACTGTTCCTTACCTATTCTTTGTGTAATTAACCTTCCATTCAGCTTAAAGAGGCTTAGCCAGCCCTGCTCATAGGACACTACACTTTGCCTTTCTAACAGTTTCGTCTTTGGGCCCTCTCCACTAGCCCCATGAAGGCAGTGACCCTGTCAATCTAGTTGACTCCTGTATCCTTAGTGCTTAGCACAATGCCTGGCACAAACAGTAGGTAACCGAGTTTGAATGAATGAACATACTATCAACTAGTTTCCTTCTATACCCTCTTTCCAAGGGAAAACATCCAGGAATTTGTATTAAACTAATCAGTATGAGTAGCTGCCTTCCCTACTGTCCTTTACCTAAAGTGTTTAAGATATTTGGATTTACAAAAGTGTTCGAAACTAAAAGGCTCAGTGTAAGGACTAAATAATTTATTTTTAAGACAATTTGAACTTCCATTTTGTTAAATTGTTCTTAATTATTACTTATTAATAACTTCTTCTTTGAGTTTCTCTGCAAGCAATCTCCTCTTTAGTAATGTTTGCTTCTCCTCTGCTGTCATTTCTGGTTTCTCTGTCATTTCCTGAAAAAAAAAGAAAAAATTGGCTACAGTATGAAATAGGGTAATTTGTCTAAAATTCCCAACATACTGCCTCAAATGAACAAAAATCGGGGGCACCTTCTTGTGGGACGGAGGGAGAGACAGACATAGACTAGGTTTCCTAAATCTCTTCTTCGTAAAGTCTCTTCTTGGAGAACCCCTCTGGGAAGTGGTGGCTGATGTGCTCTATGATAAAGGTGGTACTGATGCTGCTCTATGATAAAACATTTCAGAATGCCCAGGTGAAACAGACCACCAACCCTGACATACTCAGAGAAGGGCAAGTAAAGAAACAGCATAAGAAAAAAATGTATAATGACACCGCTATTTTCTGCCTCAAAAAATCCTTATCACAACAATTTCACTTCCTAGAAAAGACTTAGCAGCTACTGCACTAGGAGGTGATTAATATGAATGGGTCTGCAAGCAAAATTTATTAGAGGCTTTCTTGCACATATTCTGATTTTGATAGTTCCACCACCAGATTTGTAAATCTTGACATATTAAGGCTAGCCATACCTCTACCTCCCCAGTGGGTTTTCCTTTCTGCTCCATATTTTGTATCTGTTTAGTCCTCATATCCTTTCTCATGGACATCAACTTATCTCTCTTCTGCTTGAGATAGTGTTCTCGTTGCCGAAGTTCTTCTGTTCCAAGTACTGATAAGTTCTGGGTCAAGTAAGAAAAGGAGCTATCTAAATTCAAATCCATTTAGTAAGTAGCACAGATGCCCACTGAGTGATTCAATTCGAAGTTTGATTTCCCAGTACCTTGTCATTTTGCTTATAGTTCTTAAGTGATGTCGTTTACTTACTGCTATTGGTCCTTCAATGCTCGCATGCTCTAAGCCAGGAATCTTCAGGTCTTTTTGTGGGAGGGAGGAAGTTTCAGACCTTTCCACTTTTCTTCCCAAAGGTTCTATTGACTGATTAGCAAAATGCATTTTAACTTCTGGCAATAAGTAGACAATAAGAGCAATTAGAATATTATGAGAAATATTTTAAGTGTTAGGCTAGGTTTACCGAAATGAGCTAATGTTAATAATACTTGTTTTTCCTCATAGTCATTCAGTCAACATATATTCAGTGCCTATACTGTGCCAGCCACTGGGTAAGAACAGTAAACATCATGTCTCTATCCTTAAGGAGCTTGGAACTACAGTTTCTCACCTACTTCTCAACAAGTACCATGCTTCTGCTGTTTGTACAGTACTATAGCTACAAAAAGCTAAAATCCTTGTCTAAAGATTAGAACTACACTATAATATAAGATTGCCACATAATCCAAATAAACAGTATACTAATCCCTTACTACAATGTAATTGGTTTCCAAACTTTTGCTTGCATGTAAAAAGTCACCCTATACTTTCAGAACAATTAATGTAAAACTATAATTTTTTGTATTGCAAGAGTGCATGCCAGTAATGTCAATAATTTTTGTTTATAATTATGTATTGAAGATAACTATAAACCTGCCAGTGCATTATGAAAATGTAAAGATTTCTAAAGCAAGCAGAACTTGGAAGCACATATAAACATGAGCACTAAATACTTTCCAGCCATTTGGTGACTGTGCCAACCAAGAGAGAGAGTTAACATTCTAATTGCTCCTCTGAGCCATTTTTTATTATAAGGTGATTGTTTTTAAAAAGATAAAACATTTTCAGTGTAAATACATGGGCTATGAAAGAAAGCACACTGAGACAAGCAAAGACATTAAAATGATGCTAAGATCTAAAAGCATGATGGGAAAACATGGCACACATGTCTAAATGATTAAAATTTTTGCCACACCTGGTTGATCCTGCCAGTTAAAAAAAAAAAATACCTTGCCAGCATACATACTAAAACAGAAAACAGAATTTTGTCTGTGCAAGAAACTTGACAACAGACCACTCCTCTAGCAGTGACCAGACTGACTACAGTGCCAGAGAGGTTGAAGGAAGAAAAGCTCTCCAGACCCTTGGACAATAAGGGAAATCTCCATGGAAAAGATAAGCTGTAACCAGCACTCCAAACCAACCTAGACAGGGAGCTACATAACTAACAGAAATAAAGATAGAGGTAAAACACCGCTGTTATTACTGAGAGTGACGTTAGCAGAGGTAGGCTTAGCCCTCAGTGGACTCACAGAACTGGAGAAGGGACAGTTCAAATAATTCCTGAGGAGGGGGGAACCCATACATATAAGCATTTATATTCCACTCATGTTCTTTCTCTGGACAGTTCTTGCCTTGGGTTTGTTAATTATGAACATACGTATATTCTCAGGCCTAGAAAGGAAAGTACTTGAAGCCAAATACTTAGCTTCTCTAATTTCTAGGAAGGGAAGATCAGAAAGCCAGAAAACCTAAAGAAAGATCATCTCATCTCTGGCAAATCTGCATCAATCTGAGAAAAGACACTATCCATTGCTGGCAGGAATGAGGGAAAGACAGGCAAAAGGACAAAGCAGAAGCTCAAACAACTTCATGATTCTTCCAAACTCAGGTCTTCATACTGGGCTTCCATCACTTTGTACGAAGTGATTCTCTGAAATATCAGATATGCGCATTTGAAAAAAATTATTTTAAAAATTGAAATCATTACTTTTGAGATCTACCATTTATGGTGTACCATTAATGTGTACAACTGAATTATATGTGGTTTGAGATCAAGTTTTCTATAGCTTCACTTAGATAAGAAAGCAGACAAAGCAAATTTATTCAATTTATGTTAGACACAAGATTTAAATAGTGTATGTACTTAGGTGTATATAAAACAAAGTTAATTTGGGTCAGCAAACTAGAGCACAGACAAACCTAAAGCAGGAGCTTTCATATATATCATTAAAATGAGGCTATTTCTCCTTACAATCTGTAGCATATATATAAAAAAGAAATGGTTTGACTTGGTACAAAGAAGCAAGGTAACTTCACAGATCTGCTTCTGATTCAATATACTCCTGTTTTTCTGTCAAATAAGAATCTAACTCCTTAAAATTAATGGGTGCTCTCAGTAAACTAGGAATAGAGAGGAACTTCCTCAACTTCATAAAGAGTACGAAAAACTCTAAAACTTAACACAATACTTAATGGTGAGAAATTAGAAGGTTTCTCACTAAGATCAGAAACAAGGCAAAAATGTCCCCTCTCTCACCTTTCTGATTCAACATCATACTAGAAGTCCTACCTAATCCACTAGGACAAGAAAAGGAAATAAAAGGTACACTGATTGGGAAGGAATAAATAAAAATGTCTTTATTTGCAGAACACATGATCATCTATGTAGAAAATGCAAAACAATTGACAGAAAAACTGAAATGAATAATTATATAGCAAGGTTACAGGATACAAATTAATAACAGTTTATCACTTTCCTTTATACCAGTAATGAATAAATGGAATTTAAAATTAAAAATACCATTTACATTAGCACAGCACCCCTAAAAATGAAATACTTAGATATAAAATATAACAAAATATGCACAAGATCTATATGAGGAAAACTACAAAATTCTAATGAAAGAAATCAAAGAACTAAATAAATGGAGAAATATTCCATGGTTTTTATTTTATTTTATTTTGAGATGAAGTTTCGCTCTTGTTGCCCAGGCTGGAGTGCAATGGCACGATCTTGGCTCACTGCAACCTCTTCCTCCCGGGTTCAAGCGATTCTCCTGCCTCAGCCTCCCGAGTAGCTAGCATTACAGGAACTTGCCACGATGCCCAGCTAATTTTTTGTATTTTTTGTAGAGATGGAGTTTCACCATGTTGGCCACACTGGTCGCAAACTCCTGACCTCAAGTGATCCACCACCTCGGCCTCCCAAATTGCTGGGATGACAGGTGTGAGCCACTACTCCTGGCCTTTTTTTTATTTTTTTATTTTATTTTTTTGAGACAGGGTCTCACTCTATCACCTAGGCTGGAGTGCAGTGATGCAATCTCAACTCACTGCAACATCCACCTCGTGGGCTCAAGCAATTCTCCTGCCTCAGCCTCCCTAGAGGCTGGGACTACAGGCGTGCACCACCATGCCTGGCTAATTTTTGTATTTTTTTTGTAAAGACAGGGTTTCGCCAAATTGCCCAGGCTGGTTTTGAACTCCTGAGCTCGAACAGTTTTCCCGCCTTGGCCTCCCAAAATGCTAGGATTACAGGCATGAGCCACCATGCCCGGCCTATTCCATGTTTATGGACAGGAAAACTCAATGTCAAGATGTCAGTTCTTCCCAACATGATCTACAGATTCAATACAATATCAATCAAAATTTCAGCAAGTTATTTTGTGGATACTGACAAACAGATTCTAACATTTATATGGAGAGGCAAAACACCCAGAATAGCCAACACAATATTGAAGAACAAAATTGGAGGACTGACACTACCCAACTTGGAGACTTCAAACTACAGTAATCAAGAGAGTGTGGTATTTGCAAAAGAATGGAGAAATAGATCAACAGAACATAATAGAGAGCCCAGAAATAAACTCACATAAATATAATCAATTTATCTTTGACAAAGGAGCAAAGGCAATACGGTGAGGAAAGGAAAATGGACATCTGAAAGAAAAAATATGAATCTAGACACAAACTTTACACCCTTCACAAAAAATAATTCAAAATAGATCACAGACCTAAATGTAAAATGTAAAACTATAAAAATCCTAGAAGATAACATAGGAGGAAATTTAGGTGACCTTGGGTATGGTGATGACTTTTTTGATACAACACCAAAGGCACACCCTATGAAAGACATAATTAATAAGCTGAACTTCATTAAAATTTCTGCTATGTAAAAGACAGTATCAAGAGGATGAGAAGACAAGCCACAGACTGGAAGAAAATATTTTCAGAAGACACATCTGATAAAGGACTGTTATTCAAAATATACAAAGAACACTTAAAATTCAACAATAAGAAAATGAACCCAATTAACAAAAAGAAAACAAACAACCCAACAAATATAATGGGTCAAAAACCTTAACAGACTCATCACCAAAGAAGATACATAGATGACAAGCATATGAAAAGATGCTCCACATCATGTCATCAGGGAAATGCAAATAAAACAACAATGAGATACCACTACACACCTACTAGAATACTCCAAATCCAGAACACTGACAACACCAAATGCTGGCAAGGATGCAACAAGAACGCTCATTCACTGCTATGGAAATGCAAAATGGTATAGCCGCTTTAGAACACAGTTTGGCACTTTCTTACAAAACTAAACATACTCTTACTGTAAGATATAACAATCATGCTCATTGGTATTTACCCAAAGGAGCTGAAAGCTATGTCCAAACAAAAACCTGCACACTGATGTTTATAGCAGCTTTATTCATAATTGTCAAAACTTGGAAGCAACCAAGATTTTCTTCAGCAGATAAATGAATAAACAAACCGTGGCACATCCAGACAATGGAATATTATTCAGCACTAAAAAGAAATGAGCTACAAAGCCATGACAAGACATGGAGAAATCTTAAATGGATTATTACTAAGTGAAAGAAGCCAATCTGAAAAGGCTACGTACTACTGTATGATTTCAACTATATGACATTCTAGAAAAGGCAAAACTGTGGAAACAGTAAAAGATCAGTGGTTGCCATGGGCTAGGAGGTGGGAAGGATGAATAGGCAGAGCACAAAGAATTTTTAGGGCAATGAAACTGTATACTACATGATACTATAATGGTGAATGCATGTCATCATACATTTGTCAAAATCCACAGAATATACAATAGCAAGAGTGAACCCTAATGTAAACTATGCTCTTTGGTTGGTAATGTTGTGTCAAGGAAGGTTCACCAACGTAACAAATGTACTACTTTTGAGGGGGTCGATAATGGGAGAGGCTAGGCATGTACTAGGGCAGGGACTATATGGGGGAAATCTCTGTACCTTCTGCTCAATTTTACTGTGAACCTAAAACAGCTTAAATTAGGCATATTAAAGAAAGGTGTTCTCCAACTTACATTAAAAAATTAATGGGTAAACATCACACTAATCTCAATTATAGAAGTTCTTCTAAACTAAGGTTTAGAAGAATATATTTAGTGTCAGAAGACCAAGGTAAGTCATAATTTCACCATTGAAGAGTTCGGTGATCTTGGACAAGTCGCTCAGCTTCCTTGAATTTCTTTAAAAAAAAAAAAAAGAAGGGATGGGTACAGTGGCTCATGCCTATAATCCTAGTGCTTTGGGAGGCTGAGGCAGGAGGATCACTTGAGGCCAGGAGTTTGAGACCCAGCCTGGGCAACACAGCAACACCCGACTCAACAAAAATAATTTTTTTAAAAAAGATAAGAGTAGCCAGGCACAGTGGCTCATGCCTGTAATCCCAGCACTTTGGGAGGCCAAGGCAAGCAGATCACCTAAGGTTGGGAGTTCGAGACCAGCCTGACCAACATGTAGAAACCCCATCTCTACTAAATATATAAAATTAGCTGGGCGTGGTGGTGCCTGCCTGTAATCCCAGCTACTCAGGAGGCTAAGGCAGGAGAATCACTTGAACCCAGGAAGTGGAGGTTATGGTGAGCCGAGATCACACCATTGCACTCTAGCCTGGGCAACAACAGCAAAACTCTGACTCAAAAAAAAAAAAAAAAGATAAAAGAAAAACAAGGATTATAATATCTACCTCACAGAGTATATTTTTTTAATTGAGAAAAGGACATTTATTTAAAACCATAGGAATCCATAATAAAATGAACTGAATTCATGACCATAATTTCTGTTTCAGAATTACTTGTTTTCTTATATAGAAAATCAGTTCATATTGAGAATAGATTTGCCACATGTTGAAAAGGTCATCCACTAGTATTTCCTACAAGGATTCCTATAAATTTTGATTTCAAAGATATGATTTCTGACCAAATATCTGGACAAAATGGCTACCTCTTATTTTCTAGCTGTACTTAATTCATTGGAAAAGAAATTTAATATTATCTTTCCAAGTTCAGCTTCTCACTAACAAATACCATACAACTGTAAGCATGGAAGAGAATACCAAATGTTATGTGAACCTCTCTTGTAAGCTGCAGTCATGCACAAAGGCTAGTTACTCCCTCAAGGAGTTTTGCTCTCTACTCTGGGTTCCAGGCTTTACACGGAAACTTGAGGACTATACGCTCTCTTTCAGGTCAGTATCTCGTCTGCAACCTCTTTAACCAAATTCACAAAGAACGTTAAATACCAAAGACATTCAATACTCCCTCCCAGGGCTTTTGAAGTTAAATAAGTATGAGAAAGTGGCACATTCTATATGGTGTTTATGTATTCATATTATTAGAGAAAGTTCAGTACACCTCAACCTTACCTGAGGGTGGGTGTGCAAAATGTTCACCATCCCCTTGGGAATTATTCATTATTGCAGCTTCACTGGAATGCACTGTGGGCTCTTCTGTTTTAGCCTCTGATAACTTCAGGATTCCATAATACAATTTTTTAAAAAACACACAATTTAGATTCATTTTAACTAATTCACTACCTAAAGGATCCAAAGATATTATAGTTTTCTTTTTTTTTTCTTTTGAGACAGAGTCTCACTCTGTCACCCAGACTGGAGTGCAGTAGTGTGATCCTGACTCACTGCAACCTCCGGCTCCTGGATTTAAATGATTCTCATGCCTGAGCCACCTGAGTAGCTGGGATTACAGGTGTGCACTACCACGCTCGGCTAATTGTTGCATTTTTAGTAGAGATGGGGTTTTGCCATGTTGCTGGTCTCGAATTCCTGGCCTCAAGTGATCCACCCACCTCAGCCTCTCAAAGTGCTGGGATTACAGGAGTGAGCCACCACGTCTGGCCTCTTTAAAAGAAAGTATAAAGTATACACTCTTATAAGAAAGTATATACTTTTGGCCGGGCACAGTGGCTCATGTCTGTAATCCCAACATTTTGGGAGGCCAAGGCCAGCAGATCACCTGAGGTCAGGAGTTCGAGACCGGTCTGGCCAACATGGTGAAACCCTGTCTACTAAAAGTACAAAAATTAGCCAAGAGTGGTGGCAGGCACCTATAATCCCAGCTACTGGGGAGGCTGAGGCACGAGAATCGCTTGAGCCTGGGAGGCAGAGGTTGCAGTGAGCCAAGATCACGCCACTGCACTCTAGCCTGGGCAATACAACAAGACTCAGTCTCAAAAAAAAAGTATATACTTTATATATTAAGAAGTATAAAAAGTTGGCCAGGCACAGTGGCAGGCAGGTGGATCACATGAGGTCAGGAGTTCAAGAGCAGCTTGGCCAACATGGTGAAACCCTGTCTCTACTGAAAATACAAAAAATTAGCTGGGCGTGGTGGTACACGCCTGTAATCCCACCTACTTGGGAGGCTGAGGCAGGAGAATCACTTGAACCTGGGAAGCAGAGGTTGCAGTGAGCCGAGATTGCGCCACTGCACTCCAGCCCAGGTGTCAGAGTGAGACTGTCTCCAAAAAAATAAATAAATAAAAGAGTATAAAAGGTTGTTCTGGCCGGGCATGGTGGCTCACACCTGTAATCCCAGCACTTTGGGAGGCCGAGGCGGGCAGATCACGAGGTCAGGAGTTTAAGACCAGCCTGATCAACGTGGTGAAACCCCGTCTCTACTAAAAATACAAAAATTAGCCAGGCGTGATGGCGCACGCTTGTAATCCCAGCTACTCTGGAGGCTGAGGCAGGAGAATCGCTTGAACCCCGGAGGCAGAGGTTGCAGTGAGCCAAGATCACACCACTGCACTCCAGCCTGGGTGACAGAATGAGACTCAATCTCAAAAAAAAAAAAAAAATGTTGTTCTGTGAGTTACCAGGACAAAAATAAAGAAGGAGAAAAAAGTATAAAAAGTTAAAAACAAATGCTTAAACTTGCCAAAAAAAATGACTACTCTTGCTTATATGCATGTCCTGTAAGATTAATTAGTACTATGTGGTGTTTGTACTATATACAGTTAAGTATATATAGTACTATATAATATGGTGGCCAGCAGTAATGCACGACATACATAGAATTATTGATATATTAATATTATTGGTCAATATTTACATTGTACTTAAAATTATGTAGTTCCACATAAGTATAAATTTTAATAGTAAGATCTAGGTGTAAACTTAATAAGAGATAACAGCAATAAAATACTTCTGTTATATGTTCTGTAGGCACCTGTTTTTTCCTCTTCCTTTCTTCTTCCTGGTCATATTCCTCTTTTGATTTTCTGAAATATACAAAAATAAGATAAAAAGATAAATTTCCTTTTTTGGTCAAAGAACAAATATTCAACTAAGCAACATGCTAACCTAAGCTTACAATAAAAGGCACATTAGACACAAAGATGGAAGATAATCAAGCCTTGCTCTAAAGTGGCTTACAGTCAACTGGGAAAGACATACATAGGCATACAGCATAATACAGTTAGTAACACAAAATACAGGTCTACCCATTTCTTCTAGAACTCTGAATGAACCCTAGCTGAATAAAGATCAACAGATTTGAAATCCTGAACCCAAATTTGAATGGCAAATCCCATTAATAAGGACTTCAATCACCCTCTTTAGAGTGATCAATTACACCCCTCTTGATAAGAGCCATTATACCCCTCTTGATAAAATGTCATTGTTCCAATGGCATCTGAGCTATCATCAAGCACTTGTGATACCACTGTGCCAAAGCCCATCAACTTTTGTAAACTGTTCACTGAGACAGTGCTTTTCGAAAGTAACCAAGGTCAACTGTTATACATGTTCATAACTAAGTTCTATTACTTACACAGTAGTATATCCCCTCAAAAGCTCTTGGAAAATAAAATCTAAAAATACAGTGCTGACCAGTTTTCAGGCCACCAATCAACCAACACAACCAGTCCAAATCAAAACTTTACCAGTCCTCTGAACCAAACACCCTTACATCTCAAACCTGTAAACTCAAAGCATTCTGTGTTGTCTCAGGCTCCCATTTGCCCCTGCCATCCAAGGAGGGATGTGGCAAGAAAGGGTTGAGTTCAACTGCATATCTGCTACCCTCTCCATAATCACTCAAACCCCCGAAATTAAGCACTGCATCCTGGAGCTCCTGCCATAGTTTCCCATCAGGCCCATCCTCTGATCCTCTCTTCTGCTTTGGAGGTGGGACAAAGTACCTAAGTGGGGGGAACTGTAGGATGCTAGAAGATGGTCATGTGTGGTAGTATAGTTGGAGAAGAAGTGACCCCAAAGGCCAAGGCCACAGTCTGCAAGTGACACTGTGATTATAGGCATCCTTTTGCCCTAAATCTAATATATTCTCACAGGAGATTTAAAAATTAGGAGCTACTACTGCCCCTTCCTTCCAAAATTCCCATAAAGGTCAGGGCACAACAGGCCCAAAAGAAAAAGAAATGTCCATTACCATTTCTTAGTTCTGTGTGGACCCCATTAGTGGTCTGCACACTCTTTGCCAGGCATTTGGCTGAGAATCATTTAACTGGGGAAACAAGGAGACCGGCAAGATACTCATCTGGGATAGACGCCTCTGTCATCCCTCCCTTGAAGGTTACTATCACCAAGTCAGCTATTCAATCTGTGGAATCTGGATGCCCAGCCTCCTACCATGTGACACCTAGAATATGCCACCTCCATAGTGAGATCCAGAAGCCAAGGAGTAAGCTGTTTAGCTCAAGTCATTATACCTCTCTCCAGAGATCAGGCTAGGTCTACTGCAACTTTTTCCCATTGGTGGCTACTTTCCTATTCCTATGATGCGGGTGTAAAAAGACCCTTTCATTTGGACTGATCTGGTATAAGTTACCTGAAAATAACTTTTTCTGTCACTAAGAAATATATCCACAGTCATAAATTGATAGATCATTTTGATGGTTTTCAGTAGAGAATTTAGCAATTTTATTAGTTCATATTTGTTGGGCAAAAAGCATATGTACAGATCATATAATATTAATAATGATTCATTTAAAAAACAATTAAAGAATGGTACCTAAGAACTTCCCTCAGGATTTTCATCTCTTCGTGTTCAAGGTCACTGACCACATCAGAGCCATCGGTTAAGCAGTCAGGTAATACACCTGTTCAAAACCAAAGACCACATGAAATAGTATCAACTCCATTAAAAACATATATTTCTCACTGTTCTCGTTCCTTAAGTACAAGTTACCTTCAGATCTATCACTGTAACATCCTAAGCTATTATCTTTTTAACTATCATCTTTTATTTTATATATATATATATTTTTTTTTTTTTTTGAGACAGAGTCTCTTTCTGTCGCCCAGGCTGGAGTGCAGTGGCACGATCTGGGCTCACTGCAACCTCTGCCTCCCAGCTTCAAGCGATTCTCCTGCCTCAGCCTCCAGAGTAGCTGGGATTACAGCTGCCCACCACCACACCCAGCTAATTTTTAGTAGAGATGGGGTTTCACCATGTCGGCAGGCTGGTCTCAAACTCCTGACCTCAAGTCATCTGCCCCCCTCGGCCTACCAAAGTGCCGGGATTACAGACGTGAGCCACCATTCCCGGCCATTTTTAACTATCATCTTTTAAGCCTTTTCCTATTTTACAGAATAAGCCCCACCAAAAACCCCACACTTTTAACTACAAATATCTCTTAGTAATTATTTTATTGGCAATTAAAAATAACAATGTATGGCAACAAAAATTTGTTAATATGTTTTTCTCTTCCATAATCATATAGTGTCTAAGAATATACTACGGAAATCATTGAGTTAGGCTTAATAATGAAACTGCTCTCAAAGGTGTCCCTTAAATGAGAAGAGTCACAAAACAAAATATAATTTTGCTAATTGAAATAGCATTAAAAGTCTTCATTTATATTATAACAGATGTTATTGAAAAGGGCGCTGCTTACTATGTGTAATAAAACCATGGTGTTAAGCACTTTGGGGGGATACAAAGATGAATAAAACGATCTCTGCCCTTGAAGCTTCTATTCAGATGTTGGTCTAATAATTATAAACCAGGGAAGTAGCAACTTGAGCCCAAGAAAATAAAAAGTAACTTAAAATATTGGTTTAATTTACTTTATTACTTTTATCTTCCTGCGAAGCAGGTGGACTGGTAATAATTGTTCTGTTTGCATCTGTAATTATTACATTCCACAACATTAGCAGAATGCTTCTTAATTTTTACCTTCCATTTCTTTATCCACATATGACTGTAGGATTTTGGGTCTACTCTTAAGTAGCTTTATTACTCTAATCCTCCTGATGTTTATATACATTTTTTTAAATTAAATGTTTTATTTTGAGGTAAGTGCAATTGTAAGAAATAATGCAGAAATCTGCTATATACTCTTTACCCAGCTTCCCCAAGTGGTAACATCTTACAAAACTATAGTAGTACAATATCACAATCAGAAAACTGACATCTAACTAATCCATTAATCTTAAGTGCATTTTTGCTCAGTCAAAAGATATAAAATTATTATTCTCCTAATAATCTTCCTGAGGAAAACTGAAAGTACTAAGAATAACACAACAGTATGAAGTACTTAAAAACCATCAAAATAATACTCTCATTTGCAATTTCTCTAAATTCTTTAATAAGGCACCAAAAAGATAAAAAAGAATCCAGAGAGCCTTTGACTTTTTCTCATCATTAAGAACTATTTTCAAATAGTCTGCAGTTTTGAGTATAATCAACATTAATCTAAGGTATTCACCCCTGGATCTTAGTCAGGCAACATTCTTTCTTTTCTTTTTCTTTTTTTTTTTTTAATTTTGAGACAGGGTCTTGCTCTGTTGCCCAGGCTGGCACGCAGTGGTACTATCATAGCTCACTGCAGCCTCAAACAGAAGTCTGAGGCTGGGCTTAAGCGATCCTCCTGCCTCAGCCTCTGAAAGCACTGGGACCACAGGCATGAGCCACTGTTCCCAGCCAGCAAAACTCTTAAGTACATGTATTAGAAATTCTGTAGCAGAAACTAAGTATTACCTTATGTTTAAATGTAAGTAAAATGCCCCATGCTGTGGCCTGACAATAGTCATTATTCTACATCATTCCCCTCCTCCTCCCTTGCTAATAGAAGCCAGCTTTTGCAGAATTATCAGGCAGCTAACTACTTAGAGGCAGGGCCCTCCCCAATCCCAGGAGAGTGACTCCTAATTGGTTCAAGCCAATCATAATGGTCTCATTCCCCTTGCCAGATGGTTTAAGAAAGGCAAGTGACCCCAATCCTAATCAATAGGACCTGAGGGAAAAACTGGAGGGTTTCCATGAAATTGTTGTCTTGCTAACAAAAAGAGATGTACAGGAGGAAATATTCCATTTCTTCATAAGACACTGTTGAGTCTGCATTCAATACAGCCAGAGTACAATCATGAGAGAAGATTCTGAGAATGGCAGAGTATAAAGATGCAAAGTGTCGGGGTCCTTGATTAGATCAGTGAGCCACTAAATTAACCAATCCCGAACCTGTCTTCCTTCTCTCCCTTCCTCTGGACTTCTTGTTCTGGGAGATCTTTTCTTCACTGGAGTGTTCTGTTACTGACAGCCTAAGGCATCCACATGATACAAGATATATATTTATTCCCTTTTTATTAAAATCTAAATGAGTTTCCAATTAAATTCCAAACTGAAAACTAAAGAATGCCATTGTCAAGTTCACTATTTCTTTTCCTGATCCCCTAAAAAAATTTGTTTACTAACATACTTACTAAAATTGTCTAACCCGTAAGTCAGAATAAAGCATAGTTTTCAGGAAAATTCAGAGGCAAGGATTTTATAGAGCAAACCACAGTAGAAAGAGACTATTTTCCAGACTTATTCACATCAAAGTAATAGCACTATGTCATGGATTCTTCAGGGTTAGGGTGGTGTTTTCCCCCTACCCACAGACAACAGCGCTATTAGCTGCTGGGGAAAGCATCTTGGGATTCTAGTAGATGATTATGATGGTGGCTGGCTCTAAGAGTCTCTACTCACATCAGTCAAATGAGGAGGAAACTCCCCAGTAAGGGCCATGCAAAATTCTCATGTTTGCCATGCAACAACGGAAGCCCTATTGTTGCATGTTCCAGGCCCTTAAGAGCCAACGATACAACTGAACTATAGATCTCATATCTTCAAGAAACAATCAAAGGAAAGGTCCTGCTGCCAAGCCATTAAAGAGGTTATGGGCCGTGGTAAAAAAATATCATGGCAATCTATTGAGCTAACGAAGACATAGAAATTAAGGTGAGGTTACCACAGCAAGAAATTTGAAACAGAGATGATAATCTGGGTTAGAAAGGAAATGGTACAATAACAAGTAGCATGGTTAGAAACTCGGCTGTTTTGAGTCAGGATGTTAAATGTAGTTCAGGTACACAAGAAGGGAACAAGAGCAGGAAGAGCTAGAGAGAAAGTGAACTTAAGCACAGGGTCAGGGGAAAGATAAAGCCAACCAGGGTTAATAGGGCTTTGAGTTCCATTTTGTCTTCCACATGATGCTGGTACAAGCTTATCTGTCTCTGCCCAGTGCCCTAGAACAGTGGGTGTTGGTGTGGTCCCAGGACTAGCAGCTTCAGCATCACCTGGGAACTTGTTTGTGTTAGTCCATTTTCATGCTGCTGATAAAGACATACCCGAGACTGGGCAATTTACACAGGAAAGAGGTTTAATCGGACTTACATTTCCACATGGCTGGGGAAGCCTCACAATCATGGCGGAAGACAAACAGGAGCAATCACGTCTTACATGGATGACAGCAGGCAAAGAGAGAGCTTGTGCAGGAAGACTCCCCTTTCCCAAAACCATCAGATCTCATGAGACTTATTCACTATCACAAGAACAGCATGGGGAACACCTGCCCCCAAAATTCAATTACCTCCCACTGGGTCCCTCCCACAACACGTGGGAATTCAAGATGAGATTTGGGTGGGGACACAGCCAAACCATATCATTGTTAAAAATGCAAATTATCGGTACCCCAGACCTATTAAATCAGAAACTGGGAGGCAGCCATATGTGCTTCAGCAAGCCCTCCAACCATTTCCAATGCTTGCTAAAGCTTAAGAACCACTGCTTCCGGCCACGTTGGGAGGCCAAGGCGGGCGGATCACGAGGTCAGGAGATCGAGACCATCCTGGCTAACATGGTGAAACCCCATCTCTACTAAAAATACAAAAAATTAGCCCGGAGTGGTGGCAGGTGCCTGTAGTCCCAGCTACTCAGAAGGCTGAGGCAGGAGAATGGTGTAAACCCGCAAGGCAGAGCATGCAGTAAGCCGAGATCATGCCACTGCACTCCAGCCTGAGCAACAGAGCGAGACTCCGTCTCAAAAAAAAAAAAAAAAAGAACCACTGCTTCCTACAAAGGTCCTAACAATCTTAAGCCAGAAAAAGGATGGACACCTCTCAACAGTAACCACAACTATGACCATTCAAAAATACTCAACTTCATAAACATAATGGCTGGGCAGAAAATTGAACTCTGTGAAATCCAAAGTATCATTGAATTCTGGTCTCCTTTCTTTGAGATGTCAAATACAAATCAGGAAGTTTATACTCTTTTTTTTTTTTTGAGACAGGGTCTCACTCTGTCACCCAGGCTGGAGTGCAGTGGCGCGATCTCAGCTCACTGCAAGCTCCACCTCCCGGGTTCACGCCATTCTCCTGCCTCAGCCTCCCAAGTAGCTGGGACTACAGGTGCCCGCCACCACGCCCAGCTAATTTTTTTGTATTTTTAGTAGAGACGGGGTTTCACTGTGTTAGCTGGGATGGTCTCGATCTCCTGACCTCATGGTCTGCCCGCCTCAGCCTCCCAAAGTGCTGTGATTACAGGCGTGAGCCACTGCACCCAGCCATATACTCTAAAATCTCAAGTCAGCTGAAGTCTTTCAAACTTGAAATAAATGTACATGAGACAGCTACATTTAAGACCATATTAGAATAGTCAAAACTGTAAAAAAAAATGCATTTAGTACTTAGATTTCTAACTTCAACATTTTACCATTTCTCTCTTGAATTATTCGAATGGCTTGCAGCTGCATTTCAATGTTTTTCTGGACCATCATTGCTTTAAAGATAGTAAAATCTTCTGCTGCCAACACAGGTTGCAAAATGGCCTGTGGAAAGAAGTCTCAAGTGAAATGAAGATTCAAGTTTTAAAACTATTACCCATACATTCGAACCATTTCTACTGCAAAACAGTAGATTAATTCAAGAATGCTACATTGTTATTTATGATTAGATGTCCCAAAAGGACAATTTTAAAATTTATCTTAATAGCCTTTAAAACAGGGTTCTCAGCCGGGCACGGTGGCTCACACCTGTAAACCCAATACTTTGGGCGGCTGAGGCAGGCAGAACACTTGAGGTCAGGAGTTCAAGATTAGCCTAGCCAACATGGTGAAACCCCATCTCTACTAAAAAAATAAAAAAATTAGCCAGGTGCGGTGGTGCATACCTGTAGTCCCAGCTACTCAGGAGGCTGAGACCGGAGAATCATTTGAACCAGGAGACAGAGGTTGCAGTGAGCCAAGATCGCACCTCTGCACTCCAGCCTGGGTGACAGAGCAAGACTCCGTCTCAAAAAAAAAAAAATTTTTCAAAAGGATCAGTATTGTGATATGCAAATTATATCTCAATAAAGTTGTTTAAAAAAAAAGAAAGCTGGAGTAGCTTAATTTAGTTTCAGATAAAGTAGACCTCAGAACAAGAAAGATGATCAGCAATAAAGAGGGGCATTTGTTTATAATTCTATAAAATATAATACTTTATGATTATTCTATGATTACATATTTTATATATAATTATATAATTCCTTATAATTCTATAAAACAAAAATTGTGGCCAGGCGCAGTGGCTTATGCCTGTAATCCCAGCACTTTGGGAGGCTGAGGTGGGCAGATTACCTGAGGTCAGCAGTTTGAGACCAGCCTGGCCAACATGGCGGAAGGTGTGTACCACATCACCCTGCTAATTTTTTTGTATTTTATAGAGTTGGAGTTTCACCATGTTGCCCAGGCTTGTCTCAAACTCCTGAGCTCAAGCAATCTGCCCACCTTGGCCTCCCAAAGTGCTGGAATTATAGGCATGAGCCACCATGCCTGGCCCACATGTGTTTTTTAGAGTGTGTTGTTTAATCTCCAAGTATTTTGTTTTTTTCCAATTATCTTTTGTTATTTATTTCCAGTTTAATTATGTTGTGGTCTGAGAGCAGACACTGTATGATCTCTCTTCTTTTAAATTTGTTAAGGTATGTTTTATGGCCCATAATGTAGTCTGTCTTGACGAACATTCTGTGTGATCTTGAGAAGAATGTGTATTTTTGATTATTGGATGAAGTGGTGTATGTCAAATAAATTCAGTTGACTGAAGGTGCTGTTGTTTGTTTATTTATTTATTTATTTATTTATTTTGAAATGCAGTCTTGTTCTGTCACCCAGGCTGGAGTGCAGTGGCGCGATCTCAGCTCACCGCAACCTCCACCTCCCAGGTTCAAGCGATTCTCTTGCCTCAGCCTCCTGAGTAGCTGGGATTACAGGTGCCCACTACCACACCCGGCTAATTTTTGTATTTTTAGTAGAGACGGGTTTCACCACGTTGGCCAGGCTGGTCTCGAACTCCTGACCTCAAGTGATCCACCCACCTCGGCCTCCCAAAGTTCTGGGATTACAGGCATGAGCCACCGTGCCTGGCCTGAAGGTGCTGTTTAGTTCAACTATGTCTTTACTGATTTTCTAACTACTGGATCTGTCCAATACTGACAGAGGGTGTTGAAGTCTCCAACTATAATCATGTATTCATCCATTTCTCCTTGCAGTTCCGTTTCTGCCTCACACATTTTGTTGCTTTGTTATTAGGTACATACATATTAAAGATTGTTATGTCTTCTTGGAAATTGCCAGATTTTTTCACATTAATGTGGGCATACCAATAACATTTAAATTATTTTATTATTATTATTATTTTAGAGACAGGGTCTCACTCTGCAGCCCAGGCTGGAATACAGTGGTACAGTCATAGCTCACTGCAGCCTCAAATTCTTGGGCTCAAGCAATCCTCCCACTTCAGCTTCCCAAGTAGCTAGGACTACAGCAGCGTGTCACCATGCCCAGCTAATTCTTGTATTTTTATTTTTTGTAGAGATGGGGTCTTGCATTGTGGCCTAGGCTGGTATTGAGACCCTGGCCTAAAGTAATCCTCCTGCCTCAGCCTCCCAAAGCATTGGGATTACAGGTATGAGCTATCACACCCAGCCAAAATGTAGTGGCTCACACCTGTAACCCCAGAGCTTTGGGAGGGTGAGGCAGGAGGATTGCTTGATGCCAGGACCTCAAGACCAGCCTGGACAACACAGCATGACCCCCTCTCTACAAAACAACTGAAAAATTAGCCAGGCATAATGGTGCACACCTATAGTCCTAGCTACTCAGGAGGCTGAGGCAGGAGATTCACTTGAACCCAGGAGTTAGAGGTTGCATAGAACTATGACTGAGCGACTGCAGTCCAGCCAGGGTGGCAGAGAAAGACTCTGTCTCAAAAACAAAAACAAACAAACAAAAAAGGTTTTCTATTCCTAGAATTAAAGGTGATCATCAAATGAAAAGTTGTGCAAAAGAGGAAGTGCTGGATTAAAAAGTAGTCAAGGCAACCTCTTCTAGGCCATCATAACAAGACAATTTAAATTAATAAACATTTATTGAGAACTATGTACTAGCAACTAAGTTTTCATCTCTGTTCTACCAGCAGGGAATGCAAATATACTAAACACAGCTCAAAGGACTTACAATTTAGTAGGGCAAATAGACTTGTAGGAAACTATAATTCAAGGCAGAGTAACAAAAATATCAATTTACAATTGGCCTAGTTAAGTAGATTGAATTCTGGTCTGACTTTAGAATAAGCAGCAAAGCTGCTATAACAAGTAGCATTTCAACCAGGCCCTGATAATGAGGATTTCTCCGCATTATGAAAGGAATGATGGAGTGGTCTGGGGAGGGGACCATACATTCCAGGTTAAGGGACAGCATGAGCAAAGGTAGGTGTACAGATGCTTATAAGAGCAAGGGGCAGCAGGGCGTGGTGGCTCACGCCTGTAATCCCAGCACTTTGGGAGGCCGAGGCGGGTGGATCGCCTGAGGTCAGGTGTTCCAGCTTGGCCAACATAGTGAAACCCTGCCTCTACTAAAAATACAAAAACTTAGCCGGGCATGGTGGTGGGAGCCTGTAATCCCAGCTACTTGGGAGGCTGAGGCAGGAGAATCACTTGAACCTAGGAGACGGAGGTTGCAGTGAGCCGAGATTGTGCCATTGCACTCCAGCCTGAGCAACAAGAGCGAAACTCTATCTCAAAAGAAAAAAAAAAGAGAGCAAGTTACCTGGAATGGCAGTAGAACATAATGTATTGGAGAACTATAGCAAGGGATCATGGCTAAAAATACAATCTGGAGTCTCATCTTAAACAATTCTTACCATATCTTGCTAAGAAATTACAGTTTATTTAGTAGAAGATGAGATGCCAAAGCCAATGTTTTGTTTTTTGGGGTTGGGTCCTAATCTGTTGCCCAGGCTGGAGTACAGTGGCATGATCTTGTCTTACTGCAGCTTCAACCTCCTAGGCTCAAGTGATGCTCCTACTTCAGCATCCTGAGTAGGTACTCTGGGGAGAACACCACCACAACCTACAACAAGCTAACTTTTATATTTTTTTTAAAGATGGGGTCTCACTATGTTGTCCAGGCTGGTTTCGAACCCCTGGCTTCAAGCAATCCTCCTGTCTTGGTCTCCCAAAGTGCTGGGATTATAGGCATGAGCCACTTCCTGGCCTTCAGTTTTTGAGCAAAAGGCTACTTGGGTAGTAGCAACATATCCCAATCCTCACCCTCTGAGCAAGGGCACTCAGTTGGCTTGCCTGGGCTGGGGATACTGGCTCTACTACTTATTTAGCTGTGGACTTTGGACTATTTGCTTAATATATCTGTGCTTTGGTTTCCTCATTTCTTTTTTGTTTTTTTTTTTTAGACAGTTTTGTTCTTGTTGCCCAGGCTGGAGTGCAATGGCGCGATCTTGGCTCACCACAACCTCCGCCTCCCGGGTTCAAGGGATTCTCCTGCCTCAGCCTCCCAAGTAGCTGGGATTACAGGCATGTGCCACCATGCCCAGCTAATTTTGTATGTTTAGTAGAGACGGGGTTTCTCCATGTTGGTCAGGCTGGTCTCGAACTCCCGACCTCAGGTGATCTGCCCGCCTCGGCCTCCCAAAGTACTGGGATTACAGGCGTGAGCCACTACTCCGGGCCTGGTTTCCTCATTTCTAAATGGAAGTTATATAGTAGCAGTTTCTTAAGAGGTGTCAGGAAGATTAAATGAGATAAAACATGTCAAGTGCCCAAAATATCAATTAGCACAAGCCCTCAATAAACATTAGTTTACAGGCTGGGCGTGGTGGCTCATGCCTGTAATCCTAGCACTTTGGGAGGCCAAGATGGGCAAATCCCTTGAGCCCAGCATTCAAGACCAGCCTGGACAACACAGCAAGACCCTGTCTCTACAAAAAAAAAAAAAAAAAAAAAAAAATTAGCCATGTGTGCTGGTGCGGCACCTGTAGTCCCAGCTACCAGGAAAGTTGAGATGGGAGGATTACCTGAGCCCAGGGATGTTGAGCCTATAATGAGCTGCAATCACACTAAACTCCAGCCTGAGCAATAGAGTGAGACCCCATATCAAAAAAACAACAAAAACAAACATTAGTTTATAACATATGTATTACTACTTCAGCCTAGCACTACACAACCAGTAAGATAATACAAGTAGTTCCAAGAGAAGGAAGCAGCAGCAGGAACTACTGACTGTGGATCTGCTAAAATTATAAAAGGAGCAACTGCAGAATTATTGGAGATCTATGTAAATAAAACAGTAGTTTGTATAAACCCTGTGATCTTATTCTAGTTCTGAGTTTAGAAAGGTCACTTTGAGTTGCATCAGTTCATTAATGCCTCAAATTATCATTTTTCAGGGTTGCTCTCAAAAAGAACTCATATGTGATGAATTATCTTTCTACCTCTCACAATGTCTAAAATATTACACTTTGTCAATCAAACATTCAAATTTAAGTGAGTGTTTAACCCTGGGCATTTGTTAAAACTGTATGTTAGCAGAATAACACAAAGCAAAAACCTGTGATGTATGGGTCTTTGCAAGAGGAGAAGTGCATGCTTCTTGAAATTGATCTTCATTAATTCCAATTTCTTTGAGGTAACCTTCTAACAGCTTTTCAACCTAAAAAAACAAAGTTTAACTTTTATAATTACATAGAAAAATTCTACATGACAGTTTGCATATTAAGTATTTAGTTTAGAAAAGTATCATCGAATTTTTTGCAAATATTAATCTACATATTACATGACAGTGACATTGTCTTTCACCAAAACACAAATTAAAAGTTAATATTTTTGCTGAAAATCACATGAAATTGTATTTCTTCTAATAGAAATAGTTGAAGTCAGGATTATGAAGTTCAATGTGGTACAACTCTTCTGCTACCCAGAGGCATTTTTTTTTCTTCTTTTCTTTTCTTTCTTTTTTGAGATGGAGTCTCACTCTGTCACCCAGGCTGGAGTGCAGTGGTACGATCTCGGCTCACTGCAACCTCTGCCTCCCAGGCTCAAGCAATTCTCCTGCCTCAGCTTCCTGAGTAGCTGGGACTAGAGGCGCCTGCCACAATGCCCGACTAATTTTTTTTTTTTTTTTTGGTAGAGATGGCGTTGCACCATGTTGGTCAGGCTGGTCTCGAATTCCTGACCTCAGGTGATCCGCCTGCCCTGGCCTCCCAAAGTGCTGGGATTATAGGCATGAGCCACCACGCCTGGCCTTTTCTTTCTTTCTTTCTTTTTTTTTTTTTTGAGACAGAGTCTTACTCTGTTGTCCAGACTGGAGTACAGTGGCACAGTAATGGCTCACTGCAGCCTTGACCTTCTGGGCTCAAGAGATCATCCTCCCACTTCAGCCTCCCAAGCAACTGGGACTACAGGCACATGCCATCATGACTGATTAATTTTTGTAATTTTTATAAAGATGGAGTTTCACCATGTTGCCCAGGCTGGTCTCGAACTCCTTGGCTGAAGCAATCCACCTGCCTTGGCCTCCAAAGTGCTGGGATTATAGGTGTGAGCCACTGAGCCCCACTGCCAGAGGCATTTTTTAAAATCACAAGACAGGCTGGGCAGTGGCTCACACCTGTAAACCCAACACTTTGGGAGGCCCAGGCAGGTGGATCACTTGAGCTCTGGAGTTCCACACCAGCCTGGGAAACACAGAGAAACGCCATCTCTACAAAATACAAAAAAATTAGCAGGGCATGGTGGTGCACACCTGTAGTCCCAGCTACTCAGGTGGCTGAGATGGGAGGATCGCTTGAGCCTGGGGAGGTTGAGGCTGCAATAGGCTGTGATAGTGCCACTGCACTCCAGCCTGGGTGACAGAGCAAGACCCTGTCTCAAAAATAAAAAATAAAAAAATCACATGACAACCATGACGAAGTGAATAATTAATATGTCCCTGGATGCGTCAACAAAATAAGAATAAGATATAAAGAATACATGCAAGAACCCATAAAGAGTTGTAAAACCATTCCTTAGAGTAGAGGAGATAAGTCATCCAAATGAGATATTCAGAGCACCTGTGGAGACAGATATAACTGGCACTATTGTTAAGGTAGATTGGATTTTTGTAAAATTAAGGATTTTTAATGTAAAAATATTTTTCTTCATTTAGAAAAGCTATAAGTAGTATTAGCCTAATTACTTTTAAAAATCAGTGAAAAAAAATACTCACTAGTTCTTTGTATTCCTGATGAATCTCTGTATAGGTCAATTTGCTTTCTTCTTCATCATCAAAAACTAAATTTAAAAGAAAATATTACATAGTGTAAAAACCAAATCATTTTATTAATGCAAATTTAAAAATCCACTCCTTCCAAATAGAACTGTCAACCTAGCTCTTCAGCTTTGAATTCTTAGGGTTTATCTTTTAAAAATATATAAATGAATATATCTAAAAATATATACTATTGGCCGAGCACTGTGGCTCATGCCTGTAATCCCAGCACTTTCGGAGGCCAAGGTGGGTGGATCACCTACGATCAGGAGTTCGAGACCAGCCTGGCTGATGTGGTGAAATCCCATCTCTACTAAAAATACAAAAATCAGCCAGGCGTGGTTGTGCGCGCCTGTAGACCCAGCTACTCGGGAGGCTGAGGCAAGAGAATTGCTTGAACCCAGGAGGCGGAGGTTGCAGTGAGCCAAGATTGCACCACTGCACTCCAGCCTGGGCGGCAGAGTGAGACTCCATCTCAAAAAAAAAAAAGAAAAAAAAATATACACACACACACACACACACACACACATATATACTATTAATTGTAAACAAGCTTTTTTGCCTACTTGAGAAAATATTTAAAATGAATACTACCTCATATTTAAGACAAAAACACATTTCAATCAATATGAGGCAATAATTTCTTCATAACTTTTAATGTAATATTATTGTTAATGGTTAAATCCTTTTACAATAGGTTCCATATTATTTTATTGTACTGGAATTTTGCTGATGTAAATGTTACTGAAAGTGACCAGGCAATTTTTGTTACCACAGATAAATAATGAAGTTAAATAAAATCAAAACAAGTGTTTACTGAATGATCATATGTATAAAACAATGCAGTGAGCCAAGATCACGCCACTGCACTCCAGCCTGGGCAACAGAGCGACACTCTGTCTCCCAAAAAAAAAAAAAAAAAAGGAGTACAAATACAAGTTATTTTGTTTTTGAACATTGTTAAAAAATTACCTGTAAAAATAACACTTTAATAACTACGATTTGAATATTGATTATAGCAATGAAAATGTAATGAAAAGATTCAGTGGTCAAACTGAATTTCATCTTTACCAGATTCATGATATCTTGGAATTTAAAGAAGTCTTAAAAGGTCATCCAGGATAACCGACCATTTGATAGCTGAATAGCTGAATCCCTCTAACCCTATTAAGTCGCTATCAGATCCATTCAAACACTGCTGGAGCCGGGAAGCTCATTACCTTCTGAGGCTGGCTAACTCATCTTGGATACATTCTATCATGAAACACTTCCTTCACTGAAATTTGTTTCCCTGTAGCTTGTACCAACTGACCCTAGCTCTATTCTACTCAACCTTACAACACAAAGCAGATGTTCAAATAATTGATGAATACTACTACCCTCAAAGTCTTGCCCGATTAAACAACCACAATAACGCTTGGGCACTCATTTATATGACGTGGTTTCTGGTTCCTTTTCTGCGAATGGGCTGCAAATAGTCTCCACGAACTGAATGCAGAACTCCAAGCCTGAAGAACTGCTCAGAACCCGGAGATGCCTGTCCTTCACGGGGAATATTATGCCATATCTATACGCCTCATTTGTTCCAAGAATGGTCCTGCCCCACCTCGCCAATTTTTGGTATAGCGAAGAGTAGAGAGCTCACCAAGGGGAACACAGGCCACCAAAATCACCGGCTCTGGGCTTCCTGGAGTTATCACATGCCCTCCTTTGCAGTTAACTGTTGGTTTGGAGTGAAATCATTTCTCATTTCCTAAGCTGACTACACCGGGCGAAATGCTAGGGATCATAAGGAACTCAGGTAAACCGACGCTTCTCCTCTCAAGTCTGGCAAAGCTGTTGAAGAAGCCCAGCCAAACAGTCCACCTGCCGAGGGCAGAAACGTTCGGGACAGGGTGAGAGACCGAATTTACGATTCAAGTCTAATGTTCTTCGGACGTGCGCTTCGGCCCCAGAGAAGGGGAGTCTCGGTCCCCGTTTTCAGGTCTGCGAAGGAACACATTGGCAGGGTGAAAGGAATTCCTCCCACACAACCAGCTCTAAACCTGATGACGCGGGTGGAGAAGGTGGTGAGGGGAACGAGACCTTGCGACAGGGGTGGAGACAGGGGGTCGGGGAGACGAGAGATGGCTTGTGGTTACCAACCCCCTGCCCGCCGCTGGTGTGAGAGAGGAGAAAAGGATTGTCGGTTCGGGCTCTGGTTTTTACCTTCACATTTCTGTTCCACAAAGTCCAAGATGGGGATGGACCAGTCTGGGCCTCGCAGGAACCCCGCGATGCTCTCCACTACCCACTCCACCTCGTCTTCTTCTTCCGCAGCCATCCCGCCCCAAAGGGGCAACGGGGAAGATCCCTAGGCCAGACCGCCGGACCCCGGTTAGGCCTTTGGGCCACAAGGAGCCGAGAGGGAGTAGGGGAAGAGCTGGCCCGCAGTCGCTCAGCCCCCAGGATAGAAGCTACCAACCAGTTAATGCAAAATGGTCGCTATGGCAACACACGTAGCCGCCCTAGACCGCGGCCCGGAAGTGAAGACAACTTTCCAGGAGCCTGCGCACTTAGCGGGGAGGGCAAACGTTTGAAAAACGTTTCTGATTGGTTAAAAAAGAACAGTGGACGAGGGCTGAGAAAAGAAGTGTAGCTATTGGCTGGAAGTCATAGACAGATTGCGCTCTCTCTTCTGATAAATGCGTAGGAGCCAAGGTTTAGAAAACGCGCAGTAGACGGGCGCGGTGGCTCACGCCTGTAATTCCAGCACTTTGGGAGGCCGAGGCTTGCGGATCACCTGAGGTCAGGAGGTCGAGACCAGCTTGGCCAACATGGTGAAACCTCGTCTCTACCAAAAATACAAAAATTAGCCTGGCGTGGTGGCGCCGCCTGTAATCCCAGGTACTCGGGAGGCTGAGGCAGGAGAATCGCTTGAACCCGGGAAGCCGAGGTTGCAGTGAGCCACTGCACTGCAGCCTGGGAGACTGCGTCTCAAAAGAAAAACAGGAAGAAAGAAAAGAAAAAAGAAAAGGCTCAGTGAGGGTCTGAGGTAACCGGGTCTCCACCTGACAGGGCTTCAGCGGCTGCAGTTCATCATTGTATCCCCAGCACCTCAGTCCCAACCATTTTCAGACCATTGGCCCAGAGGCGTTTGTAATTAAAGGGTTGTCTGAAAATACAAAGCCGAGCTGTGTGAGACTCGCTGATTGTCTTACGGTCAGTTTGCATCTGTATCTTCAGGCGGGTCTTTAATCTCTTACGCTTGGATAAAGATAACTAGAATTAGGAGCTTTTCAAGGGCAAGAGCAAAGTTAATACTCACTTAAATAAATGCCTTGGTAACCAAATCTTATTATAACTCCAACTCAGCATTTAGGTGGAGTCCATTGTGGAATGGGGTCTTCAGTGGTCATTGTGAAGGTGTTTGGAGTCCCAAAATATCTTCAGACAACCATATATATATATATATTTTTTACATAAATAGGATTATATGTACAGTTATGAATTTTTTTCTTATATCTTTATCTTTTAAAAATATAAATTTGTGCTTTCTTTGCAACTGCATAGTATTCCATAAACCATCCTTTAGTCTATTTTTATTTTGTGAATGTGCACACAGTATCTTACCTGAATGCATGAAGATGATCATTATGTGCCTTTTTTTTTTTTTTTTTTTTAGACAGAGTCTCGCTCTGTCGCCCAGGCTGGAGTGCAGTGGCGTGACCTCAGCTCACTGCAACCTTAGCCTTCTGGGTTCAAGAGATTCTCCTGTGCCTCAGCCTCCAGAGTAGCTGGGATTACAGGCATGTGCCACCACACCCAGCTAATTTTTGTAGTTTTAGTAGGGACAGGGTTTCGCCATGTTGGCCAGGCTGGCCTCGAACTCCTGACCTCAGGTGTTCCGCCTGCCTCGGCCTCCCAAAGAGTTAGGATTACAGGCGTGAGGCACCGTGCCTGGCCATGTGCAATTTTTTTCTTTTTCCTCCTCCGTGCTGTGGATTTGCCATTTTTTGCTTCCACAAACTGCTGTTATAAATGTTGCATCCTGAGAACTGTTGGTTTTATTTACTATTCCAAGGGATAGATTCCAGCAGAATTGCTAAATGAAAGAATATATATCTTGGTTAATTTGACCAAACCTCAACTGCTACATTAAATTACTTGAATTTTTTAAACCCGTAAACAATTGTGTAATGAATATACTTGCACATATGTTTTTGAACCCTAGTCTCATTATTTCCCTCGAACAAATTCTCATGGGAAAATTACTGAACTAATTATTTTAATTATTATTATTATTTTTTTTTTTGAGACGGAGTCTCGCTCTGTCGCCCAGGCTGGAGTGCAGTGGCGCAATCTCGGGTCACTGCAAGCTCCGCCTCCCGGGTTCGCACCATTCTCCTGCCTCAGCCTCCCGAGTAGGCGGGACCACAGGCGCCCGCCACCACGCCCGGGTAATTTTTTGTATTTTCGGTACAGACGGGGTTTCACCATGTTAGTAGCCAGGATGGTCTCGATCTCCTGAGCTCGTGATCTGCCCGCCTCGGGCTCCCTATTTTAAATATTTTTAAAAAATAGTCTTTGCCAATCTACTAGGTTAAAATGATAGCCCCCCCCACAGCCCTTTTTTTTTCTCGAGACAGAGTCTCGCTCTGTCACCCACGCTGGAGTGCAGTGGTGACATCTTCGCTCACTGCAACCTCCACCTCCCGGGTTCAAGCGATTCTCCTGCCTCAGCCTTCCAAGGAGCTGGGATTACAGGCACCCGCCACCAAGCCTGGCTAATTTTTGTATTTTTAGTACGGGCAGGGTTTCACTATGTTGGCCGGGCTAGGCTGGTCTCAAACTCCTGACCTCAAGTGATCTGCCTACCTCGGCCTCCCAAAGCGCTGGGATTACAGGCATGAGCCACCACGCCCGGCCTCATCCACACTCATTGTTCAGCATTAGAGTCTTTCTTTGTCTTCAGTCTCTTCCAAATGCTTCTCAATTCCACTGGAAGCAGATAACTATGATGTAAGAGTTTTCCTTTCTTTTATTTTCTTAGCCTTGTTTCTAAATCTCTAAATCTAAATGGGCAATGTGGATTCCTTCAGGCCTGCAAGTTCTCTCATTTGTTTCAAAATATTTTATTATTTCATTTTCTCCTTAAAACATAAGGCTTTTCTTTTTATTCATTGCTTGAGATTCTTATAAGCAGGATGCTTACACAGATTTGAGATAATGTATTCAATACGCTTATCATAAAATAAACTCAGAAGAACAGCTTGCACACTGTTAGAGCAATGCATATGGATGTACTGGGGCAAGAGTAAGAAGATAGCATGGGTGTGTGTTACGCATAGGTCATTTAGCAGTGTTTTCAGTGTTTCACAGTAATGCAAAGCACAGTCATCTCTTGGAAAATCACAACTTATTTTGGCAATTTTATTACTCCTTTTACTGTTCTTACCACATAGGAACAAATTTTAATGTTAAAGATATGTATAACAGGCCGGGTGCGGTGGCTCATGCCTGTAATCCCAGCACTTTGAGAGGCCAAGGTGAGTGGATCACTTGAGGTCAGGAGTTTGAGACTAGCCTGCCCAACATGGCAAAACCTCGTCTCTACTAAAAATTAGCTTGGCGTGGTGATGGGCGCCTGTACTCAGCTAATTGGGAGGCTGAGGCAGGAAAATCGCTTGAACCTGGAGACAGAGGTTGCAGTGAGCCGATATTGCACCTCTGTACTCCACCCTGGGCAACAGAGTGAGACCCTGTCTCCAAAAAAAAAAAAAAAAGATACATGTAACAAAACTAAAATAGATGCACACACATAAATAAATATATATACACAGTACATGACACACATACACACACCAAGCACTTTTACCATGGGGTTGATAAAGGCTAGGATTACAGGCGTGAGCCACCGCGCCTGGCTGAGAACACATATTAAAAGTACTTGGGATTATGCTAGGTACTTAGTAAATGCTTAATACATATTAGATATTGTTATTGTATGTAGTTTAGGTATCGGTTTGCTTAAAAATTTGCAGCATGAATGCAAGGAACTATTCATTTTATTTTGCCTCTTCTTTCAATGACAAATCATTTGTGTTTTTTGCTGCAGCCCTAGGAAATCTCTTGCTTCTCCCCATCCCCTGTACTGATACTGAGTGTCTGCCCTACTAAAGGAATATAAAATTCAAATCGTAACAACATGACTGCATTTTCAAGGACCTTGTGAATAACAATTATTCACATTTATATAGTACTTTACAGTTTACAAAGAGATTACATCTATTTGACTTACAGCAAACTTGTGAGCTAAATAAAGATGATATTAAGATTTTCTCCCTCTTTTAAATGGTGTATTAGTTTGCTAGGACTGCTATAACAAATTACCACAGACTGGGTGGCTTGAGCGGCAGACATTTATTTTCTGAAAGTTCTGAAGTCTATGTCTCTGATCAAGTTATTGGCAGGGTTGGTTTCCTTTGAGGCTTCTCGTCTTGGCTTGCAGATGGCTGTCTTCTCCCTGTGTCTATACCTGGTCTTACCCCTATACAGCCTATGTACTAATCTCCGTTTCTTATAAGCATATCAGTCATATTGGATTAAGGCCCCCTAATAACCTCATTTTAACTTAATTACCTCTTTAAAAACCTTATCTCCAAATATCGCATTCTGAGGCACTGTGGACTATCACTTCAGCATATGAATTTGAGGGTAACACAAATTCCACACATTAACAGATGGAAGAACTGAGTCTGTGAGGTCAAGTGTCTTGCCCAGGCTCAGAGCACAGTCAGGACTTGTTTTCTGTACTAGACACCTAAGCAACAAGGAAACTTCTAATTTTCACTTTCTGATATATCATGGAATTTTTTCCACATCATTGAAAACACTTCTACATAATCCTTTTTAATATTACCTAGTTTCCCATTGTGTGATCATAATTTATGTAAGCAATCCTGCATTGATCTAAGATGTTTCTTGCACTTTTTAAAAAAATATGCCTGGGAAACATAGCGAGACCCTGCCTCTGCAAAAGAAAAAAAAAAATTATCCAGGAATGGTGGCAAGCACCTGTAGTCTCAGCTACTCAGGAGGCTGAGATGGGAAGATTGCTTGAATTCAGGAGTTGGAGGCTGCAGTGAGCTCTGATTACACCACTGTACTCCAGCCTGGGCAACAGAGTGAGACCCTGTCTTAAAATAATAATAATAACAACAATAATAATAATTCTACTATGAGCACCCTTGTAATTAAATATTTGCCACTAACCTTTATCATTTTGTGAAGATGAATTCCTAAAAGTAGAATTGTTGAATCACACATTATGCGGCTTTTAAAGATACTTCTACTTACTTTTTTTAAGAGTTAAGTATTGCACCTCCTACAATAATCATGGTTAAATGTTAAGTAGTTATCTTTTTTATAGTAGTGTTTTATATTCATGAGTCTACACATCCATACACATGCACAGATATATCTCAGATAGTTTGGATATTGCAAAATTAATCAAGGAAAGACTATTGTGAATTCTGGAGGAGGCTGACTCATTAATTTCACGAGTGGATCTCCAACTCCAACACAATGTTTGGCACTGAGAAACCCTCATTGAATATTTGATGAATATCTGAATGATAATCTAAGAATATAGTGCCTTACATTTGCCTAAAAATAATCTATTTATCTTTGCTGCCCCTGGGAGAGATGGTAAAGTTGTAACTACTGCAAAACAGGATTTCATTTTGTTTTAACACTAACAAAACATGCTTACATTCTAGATCAGAGGGCTTAAAGTAACTATTAGCAATAGGCTTAAAAATACCCACACAATGGAAGTGTTATTTTAAAAAATAATTTATAGACCGTATAGAACGTCACTAATGAATTCAGCTTTCAAGAGCAGGAAAAAGGTCACTGCTTTAATCCTGTTAATTGCCTTTATTCTGGCTCTAGAAATTTTAGAAGTTCTAAATTATAAGTTCATTGCAAATATTCTTATTTGATTATTTGGCTCATATAACGGCAAAGGAATAGAGGAGGTTTCCATGGGTTGGCAAATAAATAATTACCTGTCATATTTTGAAATTCTCCCAATGAGTTGTTACCTTTTTCATTGCATTTGCAAATGTAACATCACAAAATTGCCATTGTTTTTTCAATTTTTTTGTTTTCTGTTTCTCATAATCTATAAAATATTCAGCAGCTCAATTTAAAATAGAGAAATAACAAAAACACATTAAGCTTTCAAATTGCAGCTAAACACATTAATTTGGTGTAAAATGCTATAACCTAAAATCCTTTCTTTCTTTACTCATTGAGTGCATACTATGCTTGAAGCATTAGGCTGAAAACATAGAACTACAGATGTGTTACATTCTAAATTCCAACTGTTTGACAATTTGCTTTTTTTTCAGGATAGAATGTGGTTTCTTCATCTCTAAATGTTTTGTGGGACTATTCCTGCATTTTGACTTCCCTTTCTTTATTCATTAAGGTTTTCCCCATTGTTTTATTATTTGATTTGTGTATAGGTAAATAATCATTCTGTCCGTTTTACTTTCTTCTCTTCTACCTTTTATTACTTACTGAGTTGACTCTTTCATGTGTCTTCCATTGTGTTTTCTCACCTATTTTCCTGATTTTTTTCCTTTTAAGTACTGTATTAGTGACTTTGGGGAGGACAACTAACTTATGGAAAATGTTTATGTCTACCTTAGCTCTAATTCAAGTTCTCTTAAAGGCAGCTTTGACCTAAATTAATGGACTCTAAACTCTTTTGATCAGATACTCCATCAATAAAAAAATGTTTGAACACTCCCCGTAATATATGAGTATATATTTATGTACAAATGATATACATGTAATATACATTTATGAATATAAATAATTATATAATGTATGATTTAAAAACAAAAGTTGACAATGGAAATTAACAAAGGATGAGATTAAAATATGTATGTTGATGTTCGCATACTTTTTCTCTGAGCATCAATGGATCATCTTGTGCACCCACTGTGGAGGCCACTAGCTTGGGCTTTATCCTTGTCAGACAAGTAAGGAAATCAATGAGTGTCCTATTTACTCTAGTCCCTTTTAGAATATTCTGGGGAAAATGATGATGATAACTTCAAGATTCATATTTGGAACCCAGGACATTGAGCTTAACAATAATATATGTGCCTTGAAAAAATCAAACATTACAGAACTACACAATGAAGAAAGTGAAAGTCTCCCATTTTTCTTACTATCTAAAGAAAACCATTGTAATTGTTTGGTTATTGGCCTCCACATTTTTTTAAATGAACATATTAACGTATATTATTATCTTCTTTAACCAAAATGTGGCCATTCTCATTTATACGAGTTGTTTCATTACTTAATTTTCCAAGGATATCTTTCTGTGTTGATAAAAAGAGATTTTCTTTTAAAAGGATGCATGGGCCAGATGCCGTAGCTCATGCCTGTAATCCCAGCATTTTGGGAGGCCAAGGCAGGCAGATCTCTCAAGCCCAGGAGTTCAAGACCAGCCTGGCAACATGGTGGAACCACCATCTCTACAAAAAAAACAATAATTTGTTGGGCTTGTTGGCTCCTGCTTGTAGTCCCAGCTACTCGGGAGGCTAAGGTGGGATGTTTGCTTGAGCCTGGGAGGTCAAGGCTGCAGTGAGCCCTGACTGCGCCAGTACACTCCGGCCTGGGTGACAGAGTGAGATCTTGTCTCTAAAAAATAATAAATAAATAAATAAATAAATAAAAGATGCATGTGTTCCATTGTATGATGTATCTTAACTTATTTAATAAGTACTTATTCATACTCATTCCCAATGTTTCGCTCTCATAAACAATGGTACAATAAACATTCATGTACATATATTTTTGCATTCTTCCCTGGGTGTTTTCATAAGATAAAAGTGGAATTCTGGGTGTAAGGATATGAAATGTTTTTGGAACAATAAAATTTTCCATTGGTATTACTTAATTGCCCTCCAAAAGATAGCAGTAATACCCTCCCCAAAAGATTGGCTGCTTATTTTCCCATATCCTCTTTAGCGCTAAAAGGTATTAGCGTTTCAATGTTCTTTTTGGTCTGGAATGAAAAAAAATTTTTACTTGTTTTAATTTGCCTTTGTTTAATTGTTAATGTGACTGAGGATTCTTTTATATATTGGTCACATATTTGTGGGAGCAATAATTTTTTGTTGTTTCTATTTTTAACTTTTCATTATGGAAATTTGCAAGCATACAGAAAAGAAACATCATGCTTTAAAAATTGTCAGCGTTTTTTGCCAAACCAAGACGTCATATTATTTTATATAGGAAGTAGGATTGGAAGATGTCATTTAATGCCCTTTTGACCCAGGCACTCACTCCTAATTCCTTGGCTTTCCATAACAAGTTGTGAACTGTCTTGCTGCAGTGAAAACGTAGGTGCTGATTTAGATCACCAGAGGGCAGACCACGGGAAAAAAGGGAAAAAAGGAAAGGAAATCAACATCAACCAAGATCCTGCTTCAGTGTGACCCAGAGGTCTTAGGGAGCTTGCTCTCCCATTAATATTGGAGAGGAGGGGAGATTAATCAGAGGCATTGTTTTAAACCGTAGTAATGCATTTAATTATCTGATAGTAATATATTTAATTATCTGAGAGTAATGTATTTTATTATCAGATAAAATATGTTTTCTCATGAATTTCTAATCATTCTTTTATGGCATCCAAAAATTATGTTTTAATTACAATTGCATCAAATCTGTAAGACAGTTTGAAAAAAAAAGGTCCTTATGATATTTATTTTTCCTGTTGAAGAATATGGTGTTTTCCCCATTTAAGTCTTCATTTGTATCTCTCAATCAGCATTGTAGTTTTCCTTATAAAGATCATGCATATCACTCATTTTGCTTGGGTGAGTTTATTTTACATACATTCTAATTGGGTTTTGATGATTTTACAGAAATATACTGATTTTAGCAGCATTAACATTTAATATCTTTTTTTTTTTTTTTTTTTTAGACAGAATCTCGCTCTGTCTCACAGGCTGGAGTGCAGTGGCATGATCTCGGCTCACTGCAAACTCCGCCTCGCAGGTTCATGCCATTCTCCTGTCTCAGCCTCCCGAGTATCTGGGACTACAGGCACCCGCCACCACGCCCGGCTAATTTTTTGTATTTTTTAGTAGAGACGGGGTTTCACCATGTTAGCCAAGATGGTTTTCACCGTGTTAGCCAGGGTGATCTCGATCTCCTGACCTCGTGATCCGCCCGCCTCAGCCTCCCAAAGTGCTAGGATTACAGGCATGAGCCACCGTGCCTGGCCAATATCTGTGTTCTTTTATTAATTATAGTAGTTATGAGGTGATTCTTTTTAATTTTCTTGCTATGCAATCATATATTCTAAAAAATATATATTTTTTGTTTTTGCCCTTCCACTGTTTCTCTTTTTTCTGTTTCGTATTTTATTACAGTCACTAAAGATGATAAACAATGTGAAATGTTTAATAATGATGATAAAGAATGAATCTTTAGGCCAGGCACAGTGGCTCACACCCTATAATCCCAGCACTTTGGGAGGCCAAGGTGGGAGGATTGCTTCAGCCCAGGAGTTTCATACCAGCCTGGGAAACATTTTGAGATCCTGTCCCTACAGAACATACAAATAAAATTAGCCATGTGTGGTGTGCATCTGTGGCCCCAGTTACTGGGGAGGCTGAGGTAGGTGGATCCCTTGAGCCCAGGAGGTGGAGGCTGCAGTGATCTGTGATTGCACCAGGGCACTCCAGCCTGGGTGTCAAAGGGAGACTCTGTCTCAAAAAAAAAAAAAAAAGACAAAAGAATACATCTTTACCAGGTATAACTGACTTTTTAAAATTTTTAAGAAAGGCTGGGCATGGTGGCTCACGCCTGTAATCCCAGCACTTTGGGAAGCTGAGCAGGCGGATCACCTGAGGTCAGGAGTTCAAGACAAGCCTGGCCAACATGGTGAAATCCCATATCTACTAAAAATAAAAAAATTAGCTAGGTGTGGTGGTGCAAGCCTGTAATCCCAGCTACTCAGGAGGCTGAGGCAGGAGGATCATTTGAACCTGGGAGGCGAGGGATACAGTGAGCCAAGATCATGCCACTGCATTCCAGCCTGGGTGACAAGAGCAAAACTTCATCTCAAAAAAAAAAATTGTAAGAAATACTCTTCATTATGCTTATTTTAATTTTTTTTTCACCCAGCCTGGGCAACAGAGCAAGACTCTTTGTCTCGAAACAAAGAAAAAAAAAGTTTTTATAGAGATGGGGGTCTCACTGTGTTACCCAGGGTGGTCTTGAAGTCCTGTGCTCAAGCAATTCTCCCACTTTGGCCTCCCAAAGTGCTGGGATTACAGACATAAGCCACCTTGCCCAGCCCAGGTTAAGGTTTTAATGTATTTTTGAACTGTTTGCTGGCATTTTAACTATTTTATATCTAATATTTATAGTAGGATTTGTCTTACTAAAATTTTTTGGTGTATCACATCTTTATTGAATTATAGTGTCAGAGCTATGTTTAGCTCATAAGAGAACTAGATAATATACAATTATTTTCTCTTTTGTTCCAGAAAAATATATAATGATTTTTATCCATGTCAGTATTATTTATATATTCCTAAGGCATTTCTGAAAAGAATGCTGTTTTTAAAATTTAAAAGTGGAAAATAAATAAATGTTTGTATCACAGTAGAGACATTTTATAATTCAAAACCCTTAACTGTTAATAGAGGTTATTTTTTTTCTACCCCTACATGTTAAAGAAGTGCCTACCAAACTCATCATAAAAGATTATTTCTGTCTGGGTGTGCTATGGGTTATACTATTATATAAAGCAGACAAAATCCTTTATTTTCCTCAGCTGTTCTGCTCAGTCACAGAAAGAATAAAATGATGCCTAGTTATTCAGCATCTGAAATGTTATACCAAGTCAAAAGTTGCTGCATATTTACTTTTCACAAGAAGCTATTGCATTTCTTAGGTGCTGGAAGATAATAGCCACAATAAGCCATTACATTTCTTACTAGCTTATAGATAATAAAATTCCAAGGAAGTCTTCCTTGGAAGAAAAAGGCAGTAAAGAATTTGACCCTTGTTTTATCTAGTTGTATATCTTGCCTCTAAAAGTAACTTTTCAAGCCAGCAAGGGTGTGTAAATAAAGAAAAAGAAAAAAAATAGAAGTAACTCATAGCATGGATAATTAAAAAGTAGTTGTGATAAACTTCCAGGTAAGTAATATTGATAAAGCTTAATTATGACCCTTTCACTCACAACTGGTCATACTCCATGACAGCATCAACAGAACTTTCTACCCTAATGAAAATGTTCTATTTCTGCATGTCCAGTGTGCTCTGTGTCCAGTGTGGCTCTTGAGAGCTTGAAATATGGCTTGTACAACTGAGAAACTGAATTTTCTTTTAATTTAATTTAATTTATTTATTTATTTTGAAATGGGGTCTTGCTCTGTTTTCCAGGCTGGGGTGCAATGGCACAGTCTCAGCTCACTGCAACCTCTGCCTTCTGGGTTCAAGCGATTCTCCTACCTCAGCCTCCTGAGTAGCTGGGATTACAGGCGTGCGCCACCACGGCCGGCTAATTTTTGTATTTTTAATAGAGACAGGGTTTCACCATGTTGTCCAGGCTAGTCTCGAACTCCTGACCTCAGGTAATCCGCCCACCTCGGCCTCTCAGATTGCTGGGATTATAGGTGTGAGGCACTGTCCAGGCCTATTTAATTTTAATTAATTTGAATTTAAGTAGTCACACGTGGCTAGTAGCTACCATATTGGACAGTGCAGCTTCAAAGTATGAAATTTACTCAGTATGAGTACATTAAAAACTTAGAATGTTTCACCACTAAACATGTCCTTACTATGCATACATAATTTTCATTTCTAATATTTTGACAGTTGAGAATCAGTATCAGTCTCTGCTCATGTCTCCAAAATTATTTATACTGGCATCTTAACAATTTGGTTTGACACTTACTTCCTATCTGAGCGTCCTTATTTTGCCATTCTGAGAAGGATCTGTTTTTTCCACCTTTGGCATTTTGTTGCTGTTGTTTCCCTTTGTTAACATTCTTTTAGCTCTGTCTGTACTTTTTGCATCTAATCCTACTGAATTTTTGCTATTTTTTTAATAGGTGATTTGGTTTAAATAATGGACATGAACATTTTGCCATGTATAAATTATGGATAATTATATCAAAAAATGGTCTTGGGTAAGCAGGAGAATCGCTTGAACCCAGGAGGCGGAGGTTGCAGTGAGCCGAGATCATGCCACTGGACTCCAGCATGGCGATAGAGCGAGACTCAGTCTCAAAAAAAAAGAGAGAGAAAACAAAAGAGTTTACCAGGCCGGGCATCCCAGCACTTTGGGAGAGTGCCAGTTATATCCATCTCCACAGGTTCCCTGAAGATCTCATTCTTATGACTAGTTATCTCCTTCACTCTAGAATCTAAGGAATGGTTTACAACTATTTATGGGTTCTTGTGTCTAATCTTTAAATTGTATTCTTGTTTTGTTGAGCATCCAGGGACATATTAGTTAATCATTTAGTCCTGGCTGTCTTGTGATTTTAAAAAATGCCTTTGGCGGTCGGGTGCAGTGGATCAAGCCTGTAATCCCAGCACTTTGGGAAGCCGAGGTGGGCAGATCACTTGAGCCCAAGAGTTTGGGACCCTCCTGGGCAACACGGGGAAACCCTGCCTCTACAAAAAAATACAAAAATTAGCTGAGCGTGGTGGCATGCACCTATACTCCCAGCTACTTGGGAGGCTGAGGCAGGAGAATCACTTGAACCCAGGTGGTGGAGGGTGCAGTGAGCCAAGATTGAGCCACTGCACTCCAGCCTGGGCGATAGAGTGAGAACTTGTCTCAAAAAAGAAAAAAAAAAAAGGTTTACAAAAAAAATTTTAATGAGAACTGTAAGAATTGAATCAACACTTTAGTACTGAAATTACACCCATATCATTGAACTACTTTTCAAAGATGAATCCATTGTCCTAATCCATTACCATAATTACACTTTTTTAAAAACTCACTGAAACTATGCACTTCAGTAAACACCAGTTTTACATGTAGTATCCACAACCATATCCATTATTACTGAAACTTTAAGATTTGGTGTTTATACTATTGTAACAATCCTGCATATGTTGCTTCTTGTATTTCTATAGGAGTATAAATGTATATTTAAAACACATTCTGGTAACTTGTTAGCTCCCAAGTAGGGAAAAATACAAATTTTAAAAAGCCTTACAGGCCAGGCATGGTGGCTCATGCATGCAATCCCAACACTTTGGGAGGCTGAGGCAGGAGGGCAGGAGGATGGCTTGAGACCAGGAGTTTGAGACCAGCCTGGGTAACATAGCAAGTCAGCCCTCCCTCAGCCCCCACCACCGCTCGTCTCTACAAAAAAAATTATTTAAAAATGTGCTTGGAGTGGTGGCATACACCTGTAGTCCCAGCTCCATATGAGGCTGAGGAGGAAGGAAGGCCTGAGCTCAGAAGTTCAAGGCTGCAATGAGCGCAGTGAGCCATGATGGCGTCACTGCTTTCCACTCCAGGCAACAGAGCAAGAGCCTGTCTCAAAAAAAAAAAAAAAAAAAAAGAAGGATTTTGGTTTCAAATGACCTAATAGGATAAAGGAATTATTTCAATGAATTATCTTTTGATTAACAGATCTCAAAGTACCACTTTTAGAGAGGTTGGACCAACCATTCATTTGATGCTGAAACTTCATCATTTAATAAATGAATTCATCATTTAAGTCATTATCTTAAGTATTTAGGAATAATGGTGGCTGCCTAAATATAAAAAACCAAAAGCTAAGCTAATTTTAAATGAAATTATATGTGAGTGCAATCCAGCTATTGAAAACATTGAAATATTGTACTAGCTGAATATGTAACAGTTCAAACTCAAGTTTTAAAATATATTTTTCTATCATGGAGAAAATTGCCTACTAAGATTTTTTTTTTTTTGAGACAGTGTCTTGCTCTGTTGCCCAGGCTAGAGTGCAGTGGTGTGATCTCAGCCCACTGCAGTCTCCTTCTCCTGGGTTCAAGCGATTCTCCTGCCTCAGCCTCCCAAGTAGCTAGGATTACAGGCATGCACTACCACACCCAGCTAATTTTTTGTATTTTTAGTAGAGACAGGGTTTTGCCATGTTGGCCAGGCTCATCTCTAACTCCTGACCTCAAATGATCCGCCCACCTCGGCCTCCCAAAGTGCTGGGATTACAAGCATGAGCCACCGTGCCTGGTCCCAATTCTTGATAAAATAAAATCTTACTACCTTAATGCTCCTCTTTTTATTTATTTATTTATTTATTTATTTATTTATTTATTTATTTATTTATTTATTTTTACTATGCTACTCATGGCATCTGAACCTTACCAATTTATAATTTATAATATAAAATTTCTGCTTGCATTTTTCATAGAAAAATATTTTGTTAAAATAATAATGTGAACACAAAAAATAATATAAAACATGAGATAATCCTTGTTATTTTTGTATGTATTTTTTAAATTAATGTAGCCAGGGGTAGTGACTCATGCCTGTAATCTCAGTACTTTGGGAGACCAAGGCGGGAGGATCGCTTGACTCCAGGAATTTGAGACCAGCCTGGGAAACAGGGCAATACCATGTCTCTACAAAAAATACAAAACATTAGCTGGGCCTGGTGGCATGTGCCTGTAGGTACATGCCTGTACTCCCAGCTACTCAGGTGGCTGAGATGGGAGGATCACCTGAGCTGGGGAGTTCAAGGCTGCAGTGAGCCCTGAATGTGCCACTGCACTCCAGCCTGGGTGACAAAGTGAGACTCTGTCTCAAAAAAAAAAAGTTAATGTAATGTTAGATCATTTTTTATGATAGCTGGGGATATTAGCTATTCTTATCTGTTTATTCTTTTTGATAAATTTCAGAATTATTTTGTCAAGTTCTCCCAAATTATTTTTTATTGGGATTTTGCTCTATGCATATTAATTCATTGGTGGGAGAACGACATTATTAAAATAGTAGTCTTCTAAAAATATCATATTGCTTTTCTTGTACTTTATACTTTTCAGAAGAATCTTCTGGTTTTCTTCATATTGGTAATATATTTTCCCTCAAAGTTCATTAACTTATTCACATCTGCTGCTATTGTAAATTAGGATTCCTTTTTAATTACTTATTTCAAACTGAGTATTTTTGGTACCTGTGAATGGCATTTAATTTATACATGAATATTTTATATGTACTGTATATATTTTATTTATGTTTTTTCCTTATTTATGTGTATTACCTTATTTCCAAACATTTTACTAAGCTTTTTAGTCTCCCAAAAAATGGAAAGTTTGTTTATTGTCCATTTGGTTGATCAAAAGTTATACCGACTTTTGGACTTTGGGGGCTCAGGGGAAATGGTCGAGGGTGGTGAGGAAAAGACTGCAAACCGAGTACAGTGGCATAGTGCTTAGGTGATGGGTGCACCAAAATCTCAGAAGTCACTACTAAAAAACTTATTCATGTAACCAAACACCACCTGTTCCCCAAAAACCTATGGAAATAAAAAATAAAAATAAAAAATAAAGAGTTATACCTACTTTTTATGCTATGTTCATTAAAGTTTGAAACTCACTGGAGTTGTGAGCACTGGGGTTATCACATATAGACAAAGGGCTCTTGCCTGCAGAGTTAGAAGAACAGTAGGAAAACATTCCAGAAAATCTGTAAATCATTAAGAAATAGTAATTTATGAATCTCTTAATTGATTTACAGATCAATTAAGAAATACATAATCCATTAAGAAAGACATAATTTCTGTATGTATATGTACACAGAGATTCAAGGGTGTATAGAGATTTTGTTACAGGAAGTCACTGTAAGAGTGTTCAATATGAATTGACATAAACTTCTGAAACTTTTAAAAATTTTTATATATTTTTAATTATTGTTTTAGAGATGGGGTCTCACTATGTTGCCCAGGCTGGTCTTGAACTCCAGGGCTCAAGCAATCCTCCTACCTTGTCCTCCAAAGTGCTGGGATTACAGGCATGAGCCACTGTGCCCCACCCAAATTCTGAAACTTTTGAAGAGGTTATTGGTATGTTGATGTTTGGGGAATAAATTAGGCATTTAATATTAATTGAATGAATGAATAATTCAATGAATGAATACATGTAGCACTTTGCTATGCCCAGAGGGTACAATGATAAGCAAAAACAGATTTGAGAAAGAGAGACATTAAGTAAAGACCAAGACAAATGCATCTTCTGGTCCTGGAGAAAAGAATTTGAGGAGCCCAGAAATTTTGGCAGCCACAGGCACCCTCCCCAACGTAGCCTTAACCACCCAGAGGAAATCTAACCCTAATGGACACTATTCCCTTTGGGGTCTCCCATCCAAGTCCCTGGTTTGTGAAACAAAAGCCAGAAATACTCCTACTGGACACAGTTGTCAAATAGATGACGACCTGGGTAGGAGAGCGCCTACGCCACCACTCCACCTTCAGTTAGGTGCCTAAAACTTCTATTGCCTGACCAATTTCCTTCCTCACTTGCAAGTCGCTAAATATTCTCAACGACTTTTCAAGGAACCAGCAGAGCCTGAGACCTCAGTCACGTATCCCTGAACAGCGGGTGAACCTAGCTATTCGTACTGCCCAAAAGCCAAGGATGTCCACCGTTGCCCATAGCCACTTTCCAGGGTGCCCAAACCACACACTGGCTATGCCATGTGCACCCCTGAAACAGGAAGCAAACTCCATGATCCATTGCATTTGGGTGGAGCCTCAAGTGTTTAGGACTAAGAACTGCATAAAATTTGCCTGATAACAGTTTGGAGGGAAGACTGGTTTCCAGAAAAGCATTACACTATTTTGACTTATAAACACCTTGGTTTCCCAAAGCTTCTGAATACTTTGGTCTATAATCAGCCAGTCAGTCCCAATCAGGAAAACAAAAAACACTGTACATCATTCAAACACAAAGGGATTTAATTCTGGGAAACGGTTGCAAAGGCATTGGAAAGGCTGGGGGAGAAAGGAACGAAGGCTGCCCAGAGATGAGAGAGCTGCTACCACTCTTAGGCTGGAGCCCTCTAGCTGCATTTGCTGCTGGAGGTTACGGTGTGGCCAGTGCCAATTCTCTACCTTCACAGAAGAGGCCCTATGTGGCCAGTGCCGAATTGGCCACTGAGACACCTCCACCACTGGTGCCAGATCAGAATGGCGTCTTTCCTCTCACCAGTAACTCTCATTGGCCAAATTTGACTAGAAGCCAGTCGGTAAAGGATTCTGGGAAATGGAGTATACAGGCTTCCAGGCCCTGCAGTTATAAAACAGAGTGCAGAAAGGGAATGTGACATTGAGCCAAGAAATGTAACTGGCACAATAATATCAATCAGGCTGGGCATGGTGGCTCATGCCTATAATTCCAGCACTTTGGGAGGCTGAGGCGGGCAGATCACTTAAGGCCAGGAGTTCGAGACCAGCCTGGCTAATATGGTCTCTACTAAAAGTACAAAAATTAGCTGGGCGTGGTAGCCCATGCCTGTAATTCCAGCTACTAGGGAGACTGAGGCAGGAGAATTGCTCAAACCCAGGGAGCAGAGGTTGCAGTGAGCCGAGATTGCGCCACTGCACCCCAGCCTGGGCAACAGAGCAAGACTCCATCTCAAAAAAAAATTAATTAAAATAATGTTAAATAATTTTTAATCAGTTACATTTGATAGGAAATTCTGAATGACTGAACAAATATAAAACATTAATCACTTCCCAATCATTTCTTGGGAAATCTTACTGTTGAGGTTTATTAGGATGGCAATAATACACCTACTATGTGCCCACAAAAATTAAAATTTTTTTTAAAAAAAGATGGCAGTAACACAAGACCAAGATAGGTAGTTAAGGATGGATGAGAAAAGGAAAAATGATGAAAGGCAGCATGGATTTTGAAAAAGACTCCATTTTTTCCAATTAGAAAGCATTTTGTCTTCAAAATTGAGGATGGGGGTAGAGGAGCAACAACTGAAACCTTTCCTTTTGTCTAAGTGGCAAGAGCCAATGAGATTCATAAGAAAAAAAAAAATCTAGCTTACTAATTATCTGTAAAGTCGCCTTTATAATGGAAGAAGAGCAAGTCACCAAAAATACAAAAGCTAGATTAAATTAGCATCCTTCAATGTCTTTAGACAACGGAGTAAAACAGCATAATAGAGTTATGTCCCAAGATTAACTTCCTTTTCATATACCACTCAGGCAGATCCACAAGCATTTGTAAAAGGCTCACATTACCATCATTTGATACCTGATGTGGAATTTTTTAAAGCTTCTTTTTATTTCCTCCACCCTCACTCTGATTGATAAAGTGCTTCGTTAGAGTTCACTGAGGTTTTGTGGCCGGAATTAAATGATTCGAAAATGAGTTAATTCCTATTTTGTTAGTTAGCATAAAAAGCATTCAAAGAGCAGTGCTGAGCAGAAGGATTGCACTAATGGTAAACATGCATAGATCATTTCAAAGATTGTTTTGAAAATTCTACTGTATAGTAGAGCACATTTAATTTTAAAAGATCTTATACACTTAAAACACTAGTTTTTAAAATAAGCTTTTCTCCTTTCCAGGGCATATGTGTATGTGCACAGACATCCTACATCTATAAGTATATTTTGTGAGATACTATTCTGAAATGCTATTCCAGAGACTTTTTCCAGAATTATGAAACAGCTTAGAATTATAAAAGTTGGGATGGCTTTCTGGAACCTTTTTATTTTTTAAAAGCTGTCACTTGCTGTCATCATAAAACGCCTAATATTACCAATGGAAATTAATATTGATATAGGTATTAAAATAAGCTCATCTATATATTTACATTTTTCACTTGTGATAAAAGGAAGAATATTTCTGTTATATACTTTTCTTACGTTTGTGCACAATTCTCTCTCAGTTCTCCTAGGTCCGAGGTAGTCAACCCATTTCACAGTTAAACCTTCTAGGAAAATACTGGAGATGTGAAAGCAATGGATTGAGTTATATTTGTGAAGCGTAAACTTTCCCCTCTCTCCTCTTAGAAGGGATAGGGCAAACATTCAAGACACATTCATGGAATGCTGCAATGGAGACTCCAAATGGGTGATTTCACAGGTGACCTGTTTTCAGTTCCACTGTGGCAGGATGCACAGGTGTGGTTGTGCTGATTGTTCAGATAATGAAACTTTTCCATACCCATTGTGATATGCAGAATCGTGGCCTCCAAAAATGCCCATTCCCTAATCCTCTGGAATCTGTGAAAATGTTCCTTTACATGGCAAAAGGGACTTTGCAAATGGGGTTAAGGTTAAGGATATTGAAATGGAGAGAGTACTCTGGATTATCCAGGTGGGCCCAATCTAATTACAAGGATCCTTCAAAGTGGAGGACCTTTCCCAGCTGCAGTCAGAGGGAGTGATGTGACTATGGGAAAAGGATCAGAGGGAGATGCAATGTTGCTGGCTTTGAAGACAGAGGAAATGGACCATGAATCAAAGAATGTGGGCAAATTCTAGAAGCTGAACAAGGCAAGGAAACCTATTCTTCTTCAGCGCACCTGAAAAGTAATACAGCCATGTCAACACCTTCATTTTAGATCAGTGAGACCTGTGCCTGACTTCTGACTTAAAGAACCGTAAGATAATAAATTAATGTTATTTTAAACCACTAAGTTTGTTGTAATTTGTTACTGCAGCAATAGAAAACTGATACACCCATAAAGTCACTGCACCAACTCCCCCTAGTGCCTCGGCCATCCTGACCCTTCCCTTAGGACCCTCAGTCTAGCATAAAAGGAGTAACCCCTGGCATAGCAGGATTCCAATATCGCAGCCAGCTTTCATTCTGACTGGGCTATGACTAAGCATTACCAGTTGTGAAATATTTTGAGCATCACTTGATCACAGGGGGCAAAGTCAGCAACTTTCAAACTTTTTTTTTCCCTTCTCCACCTACAGTAAAATATACATTTTAATCTCAACCTAGGACACACACATATTATAGAAATGAGACTAATATTTCATGAAACAGTACTTACCTACATGCACTGCACAATGATATTTTCAAATTCTACTCTTTTCTATTTTTTTCTTACAGGGGCCATGCTAATCTTTGCTGTGTCATTCCAATTTTAGTATATGTGCTGCCAAAGGGAGCACCTTTTCTATTTTTTAATGTAAATTATAACCATTAAACTGATTTTATGATTTACCAGTAGGTTTCTATTCTCAAATGAAAACACTGACCTAGATCGTGACAAGTCTATGGTGAAGATGTAGTGTCTGATACAGAATATTTTCCATTTTATTTTTTACAGAAGCATAAACATTTGTTCAGAACATAAATTATTTCTATATGTAACCATAATTCATTGTTGTTAAATATTATTAATGTGCCAAATATGTATTTGCTTTCTCTTGGTGAATATCAAACCCATGACAGTTTGGAAATCAAGCCTAATTGTAAGAGAGTGGGACCACAGCAGGGAGATGGAATGCTCTAGAAACCATTTTTAAACAAATAGATATAGTCATTGGCTACATGTATTTTATGTTCTGTTTTCTATTACTCAATTTATTTCTGCTTTTGTTTTTAATATTTCCCTTCTTCTCACTTGCCTTTAAGAAATTACCCATTTTCTAGCCAAGCGTGGTGGCTCACACCTGTAATCCCAGCATTTGGGAGGCCAAGGTGGGTAGATCACTTGAGGTCAGGAGTTCGAGTCCAGCCTGCCCAACATGGTGAAACCCCATCTCTACTAAAAATACAAAATTTAGCTAGGCATGGTGGCACCCAACTGTAATCCCAGCTACTCGGGAGGCTGAAGCAGGAGAATCGCTTGAATCTGGGATGTGGAGTTTGCAGTGAGCTGAGATCATGCCATTGCACTCCAGCCTGGGCAACAGAGTGAGACTCTGTCTCAAAAAAAAAAAATTATCCGTTTTCTTTTATAGATTTTTAAAGGTTCATTTATTGCATTTCTCTTTGTTTCTTATTACTATTTATAGCTGCAGCATCATTTTAACAACTTACACTTTGTTTCAGTATCCCCTTCGTTTAGTGGTCCTGGATATTTCCCTTACTTTCTTGGGAGTTTATGCATTTATAATTATGTTTGCTATAATGGTAATGGAACTAGCTTTTCTGAGAGTTGGTAGCGAAAGTGTTTTAAGCTTATGCTATGTAATAGTTAGCTTTCAGTAGGTTATGTTGCGGAACAACAACAACAAAAAGAAAACAAAATCACAGTGGCTTGACAATAACAAAGGTTAATTACTCATCCACTATACACACTGTGGTTATAGCTCTGTTCTAGGATCTTTATTCCAGGAGCAACCACGATGCAGCACACGCAGACCTCACGTCTGAACCACCAGATGTCTTTTAAAGCTTCTGCTTAGATGTGGGGCATACATCACTTCTGCATACATTCCATAGGCAAAGCAAGTCATAAGGTTAACGTTAATGAAAATGGGTAAACATAATCCTTTTATAGGGAGGACAGCAAATAATAGGGAAAAATAACATACTCTATCCCATGTTATCCCCCATAATGCTGCAACCGGAAAGGTTTATCCTTGCATCTCTGTCAAATCAAAACTCTGTTGTTGGATTATATTTGAGATTTACCATTATAGCATTTATGTGTTCATTTGTAAATGTATCTTTAATCATGGTATAATGCTGCTTATCTTCCTAAAAGCATTTTGCTATAAAATCAACAGTGCTTATCATGTTTTTATAGGCCACACCAGGCTGTGGCTACTATAGATTATAACAACATTAAGGGGACAGTATTTTTCTAGTTTCACCTATACCCACAGCAATGCAAAGCCTTGTCTTTCCCTCAAAATTAATTACATGTGCTTCTGCAAGGAGTGCCCTGGTGCCCAGGATTCTTCTTGGTACATATCCAGACTGAAGCCCTAGTCTGTTAGGACAACAGCAGTGTTCCCTGTCACCTCCAGACCTCTACAGAACAGTGTTGCTTTGTACATCTCACTTTTAGAGAATCCAGGGATTTCACTCTTTCTAAAGTAATGGCTGTCTCTCCTTAGGGATTTGGCCCAAGGCCCTAGTTGCTAGGACACAGTTGGATTAAAAATATGATAAATATACATTGTACCATACTGAAAATTACTTCTGACAACCAAATTTTATATTTGAATATACCCATTACCCTCTCCCTCTTCCTCCCTCCTCTGCTGTTCATGCCCATAGATCTTCTAATAACCAATCCCACCCAGGAACTTCTGTGAAAACTGATAAAATTTAAACTCCAGGCATAATGAATTGTAAGTAATTCCCCTTTCTTTATTAAAATGTTCTTATCTTAAAACATTTTATCACAATAATTACATACATGGAAAAAAAACAATAATGTAATAGGGCTTATAATGAAAAATAAAAAAGGTGTTCTACTGCCCCACCCTCTCCCACCCCTAATTGAACTTCTCAGAGGAAACCACTTTTAACTGTTGCTATTTCATGGCTTTCTTGTTCTCGTTTTTTTGTTTGTTTGTTTGTTTTGTTTTTTGTTTTTCAAACAGACGGAGTCTTGCTGTATTGCCCAGGTTGGAGTGCAGTGGCCATTCACAGGCACCATCATAGCTCACTGCAGCCTTGAACTCCTGGACTGAAGCAATCCTCCTGCTTCAGCCTTCCAAGTAGTTGGGACTACAAGTATCTGCCATCAGACCTTCCTACCAAGGCTTTTTGATGGTTACTTCTTTAATTCTAAACAATGGGCCTTTACTACTATTTCTTGATTTACTGGTAAACACTGTAGTAGATGAGATTAATTCCCATCTTTTCATGTTCTCCCTCTTCCTCCTGCTATCTGTGCTTATACTGTTATTTTCACATTACAAAGGTTGACATAACCACATTTAAGTTTTCTCTGTTTTGCTTTTAGGCTACTGCTAAAAATTGAGGCCGGGCGTGGTGGCGCACGCCTGTAATCCCAGCACTTTGGGAGGCCGAGGTGGGCGGATCACAAGGTCAGGAGATCGAGACAATCCTGGCTAATACGGTGAAACCCCTTCTCTACTAAAAATACAAAAAATTAGCCGGGCGTGGTGGCGGGCACCTGTAGTCCCAGCTACTTGGGAGGCTGAGGCAGGAGAATGGTGTGAACCCGGGAGGCGGAGCTTGCAGTGAGTTGAGATTGCGCCACTGCACTCCAGCCTGGCTGACACAGCGAGACTCCATCTCAAAAAAAAAAAAAAACTGAAAACCACTAACAATCATTGACACATTGTAACTATGTAAATATTATTGATAGAAAAATTAGATACTAGGATTTTATTCTCCTCTCCACAGGGAGTCTACAGGTACTCTAAAAGACTATTCAAGTTTAAGATTACAGAGTTTTAAATTTACAAGAAAAAAAAAACCACCCCTTTAAAAAGTGGGCAAAGGATATGAACAGACACTTCTCAAAAGCAGACATTTATGCGGCCAAGAAACATACGAAAAAAAGCTCAACATCACTGATCACTAGAGAAATGCAAATCAAAACCACAATGAGATACCATCTCACACCAGTAAGAATGGCAATTATTCTTTTATTTTTATTTATTTATTTTTTTGAGACAGTCTCGCTTAGTCACCCAGGCTGGAGTGCAATGGTGCGATCTTGGCTCACTGCAAACTCCGCCTCCTGGGCTCAAGTCATTCTCCTGCCTCAGCCTCCCAAGTAGCTGGGATTATAGGCGCTTGCCACCACGCCTGGCTAATTTTTGTATTTTTAGTAGAGATGGGGTTTCACCATGTTGGCGAGGCTGGCCTTGACCTCCTGACCTCAGGTGATCCGCCCACCTCGGCTTCCCAAAGTGCTGGGATTACAGGCGTGAGCCACCGCACCTGGCCAGAATGGCGATTATTAAAAATTCAAGAAACAACAGATGCTGGCAAGGCTGTGGAGAAATGGGAATACTTTTACACTGTTGGTGGGAATGTAAATTAGTTCAACCATTGTGGAAGACAGTGTGGCAATTCCTCGAGGATCTAGAACCAGAAATACCATTTGACCCAGCAATCCCATTATTGGCACCCGCCACCACACCAAGCTAATTTTTTGTATTTTTACTAGAGATGGGGTTTCACCATGTTGGCCACGCTGGTCTCGAACTCCTGACCTCAGGTGATCTGCCCACCTTGGCCTCCCAAAGTCCTAGGATTACAGGCGTGAGCCACCATGCTCCGTAACATGGCAATTTTAGATATTGCCATGATGCTACCACACAAAAAAGGTGATACTGATTTACATTACCACTATCAGTTCATATGACTGCGTATTTTCTCAATTCTCTTAATTTTAGACTATATATTTTTGCCTTAAATCTACCAGCACCTTCTATTTTTCCAGCTCACTCTCACTGTTCCTTGACTCCCACAATTTTTCCACTCCTGAAACCTATAGGCCATTACCGCCTTTTCACTGCCCATCACTCCCTGTTAAGTTCACTCTTTTCTACTTCTCCAGCTTGTATTTCATGGTCCATCATTATAGTTATTTTTGCATACACTCTTAAATATCTTTCCTCTCTTTGCCTTCACTGTGCTTTATGGCCAAACTCCAGGCCCAGTTAAATCCAGCTCTCTTCCTATGTCACACCCAGCAGTTAAATGTGACTGGAGAAAAACAACCAACCATGCAGAAGATACTGCAAATTCATAGCTCCACCTTCAAATGAGTTTTAATAGATTCCCATACATTCCCTAGCCCATTTACTCTCCAACTCTTCTAGAGGGCTATTTCATTCCTTTTCCCTCTTCAACTCTCCATCATCTGCTGATCCCTCTGCTGATGACTTTGCTTCCTACTTCACTGAGAAAATTTCCATAGCTACCAGCATCAGTGCCCACATATTCTGCTTTCTCTCCTGTTACTGTAGATACACTGTCCATCCTCCTATCGAAAGACACACTCTGCAGTTGTGCTCTGAATTCCATCCTCTTTCACATTTTATTTTATTTATTTATTTATTTATTTTTGAGACAGGGTCTTGCTCTGTTGCCCAGGCTGGAGTGCAGGCTGGAGTGCGATCTTGGCTCACTGCAACCTCTGCCTCCTGGGTTCAAGCGATTCTCCTGCCCCAGCTTCCCAAGTGAGTAGCTGGGATCACAGGCGTGTGCCACCATGCCCGGCTAATTTTTGTGTTTTTAGTAGAGACAGGGTTTTGCCATGTTGGCCAGGTTGGTTTCGAATTTCTGACCTCAGGTGATCTGCCTGCCTCAGCCTCCCAAAGTGCTGGGATTACAGGCATGAGCCACTGTGCCCGGCCCTCTTTCACATTCTCAAGGCCCTCTCTCCAGGAATTATTCTCTCTCCTGCACCATCAATGTTTTCTTACTACTGAATCATTCCTACTAGTATGAAACATGCTGTAATATTCCCTTTTAGAAAAAAAAACTATCCATTTTTCCACATCCCTTCTAGCCAATGTCCCACTTGTCGTCTCCCCTTATGTGAAAAAAACTTGTCTATATTTATTGTTTCTTCTATATTTCTCCCCTTATCTGAAAAAACTTGTCTATATTTACCGTTTCCACTTCATCTCCTTCTATTCTCTCCTGACCTCATTTCAATCAGGCATTTACCTCGACCATTCCACAAAAGCAGTTTTAGTCAAGGTACCCAGTGACCTTCCTGTTGTCATATCCAAAGATCAAGCCTCAGTCATCCTCTTACATGTAACCCATTTGCAGTATTTGACACAGTTGATTATGTTCTCCTTGAAACACTTTATTCCCATTTCTGTTTAAATGTCACTTTCTCATAGAGGACTTTCCTGAACACTCTGGGTTAAACAGCCAACCAAATAGTCCTTTTTACTTTACCTCTCTACTCTGCAGTATTAATAACCATCTGACATATTTTATATTAGTTTATAGACTTTATCCCTTATAATTCAGTCTTAGTTTGAACAAAACAACTGTAAAATGGCATCTTGGAAAGAATTAGTAATATTTGGATTGGGCATGGTGGCTCCCACCTGTAATCCCAGTGCTTTGGGAGGCCAAGGCAGGCGGATTACCTGAGGTCAGGAGTTTGAGACCAGTGTGGCCGACATAGTGAAACCCCATCTCTACTAAAAATACAAAAATTAGCTGGATGTGATGGTGTGTGCCTGTAATTCCAGCTACTTGGGAGGCTGAGGCGCAAGAATCACTTGAACCTGGAGGCAGAGGTTGCAGTGAGCCGAGATCGCACCACTGCACTCCAGCCTGGGTGACAGAGGGAGACTCCGTCTCCAAAAAAAAAAAAAAGAAAAGAAAAGAAAAAGAAAAGAATTAGTAATATTTGAATACAAACCAGGTATTAGATGATATTAATTACATTAATTTTGGTACGTATGCTATTTATGTGAAAAATAAAAGTTCTTATCAGTTACAGATGCAAAATGCCATATCTGCGAGTGACTTGACATAATGTCTGAAATTTTCTTTAAATTACTCAAGAGTGAGTTCAAGATTTTTGGCTTGATCAATTAGAGTGTGCAACTATTATTTGCAGAGATTTTGAAATCTCTGTGGGAGATTTCAAAAAATTTGGGAAAAAATAATGGGTTTGGTTGGAACATGTTAAGTTTAAGATGTGTATAGATACTCAAGTAGAGACATTGAGTAAGCATTTGGATACACCAGCCTGGATTTCATGGATATGATAAATATCTGTGACTCATGAAGGTATACATGATACATAAAGCCAAGACTGGATGAGAACATTTTAAAAATGAAAGTAGATTTAAAAAAAAAAAAAAAGGTCTGAGAACTAAGCCTACTAAACCACTCCAAAATTCAGGGCCAGACATGGGGAGCAGTCATTGGAGAAGATGAGGAAGAAGTGGCCAGTGAAGTAGGAAGAAACAAGTATGGCAGCCTGAGAACCAAGCAAAGAAAGTGCCCCCACCTAGGGTTCCAGAAATGGTGGTATAATTAAAGTTTAACAAGTTAGTATAACACAATTCTTTATTTCTCTATGTCAAAATATAGAACAACGGAAGATAATTGATATAAAATGCCAGACCTTTTATAGTAATGATATTTTAGAATTCTATAAATAAAATTCCATTATTATGCAAATTATGGTTTGAATAATAGCGAAGTGTCACTAATCTCAGGATATATTATTTTTTTCTTTTTGAGACAGGGTCTTCCTCTGTCACCCAGGCTGGAGTGCAGTGGTATGATCATAGCTCACTGTAGCCTCAGCCTCCCAGGCTCAAGAAATCCTCCCACCTCGGCCTCCTGAGTAGCTGGGATCACAGCTATGTACCACCACGGCCAGCTCATTTTTTTCTATTTTTAATACAGACAGGGTTTTGACATGTTGCCTACCCAGTCTGGTCTCGAACTCCTGTGCTCAAGCGATCAGCCCGCCACGGCCTCCCAAAGTGCTAGGACTACACAGGCATGAGCCACCACACCCGACCTACTTGCAGGATTTAATTGTTTTATATTATTGTAGTGGATATTATTGTTTTCTGTGGGGTACACCTCTTGGCTGCAATGAACTGCCTCTCCTAAAGTTATACCCTTACCAGGGGTGGCCTATGTCAAATGACTGGCTGAGGGTAGGAATACATAGCCTGGACCCCTTGCCTCACTTTGAGACAATCCTGAAGGGCCATCCCCACTCCATAATTCTCCACAGGATAACTGAGGCCATAGCTGAAACCTCACTGGGGTCACTTTCCTTTTTTTTTTTTTTGAGATGGAGTTTCGCTTTTGTCACCCAGGCTGGAGTGCAATGGCTCAATCTCGGCTCACTGTAACCTCTGCCTCCTGGGTTCAAGTGATTCTCCTGCCTCAGCCTCCCAAGTAGCTGGGATTACATGCATGAGCCACCATGCCCAGCTAATTTTGTATTTTTAGTAGAGATGTGGTTTCACCATGTTGGCCAGGATGGTCTCTAACTCCTGACCTCAGGTGATCCTACCACCTCAGCCTCCCAAAGTGCTAGGATTACAGGTGTAAGCCACCGCACCTGCCCTTGTGGTCACTTTCTTCAGTGTCCAGTCCCACCTTCCTTACTTCCTCACAGTGGTATTGCTGCAGTAAACTTCTGCTTTCAACTCCCCACCCAGAATTTGTATCTAGGGATCCCAGCCTAAAACAGTATTCTACCAGGGGGCACTGTCGTCCAATGCAATCATGTTATTTACAAAATAATTCTAGAATTTATTATCTATTGAAAAAACCAGGTCATTTGTCCTGTAGAATTTTCCCCTTCCTAGATTTGGCTGATTGCGTCCCTGTGTGCATTCTTTATCTGATACTTTCTATAAACCAGTAGAAGTTCTAGAGGCTTGATTAGATTCCCCTCCACCCATTTAAGCCTGGCTTTCCAAAAGTCTTTTTTACTTCTCTTTTTCAACCTTATGAAATTTAAGAGGAGGAAAATTCAAAGCTCACCAGGATCAGGGGAGATCACTTATGATCACATATGCTTCCCACTGCCTTTCTCCTTCCCACAACTTGGTATCTGCAATCAGAAGGCCTCCCGGATACATACATACTGCTAGAAACAAATGACTGGAGAATGTGTTCCTCTGTTTACAGCCTTAAACACTGAATACCTTCTTCCCAAAGCAGAGTATGATTTATCTTGTTCTCATCTAGGAAGGGAACCAAAGACAGCACCACCATCTCTGAATTATTTGCATGTAGATTTCTATGTTGTTACTAATTTTAAAAGCCATCCTGGCTTTCTTCTGTCAAATGGTTTGATTGTGGATCACATTCTTTCACCGACAGCTGGTGTATTCTAAATCAATTAATCAACATGCATTTATCAAGCACCTGCTGTGTGATCAGTGTCATTCTTGGAGAATTCGTGCTGATTAAATTCTCTGTAAAACAATTAGAAAGCTGTATCTTGTTTTTGCTCTGCCCCCATCCCCAACCCCAATTCACACAAATGCGTTTCAAGACCAAATAAATGCTCTTTTTGTATCAGTTTACTCTTGAATTATCTACACTGTGTTCCATTTTGTTGACAGTCGATAACACTGTGGACAATTAAGATTTTCTAAAGTAGTCAAAGCAGTTTTGCATACACATCTGCCTAATTACGTTATTTTATGTATCTCCTTTTAAGAAAACGTTGTTGCTAAGATTTATTTATTTATTTAAATTAGTATCATTGCAAGTAACAGAAACCAGCTTGAGGTGGCTCAAGGGAGAAAATAATTTATTGGAAATATATTAGGCTCTCTCACAGAATCCAAAGAACTGAACAACCAACCATGAAGAGCGGAAGCTAAGGAAGCTCTGGGGACCCTGGCAACAGCTGCTCATGAACCTTCCCTTGGAATTCTGCCACAAGCATGACTCAGCGCCAAACTTCTCTGGTCTCTCTGTATCTCAGTTCAAAATTCAAAATCCTGGGGAGAGGAATCTGATTGGATCAGGCTGCTGCTGCTCCAATCAGGTATGCCTTGGAGGCAGCATCAGGTGCTTTATATCCCATACTACTCCACACAGAAGCCCCCAGCCACATATGGCTATGGAGCACTTGAAATGTCACTGAGGAACTGAATTTTTTATTTTATTTAATTTTTATTGATTTAAATTTTAAAACTGAAGCAATGTTAATTTTTTTCCATTACACACAATTTTATTATTTTTGTAGAACTACATTTCATTTTAATTACTATTAGTGTTACTATTACTAGATAATTTTAAAGTACATATGTGGCACGTATTTTATTTCTATTAAACAGTGTTGCTTTTACCAAAGATTTATTTCTGAGGACCAGGGGCAGTTGTGAGACACTGGGTGAAAGTTCTGAGCAGAAGACACCTTCAAAGGGGTCAAACACACAGAGCACAATGACAAATATAGAGATTTCTGGGACAACATAATGTAATCAGTGTATAATTGGATACATCTCTTCATCATTATTTGCTGCATTCCAATATTTATTATATCATTAAGGACTATGAAAAGCTGTTATGTCAGACTTCAGTGTGTGATGCTACAGATATTCATCCAATAGTATTTATTAACAAAGCTCTTGTCCTTGGGGAGCTGAAAATGGAGTAGGAAGAGAGAGACAATAAACAGATAAACAAAGATATAATGCCCAGGTATTAAGAGATGCTCTGAAAAAAGAAGAAAACAATAGGTAAGGAGAAAGAGAATGACAGAGATGCTGTTTATCTGGATGATTAGGGAAGACCTGATCAGGTGCATTAAATAGAGCTTGGAATAAAGAGAAAGGAGAAGTCATGTGACTCAGAAAAAGCCAGATGGAATTAGTGTATTTCAGGATCCTGAAGGAGACCTTGTGGCTAACGCCCAGAGAGAAAAGGGGGAAAAGGTAGAAAATAAAGTCAGAGCAGGTAGCCTGGAGCCAGATCATTCAGAGCCCTCGAGACAAGGTGAACAGGGGAAGCCCTTGCAGTATTGAGAGCAAAGAATGATGCAATCCGTTACATTTTTGGCTATGACTCCATGAATCATACAGGTAAGACCTGAAATTATTTATTTATTTATTATTTTACCTAACAGCAATAACTTAAACGTTTTCATTTTTAATTTAATTTTCCCCATTTTATGTAAAAAATTATCAAAACTCTTACATTATTTTCTCACATTATCTTATGAAAAATCTAAATGAATTCTGAAAAAAGTTAATACAAATTTATGAAAAATCCAGAGCTATTTTCCTTCTGAATTAATTTGAATCCTGATAATTTTCTGTGCCCCTTACCTGAATGAAACATTCATACAACTGAATTGTAGGACACAATGATTTACCTCAGGGAATCAATTTTATGTATGATAGAAGTCTTTGTAATGGTTAAGAATTCTCTCAAAATGTCTTGAATGCAAAGCTTGAAAAACAATAATTCACTCAACTCCCTAACAGACATAGAGACGGTCATGGAACTTAAAGACAATCATAAGGGAAGCATGAATGCAGAGACATAAATTCCTAAAGCTTGCTAATGATGTGCATAAATAATCTATATACAAGATGTATACACAGAGTAACTGCCAATTACACATAATAGCTCTCATTTTTAAAACACTTTCTATTTGTCATTTACCTGTGACTGTCTGTATTGGTTTACTGGGGTTGCCATAACAAAACACCACAGACTAGATGCCTTAAACAACAGAAATTTATTTTCTCACAGTTCTGGAGCCTAGAAGTCGAAGATCAAGGTGTCAGCAGGGTTTGTTTCTTCTCAGTCTTCTTGGCTTGCAGTTGGCCACCTTCTCACTGTGACCTCACATGGTCTTTCCTCTGTATTCGTATCTACTGGCTACTCTCTTTGTGTCCATATTTCCTCTTCTTTATAAGGACATCAGTTGTATCCTAACTGATGTACCCTAACCATCTCATTTTAACTGAATCACCTCTTTCAAGACTCTTCCATCTCCAAATACAGTCATATTCTGAGGTACTGGGGGTTATGATTTCAAATATAGGTGGGGCAGGGGAACATAATTCAGCCGATAACACTGTCACTTACTTTTTGTTTGTTTGTTAAGAGACAGGGTCTTGCTATGTTGCCCAGGCTGGACTCAAACCCCTGGGCTCAAGTAATCCCCTGCCTCAGTCTCTGGGATAGCTGGGACTACAGGTGCACACCACCATGGCCAGCTTTACTTTTTATGAAGATAAAAAGTTGCATAAAATAGTGTCCCTATAGAGGTGACAATGTGATAAGTGCTATCATAGAAATTAATTACTTAAAAATTAATTGGTTGAGTATGTTAGGAACATACAGGACAGACAGCAGATACTACCCTCATAGTGGAGCTGGGAATAATCAAAGAGCTTCCCAGGGGAAGTGATATTCGAAAAGCCTTCAGAGGACAATGAGACCTTGCTTACTTTGTGCCAGCACCCATGGTAGCTGTGCCTAAAATATAGTCGCCAGTTACCATTTCAAGATATTATACATGAGCAAGTGATTAGAATGTAATAAGATGCTATGTAAATATTTTATTTTCTCTTTTTATTAATTAGGTAAATTACTATATTTCTTATTCCTCCAGAAAATAAATTGCCAAATGAAGAGTTAAATATATAATATCTTCATTTGTCTTCTTTATATTCTAATGCTTGGCAAAATACTTTGTTGCTCCTTGTTGCATTCTTCCTCTGTCTTTGCCTTCTTTGGATTTTACAAAATAGGTAAGTCATTTTTTTTTCTGGGAGAGAGTGAGCACATGCTTTCTACAAGAATTTTGCATGTCATCCTATAATTGATGATAGCTCCTGAAGATACCTCCTAACTGTGGCAGGAACTAGATTGGAATATATACTCAGCTAAGCTCTGTATTTCTCTTGGATTGAATTAAGTCCTTGAATTGACTTCAAGTAGAATTCTTTATAGCTCTTTTGTTTTAATGCCTAAAATACTGGTCTCTTAAAATGAAAGTTATATGTAGATTCTTTAAAAGAGCCTTGAATATAAGATAGCTTCTACCAGTCTGAAAATGTCTTTATTTAAAATTGCAAAGAATAATAACTTTTACTTTCCCCCAAATTGCTCCAAATATTACTCCTAGAGAGAGATTTGGGGTTTTGTTGGCAAGTGTCCTTTTCCCCCTGGAGAAGATGGTTGAAAAAGAATCTCTTTCTGTGGTCTTTTGCAGTTTCTGTGGCTCAGACTGCAATAATTCGATTAGACTTGTAATGTATTAATAAGCTATATATTCACACTATCTTTTATAGCATGACATAAGAACAAAATTCTAACTCTGCTAATTACATTAGAAAGAATGAGCTTGTTGTCCACTAAAAGTTAAAATACTTTAAACTTCTTATACTTCTCTCAACTCTTACTGCTGTGAAAACTACATCCTACAGAGAATGTACGAAACTATATATAGCTAGAATGTGCCAAACAAATAATAGAGGCTCTTCCCCGAGGAGCTTATAATCACAGAACAAGTGGCATCTTGACAACTTGTGTTGTTTTTGCTAATGAATAGTTTATCTTAAATATTAAAATGCCATACTCTTCATAATTGTCATAGCTTAACAGGGAACAACTTGAAAAAATAATTTGTTTCAAAATTTAGCTCACTAAATACAATGTGCTATCTTGGAAAGGATCCTGGAATTAAAAAAAAATTAGTGGAAAACTGGTGAAATCATATAGTCTGGAGTTTAGTTAATAGTAATGTACCAATGTTAATTTCCTGGTTTTCACAAATATATTCTGGCTAGGTAAGATATTAACATTAGGGGACACTGGATGGAAGATATGCAGAGACGGTCTGTACTATCTTTACAACTTTCTGTAAATCTAAAATTGTTCTGAAGTAAAACGTTTATTTTTAAAAACTCAAAAAAATTTAACAGCATGTTGAAGTTATATTTTCCAGTCTATCTCCATGAATAAGTGGGCTAGGCTCACTGCAACAGGGATCTGGATCGAACATGGGGCCATGAGGAAAAACAAGACAGAGAACCAAGATGCAAAAGCATCTCTGGGTGAGGAAGTTCAAAGCTGGCAGAAAGCTCTTGACTGGGGAGGAAATCTGCTGATACTATAAAACTAAAAATGAGGTTTTTTAGGTTAAAAGTAGATATTGGCCTGGCATGACTCACGCCTGTAATCCCAACACTTTGGGAGGCTGAGGCAGGCGGATTGCTTGAGGTCGGGAGTTGGAGACCAGCCTGGCCAACATGGTGAAATTCCATCTGTACTGAAAATACAAAAATTAGCTGGGCATGGTGGTGTACGTCTGTAATCCCAGCTGCTTGGGAGGCTGAGGCATGAGAATCGCTTGAACCTGGGAGGCTGAGGTTACAGTGAGCAAAGATCACGCCATTACACTCCAGCCTGAGTGACAGAGCGAGACTCTGTCTCAAAACAAAACAAAACATCAAACATATTGTTATGAAAACAAAACATATATGTAAATGAAAATGATGGATATAGCACTGAGCAAGCCACATTCTAAAAGTACTTTTGAAATTTAGACTCTACGTGTTAAACATTTGGAAGCTGTTGTTGAAAGAAAAGCTAAGGAAGTTGATGAATATTTACAGGATTGGCTCTTGCATTTCTGATGGTGTGAAGATAGGGTGACAAAGTCTTCTGCTGTGTTCCTTTTTCTCTGGCTCCGACTCTTTCTCATTTTATTTGAGATCACCTTGTAACTTTCCTTTTTTTAGACAGGGTCCAATTCTGTCACCCAGGCTGGAGTGCAGTGACATGATCTTGGCTCACTGCAACCTTTGCCTTCCAGGTTCAAGCGATTCTCCTGTCTCAGCCTCCTGAGTAGCTGGGACTACAGGCACCTGCCATTACCTGGCTAATTTTTGTATTTTCTGGTAGAGATGCAGTTTCACTATATTGGCCATGCTGGTCTTGAACTCCTGAACTCAAGTGATCTGCCCGCCTCAGCCTTCCAAAGTGCTGGGATTACAGCCGTGAGCCACTGTGCCCAGCCTCCCCTTGTAATTTTTTTTTTTTTTTTTTTTTTTTGAGATGGAGTCTCGCTCTGTTGCCATGGCTGGAGTGCAGTGGCGCAGTCTCGGCTCACTGCAAGCTCCCCCTCCCGGGTTCACGCCATTCTCCTGCCTCAGCCTCCTGAGTAGCTGGGACTACAGGCGCCCGCCACCACGCCCGGCTAAATTTTTTGTATTTTTTTTTTTTTTTTTAGTAGAGACGGGGTTTCACCGTGTTAGCCAGGAAGGTCTCGATCTCCTGACCTCGTGATCCGCCCGCCTCAGCCTCCCAAAGTGCTGGGATTACAGGCATGAGCCACCGCGCCCGGCCCTTGTAATTTTTGAAGATTAAGATATGATCCTAAGAATCTTTTCTACTCATGTATTTACAGTTTTAGCTTTAAAGATTTTTATGGCGGGGCGCAGTGGCTCATGTTTGTAACCCCAGCACTTTGGGAGGCCGAGGCAAGGGGCTCTCTTGAGCCCAGAAGTTTGAAATCAGCCTGTGCAAGATGGAGAGACCGCGTCTCTACAAAAAATACAAAAATTAGCTGCACGTGCTTGTAGTCCCAGCCACTCGCAGCCAGGACTGTGAGGCTGAGGTGGGGGGATGGCTTGAGCCTGGGAGGTGGAGGTTGCAGTGAGCTGAGCTTGCACCACTGCACTCCAGCCTGGGTGACAGAGCAAGACCCTGTCTCAATAAATAAATAAACAAATAAATAAATACTTTTATGTAAAACACTAATTATTTTTTCTTTAAAGATTATAGGCTGGTGGCTTACATCTGTAATCCCAGCACTTTGGGAGTCCGAGGCAGGAGATCACCTGAGGTCAGGAGTTTGAGACCAGCCTGACCAACATGGAGAAACCTCATCTCTACTAAAAATATAAAATTAGCCGGGCGTGGTGGCGCATGCCTGTAATCACAGCAACTCGGTAGGCTGAGGCAGGAGAATCACTTGAACCCAGGAGGCAGAGGTTGCAGTGAGTCGAGATCATGCCATTGCATTCCAGTGTGGGCAACAGGAACAAAACTCTATCTCAAAAAAAAAAAAAAATTACAGGCCAGGCACGGTGACTCACTTGCACTACATGCTCACTATAGAAGGCTAGTTCGAGACTAGCTTGGCCAGGGTGAAACCCCGTCTCTACTAAAGATACAAAAAAATGAGCTGGGCGTGGTGGTGCGTGCCTGTAATCCCAGCTACTCAGGAGGCTGGGGCAGGACAATCACTTGAACCCAGGAGGCGGAGGTTGCAGTGAGCCAAGATCATGCCATTGTACTCCAACCTGGGTGACAGGGTAAGACTCCGTCTCAAAAAAATAATAAGAAATAAATAAATAAAAATATTTAAAAAGATTATAGATTTTTCATACCTGTAGAAGGAAGGGAAGGGAAGGGAAGGGAAGGGAGGGGAGGGGAGGGGAGGGGAGGGGAGGGGAGGGGAGGGGAGGGGAGGGGAGGGGAGGGGAGGGAAGGGGAAGGGAAGGGAAGGGAAGGGAAGGGAAGGGAAGGGAAGGGAAGGGAAGGGAAGGGAAGGGAAGGGAAGGGAAGGGTTAGACTATAGCTTGTAGTCTACTTCAGAATGTATTCCCACTCTTTCTCTCTTTCTCCAATAAATTCCACCCCCTCAAAAATGGGCACATGACCCAGGCTCAGTCAAACACAGTGCCCCATTTCTGTGAACACACTGCCAGACAGGATGATGCAAACATGGAGATACTAAGAGGAAGCCCTGCTAAGCTAGGAGGAAGGGACAAGTTTGAATCCAAGCTCACTTGTCTGAAAGCAGAAATGCAACAGCACGTGGGAAGTCCTGTTCTGCCTTCAGCCAGCAATCCAGAACCACTGGGGGTCAAACAATGATTATTCCTGCTGACTTGAAAAAGCTGAACTGTGTCCTCCAACCTGAAACTAACACAAAGGAGAGAGGCAGGAAATGCACTAGGGACTTGGTAAGAGCCTACAATTCAGGGAATCCTGTTTCCCTCATCCCTCTCTCTCAAGCAACTGTGTTATTCCCTGCCAACCATAATTAAAATTCATACCTGTGGCAAAACACTATCCACTGAGATACAGCAGACGCAGGTTAGTCATTATGGGGTACTATAGGATGGGCACTTTGAAAGCCTACAGGATGGGCAAAGCAGAGATGTGTTAAAAGGCAGAAACTGCAAAGGCATGGTAAGATTTCTGGTATTAGTGCCTAGGCTATGGAATCCCCTTGTATAAAATTGGCAAAAAGTCAGCTGAGGTCTGAAGGGACTTGTATGGCCTGAAAACCCCACCTTGGAAACAAGCCTATAATTGTTCAAAGCCTAAGACAATACCCAGTCTCCATAATCAGGCCAACAAGAAGTTGGTGGTGGAAGATGTGCAGTTCTGGAATAAGATAGGTGAGGGAGACTTGTTCCTCACATGTACAGACCCAGGGCAGCAAGAACTTATTTCACTGCCAGGAAAGCAAATTTAGATGACATTTGCATTGCAGGACCATGGCCCACAGTTCCTAGACTTTCAGTCACTGCTTTCTGTGTGTTTTTTTTTTTTTTTTTTTGAGTCGGCTTCTCACTCTGTCACCCAGGCGGGAGGGTAGTGGCGCGATCTTGGCTCACTGCAATCTCTGCCTCCTGGGTTCAGGCAATTTTCCTGCCTCAACCTCCCAAGTAGCTGTTACTACAGGCATATGCCACACTGGCTAATTTTCGTATTTTTAGTAGAGATGGGGTTTCACCATGTTGGCCAGGTTGACCTCGAACTTCTGACCTCAGGTGACCCGCCTGTCTCGGCCTCCCAAAATACTGGGATTGTTAGATGTAAGCCACCTCGCCTGGCCTCTTTTTTTTTTTTTAAGAGACATGATCTCACTATATTTATCAGGCTGGTCTTGAACTCCTGGCCTCAAGCAATCCTCAAGTCTTGACCTCCCAAAGTGCTGAGATTGCAGGTGTGAGTCACTACTCCCAGTCCCCAGTATCTTTCTTAATTTGTCTGGCCATGATGCCATTTCTCTCTTCCAGTGCCATATCTTCTTCTCTGGGACAGATGTGGGCATATGTCACAAGCCTGCCCAATCTTAATACTCTATTCCCCAGAGACTGTGATTAGTTTAGGGGTGGACATGTGGGCCAAGCAGCACCTCTAAGAATTCTTGTCTGGAATTGATATAGAGACATTGGGAGAGAGCAGTCTCTTTCCACTGGGATTCCTAAAGCAGATGATGTAAGCCTAGAGCTGTGGGCAACCTACTTGTCTGGCAGCCTGGAAAATGGAAGAAAATGAGGTCACCACACAGAGGAAGCGGAGCTGAGATATTGGGGGAGGGGGAAAGAGAGAGACCTGACGATTAATTTCCATCTGGGCCTGAAGCCAAATTCATCCAGGAAATAATTCTCTTTCTCTCTCCCTACTCCCTTCAATTTCTCTCTCTTTTTGGCTTGAACTAGAGTTGTATTTCTGTCCATTTCAACTGAAATAGTCTTTATATATTTTCATTTTTCTAAATATAAAAGCACTACATGCTCACTATAGAAGAAATTTGGAAAATACATCTAAGTATAAAGAAAAAAATAATTGAATTCTCTCATGCTTCAAGTAGAACCAGGCTAGCATTTTAGAATTTTTGTAGTATTTTAAATGCTTATTTTTTCATAGTTATGATCATAGTACATTTATTTTACACAGTATAATAATGAATTTATTTTACATAGTACAATCATAATTTTTCCATTTAATGTTATTATATCTTCCCATTTTCTTAACCACCTTATAAATATAATTTTCTTATATTTCCTCTACTATTTGGATAATTTTAAAATGTTAAAACCATTTTGCTTTAGAGCCCTACTATTTATTTTCAGATATACAGTTAATAGGCCTAAATATTAGAATATTTTAAAGGCTCCTGATATATTTTAGATATGATTCCTTATTTCGATGAATACAAGTATAATATACATATGAGAAATTTGTTCTTCATGGGCAATAAAAATTAAAGGAATCAAACAAATATATAGGGTTCAGTAAGAGGAAAACAAGTAAGACACCATCAGGCCTTCAATGAATAGTTCTTTTCAGATGCAAAAGTTATCCTGAATTAGACCAGTTCAAAATTTAAGCTGCATACAATTACAGGAACTAAAAGAAATAAAAACACTGATATTCAGCCCTAGCACTTGATATGCATCTCTCCCTAACTGACATAATCTTTTAGAAAATATAATTTTATTAATAGCATGTTTCCACTATAAAAGTAATACATGAAACAGCACAAAATACCATTGACAGCTATTTTAAAAGACGATAATGTCCATTATTATTGAAGATGCAAATATAATGCTGGGAAAAGTGCAAATTAACCCTTTGGGGACATCTTGGCAAATATTTTTTTTTGTATGAATGAATAAACAACCAGTATTTAAATTTCCTTATAAAAGTCCATCAAGTATATGTATTTACTTCATCAATACCCTATTTTTAGACATTCAAACTGCTTATAGTGTTTTACTATTACAATAATACTGTAATATGTATTCATTTGTGTATTTTAATATATTATGGATTATTTTCTTTGGATTAATACCCAGAAGTGACATTACTGAAGCAAAGTTTGTTAAATTGACGGGCATGGTGGCTCACGCCTGTAATTCCTTTGGGAGGCTGAGGCAGGCGGATTGCCTGAGGTCAGGAGTTCGAGACCAGCCTGGAGAACATGGTGAAACCCGGTCTCTACTAAAAACACAAAAATTAGCTGGGCATGCTGGCACACGCCTGTAATCCCACCATTGTAATCCCACCAGTGTAATCATACCATGGCACTCCAGCCTGGGCAACAGAGCGAGACTCTGTCTGAAAAAATTAAAAAAAAAAAGTCATTATATCAAGATTACAAAATTAAATAAAAATATTTTCTGTTTTTAAAATTTAAATTAAAAAAAGGTATATATACTTTTTGTTTTGTTTTGTTTTGAGATGGAGTCTTGCTCTGTCATCGAGGTTGGTGTGCAGTGGCACAATCTCGGCTCACCACAACCTCTGCCTCCCGGGTTCAAGCGACTCTCCTGCCTCAGCCTCCCAAGTAGCTGGGATTACAGGCCCGTGCCACCTTGCCCAGCTAATTTTTGTATTTTTTAGTAGAGACGGGGTTTCACCATGTTGGCCAGAATGGTCTCGATCTCCTGACCTCGTGATCTTCCCGCCTTGGCCTTCCAAAGTGCTGGGATTATACACGTCAGCCACCTCGCCCGGCCATATATATATATTATATATATATATAATATATATATATATATAAAAGAGAGTCTTGCTCTCTCACCCAGCCTGGAGTGCAGTGGCACCATTATAGCACACTGCAACTTCAATCTCCTGGGCTGAAGGGAACTTCCCACCTCAGCCTCCCATGTAGTTGGGACTACAGGCACACACCACCACATGGGCTAATTTTTTATTTTTTGTAGAGATAGGGTCTTGCTATGTTACCCAGGCTGGTCTTGAACTCCTGGCCTCAAGTGATTCTCCTACCTTGGCCTCTCAAAGTTCTGGGATTACAGCCATGAGCTACTGCACCTGGCCTATTTTCTGGATCTTGGCCCATTTTCTGGATCTTGATGTAGGTTGCCAAATTGCTTTTCGAAGACAGCGTATCAGTTTATAATGCCAATAGTAATAAATGAGAGTATGCATTTCAACCCACTATCTCTAACCTATTAAATTATTTCAATGCTTTGCTCATTTAAGAGGTAGAAATTGACATCTGATTTCAATTAAAAATTTTAAAGTACTAACAATGGTACTTTCTGAATATTTGTGTGAGATTATATTAATCTTCACTGTAATTCTTTTTTGAGACAGGGCAGGGTCTTACTATACTGCCCAGGCTGGAGTACAGTGGTACGATCATGGTTCACTGCAGCCTGACCACTCTGGCTTAAGTGATCCTCCCACCTCAGCCTCACAAGTAGCTATAGGCGTGAGCCACCACACCTACCTCATTTTTTTATTATTTGTAGAGACAGAGTCTCACCTTGTTGCCCAGGCTGGTCGTGAACTCCTGGGCTCAAGTTATCCTCCCACCTCAGACTCCCAAAGTGCTGGGATTACAGGCATGAGCCACTGTGCCTGGCCCACTATAATCCTTTAACCAGTAAGAAAGCATCATTTTCTTCAGGGCTGCTTCCATCCTGTTAGGAAGAAATACACCAGCCTCTCTGTCACTTTGCCTAAAGGGTGGGGGGAGGTGGTCTGACTGATCAGTGCCCTCAGATGCTGTGGTCCCCAGTAACTATCCAAAATATTGTCAGGACCACTGCAGAAATAACAGCTGGGAATCTATTTCAAAATGCAGGTTCCTGGATCCCACTCCCAGAGTATCTGATTCTTCAAGCCTACAGCCAATCCAGGAAGTTATATACTTTTAACATTCTACATTTGAGGCTGGTACGTAGTCAGATTTGGACACCAATGTTCCAAAGCAGAGGTTCATAAAATGCAGTCCCTGGACCAGCAGCATCAGCATCATCTGGGAACTTAAAAATGCAAATTTTCAGGTCCCCACCCAAGACCTACTGAAACAGAAACTCTAAGGGTTGGGCCCAGCAATATGTGTTTTAACCAGTTTGTCAGCTGATTTTGATGCAGGACCACTACTGTAAATACACTGTGAGATGAAGAGTCAAGAGCCATCCAAAATCTACCACCTTCTGCTTACAAAGTCGAAGGAGATGATGTCTGAATTGAGTCTGCAGGATGAGTAGACTTTCATCAGGGCACCAACACAGTCAAGAGCAGGGCACAGAAAGGCACAAGGTTGCTGGCCCGGCTGGAGTGCAGGCTGTAGTGGAGGAGATAAGAGATGAGGGAGGAAAGTTGATAAAGTGCCCCATCTGTCATGCACAGAAGTGGATAGTTGTCATTATATGGACACCCAGCCTCCATCCCTCTTCCTAATTGCACCCCAATGTCTTTTGGGAGAATTACCTCACCCCCATTGTGTCTCATTGTCAGGATGATAAATACAAATGCTCTCCTACTACAGAAACCAAAGGAGTCCCTAGAGGCTTCTTCCTTCACCCTCTGACATAGTCAAGGGGTAAGCATGTGACCTAAACTACACTCACTACACTCTCTGTTTCAGAGATTTTTGTTTTTTTAGGATTTAAAACACCTTTTTATTGTGGAGAATTCACACATACACAAAAGTAGAGGAAATAGTATAATGAATCTGCATGAACCAAACCCATTCTGAAAAATGATCAATTCATGGTCAATCTACTTCATCTGTAAACTTCTCCATTTCCTCCGCTCCACAGAGTTTTTGGAAGCAAATCTTAGGTATAATATCCAAGAAGATTTTTTCCAATATTATTAACATAAGCCATTGAAGTAACTTAGTTTGATGAAAATATTGCCATGTACTGGAAATAATGATTTACAAAAGTCCTTTTAGTGCTTAGTACTGAAAATGACAAAGCCTGAAAGAAAGAGGTGTCTATTGAAAGAAGGAAGAAATGTCAAGGTCTGATCATCTTCTATCTTTCTCTATTTGTCTTTCTTTGTTACCTCCAAAGTCAAACACAAATATATCAATTTTATTTAGCTTGATCACATTTATTTAACTTCATGTATTCCATGTGTCATCTAATCCCTAGCGATAAAAAGCTATATTTATATTTCATCACTGTAAAATCGCCTTCCAGAACATTTTAAGCATTTGGCTACATGAAGGCCACTGTTAACTTTCTAAAAATTGTGGTACAAAAATATGTAACGTAAAATTTGCCATTTTACCGGGTGCAGTGGCTCACGTCTATCATCCCAGCACTTTGGGAGGCCCAGGTGGCTGGATCATTTAAGGTCAGGAGTTTGAGACCAGCCTGGCCAACATGGTGAAACGCTGCCTCTACTAAAAATACAACAATTAGCTGGGCATGGTGGCAGGCGCCTGTAGTCCCAGCTACTCGGGAGGCTGAGGCAGAAGAATCACTTGAACTTGCGAGGCAGAGGTCCCAGTGAGCCGAGATTGTGCCACTACACTCCAGCCTGGGTGACAAAGTGAGACTCTGCCTCAAAAAAAAAAAAAAAATGCCAAGCTGGTCTCGAATTCCTGACCTCAGGTGATCCACCCACCTTGGCCTCCCAAAATGCTGAGATTACAGGCATGAGCCACCACGCCTGGCCAAAAAATTGCCATTTTAACAGTTTGAAGTGTACAGTTCAGTGCATGAAGTACATTCAGTGCAACCAGAGACTGTATCTTGAGCAGTATAATATAAGGAGAGAACCAGAGAGAGTCCACTCATGGCAGCGTAAGTACCCAACCAAGACAGTGCAGGAATCCCTGTTACTGAAACCTCAGGAACTACCTCATTCTAAGCCTGGCTCTTCAGCCTCCCCTTTGGTTCTATAAGTTCCTGAAACCCCCTTAAGGTGATCTGAATTAGTTGTTTTCCCACCCAAAGAACCCGAAGAGACCCAGAACTGTAAAGAATTAAAAGCAAAGCGGTGACATGATCAGCTTTGTGTCTTGGAAAGATCACTCAGAATGTAGTGTAGAGGTTGTTATGGACTGAATTGTGTCCCTTTGCCCCGATCCTGCCCCTCATTCATGTGTTGAAGCCCTAACCCCAATATATTTGGAAATAGGGCTTTTAGGAAGGTAATTAAGGTTATATGAGGTCATAAGGATGGGGACCTAATACAATAGGATTGGCGTCCTTATAAGAAGAGGAAGAGACAGAAGAGACACCAGTGATCTCTCTCTTCCTGCATACACAGAGAAGAGAACATGTGAATACATAACAAGAAGGCAACTGTCTATAAGCCAGTAAAAAAGACCTCACCAGAAACCAAATCTGCCAGAACTGTGATATGGGACTTCTAACTGCTAGAACAGTGAGAAAATAAATTTCTGTTGTTGAAGCCACTCAGCCTGTGGTATTTTGTTACGGCAGCCTTAGCATACTAACAATACAGAGATTATTGTACACATGTAAAACAGGAACAATATTCACCTGAACTAAAACAATGACAATAAAAACGGAGAGGAGAAGATGAATTTGAGACTGATTAAGAGATAGAAATGAGAAGATTTAGTGATGAATTGGATATGGAGGCTGAGTCTAGATGATCCTTAAATTTCTGACTTGAACAACTGGGAACCAGTCACTAGGTGAGTATGAGGTCAATAGTCCTCTCCCCTCTTCTCTATGTAAATCCTGCCTTTCTGTATCTGGAATCGCAAAGCAAAGATCTGTATAGCTGGTGCAAATTCATATATATCCAGGTGTGATTTGTAGGTAAATGAGAGGACAAATGAAAGGGTCTATGTACACAAGGGCTCATGAAACGTCATTGAAAAGAAAAAGACAATGTAGCCAGGTGTGGTGGCATGAGTCTGTAGTCCCAGCTACTTGAGAGGCTGAGGTAGGAGGATTGCTTGAGCCCAGAAGTTCCAGGCTGGTGCATCATGAACACGCCTGTTGATAGCCACTGCACTTTAGCCTGGACAACATAGCAAGACATTATCTCTTTAAAAAAAAAAGAATTTAGAAAACACAATGTGGAAGCTGACATCTGATGCCCACTAGAATCCAAGTTGCACACTTACATGTAAATGCCTTGAGAGTAGGTTCCATTGTACCCTGGGCTTCTCACATAATGACTGACAGATTCTATAACTATGTTCAATAAATATTTATTGAGTGAATAAATACCAACTAATGCTCTTATCAGTTTAGCCTAAAGTGGGGGACAGGACTGAATTGTACCATTTTGTTTTGAGGACGAGGATAAAGAACAAAGGGAAAAGCAATTTTAAATGCATCGTGGTTCATGCCCCTCAGATCATTTCTCAACCCAAGCGTTATATGCCAGCATGTAATTTCTATGATGTTGGAGACTGCAATAAAAACAACCCAACTGAAAGATCTGTATTATTGGAGGTAACATGAGTAGCTGAGCCCAAGGAAGCACTGGCCCAAATCTTTCGAAAAGGCAAAACGTAGGGTATAAATGAGCAGCAAAAGAAGAATCTGAAAATGTAGGCCACAACCAGACCCTGGAGAATCCTAAAAGAAGAATCAGCAAAGATGGAATAGCATGACCACTGGAATTATGGAACTGGATTTGAATCCCGGCTTTGTGAGTTTCTGGTGTGTCATCTTGTGCGCTTTACTTATCCTTTCGGTTTTGTCGTCTGCAAAATAATGTATCCATTAGGATTTGATTTACCTACAAGAAAGAAAACTCCAGATAGGATTGGTTTAAACAGGATAGAATGCATTTCTCTTTCAAGTAAGAGTCCAGGATTAAATCATCTGAGAGAAATATGGGGCTCCATAGTTTTGGGCTCTGGCTCCTATCTTTTTGATCTGCCATGCTTGACTTCTATTCCTAATATAGAAGTCATCTTATGGTCCAGGTTGGTGCCTCTGGAGACACATTATATCCTTCAAGAAGGAGGGAAGGAAAAAGAGGGAAGAAGGAACAAGGCATAAATCAGTTTTCTCCTCAGAAGTTTCCCAGAAGTTTCCATATGATGCTTCTAGTTTTATACAGTTGGCCATGTGACTAAATTCTGGCCAACCCAGTCACATGGCCAACTGTATAAAACTACACCTAGCTGCAAGGGAGTCTGGGGGATATTTTTATTTTGGGCAGCTATGTTCTCAGCTAAAACTTTTTATCTCTATGAAAGAGAAAATGGATATGGTAGAGAAAGGGACTAGTAATCTTTGCCATAGATGGGTATAATAATTTATACCTTTAGGGTTATTATGAAGAATTGAAGAAATAAGCTATATAGGGCCGGGCGCAGTGGCTCATGCCTGTAATCCCAACACTTTGGGAGACCAAGGCGGGCGGATCATCTGAGGTCAGGAGTTCAAGACCAGCCTGGCCAACATGGTGAAACCCCATCTCTACTAAAAATACAAAAATTAGTTGGGCTTGGTGGCAAGAACCTGTAATCCCAGCTACTCAGGAGGCTGAGGCAGGAAAATCGCTTGAACCTGGGAGACAGAGGCTGCAGTGAGCTGAGATCGTGCCACTGCACTCCAGCCTGGGCAACACAGTGAGACTCTCTGTCTCAAAAAAAAGAAAAGAAAAAAAAGAAAAGAAAAAGAAAAAAGAAAAGAAAGAAGCTGTATAGCCAAAATTCACTTCATATTGCTGTCCTAGTTAGTTTGGACTTTCTCCTGAAGACATAATTTCTTCTTCCATTTTATTCCTTCAGAAGTTTGCTTATAGCACTCTCGAGGTTCTCATGACATTAGAGCCTTTATTTACTTCATATAGCTTGGCTCTATCAGTCTTTTGATACAAATGTTTTCACATTATCTTTACAAAACAGAATATTCCTATTCATGCTTTCACTTAAATAATAGGAGCCATATTTCCTTGCATAGTCCTCTGTCTGGAAATCCCCCAAAAGGAGGACAACATATGCTCACAAACAACTGCTAAGCTACAGTCATCATACAAAATCTTAATTTTTGCAGACTACTTTTACATTCCTTAACTGATTTGTATTTGCTTGAATGTTCTTTCCTTTTTTAAAAAAAATTGGGATGAAATTCACATAACATAAAATTAATCATTAACTAAGTGTACAATTCAGTGGCGTTTAGTACATGCACAGCGTCGTGCAACCATCACCTCCATCTAACTCCAAAACATTTTCATCACCCTCCGGCCACTCTCCCCCGGGAAAAAATCACGTACTCATTAGTAGTCATTCCCCCTTCCTCCTCTACCCACAGCCTCTGATAATTTACCTGTTCTGGATATTTCATATAAATGAAATCATACAATATGTGACCTTTTGTGTCTGGTTGCTTTCACCTAACTTAATGCTTTCAAGGTTCATCCGTGTTGTAGCATGACTCAGTACTTCATTCTTTTTATGGCCAAATAATATTCCATTGTGTGATTATACCACATTTTGCTTAACTATTTATCAATTGATGAACATTTTAGTTGTTTACACCTTTTGGCTATTGTGGAGATTTCTGCTATGAGCATTTGTGTACAAGTATTTGCTTGAATAACTGTTTTCAATCCTTTCAAATATATCCCTAGAAATGGAATGGCTGGGTCATGTGGTAATTCTATATTTAACTTTTTAAGGAACCACAAAACTGTCTTGCACAGTGGCTGTGCCATTTTGCATTTTTATCAGCAACATATGAGGGTTCCAAATTCTCTACCTCCTCATCAATGCTGATTTTCTACTTAAAAAATTATGGCCAATCTGGTGAGTTTGAAGTTGTATCTCATCATGGTTCTGATTTCCTAATGACTAATAATATTGAGCATCCTTTCATGTGCTTGTTGGCTATTTGTATATCTTTTTTGGAGAAATGTGCATTCAAGTCCTTTGCCCATTTTTTTTAAGAGATGGAGGGTGGTCTCACTTTATTGTCCAGGAGGAAGTGCAGTGCCATGATCATGGCTCACTGCATCCTGAGCTTAAGAGACCTTCTTGCCCCAGGCTCCCAAGTAGCTGGGATGACAGGCATGCACCACCATGGCCAGCTAAATTTTTAATTTTTATTTTGTAGAGACAGGGTCTTGCTATTTTGCCCAGGCTGTTCTTGAACCCCTGGCCTCAAGAGATCCTCCCACTTCAGCCTCCCAAAGTGCAGGGCATGAGCCACTGCTCCCAGCCCGCTTTGCCCATTTTCAAATGGAGCTCTTTGTCTTTTAATCGTTCAGCTGTAGGAGTTCTGTACATATTCTGGATACTAGATACTTATCAGAGGTATAATTTACAAATATATTTCCCTCTCTGTGGGTTTTCTTTTTACTTTCTCTCTTATTCTATTTTATTTTATTTTGAGACAGGGTCTTACTCTCTTGCCCAGGCTGGAGTGCAGTTGTGTGATCATAGCTCACTGCAGCCTCCATCTCCCAGGTTCAAGCAGTCCTCCCACCTTAGCCTTTGAGTCGCTGGAACTACAGATGCAGGTTACACGCCTGCTAATTTTTTATTATTTTTTATTTTTGGTAGACACAAGATCTCACTATGTTGCCCAGGCTGTTCTTGAACTCCTGAGCTCAGGTGATTCTCCTGCCTTGGCCTCCCTCTCCTGTAATGGCCTCCCATTACAGGCCTGAGCCACCCTGCTTGGCCCCTTTTTACTCTCTTGATAGTGTCCTTTGATACACAAATTTTTAATTTTAATGAAGCTCTATTTACTTATTCTTTTCTTTTGTTGCTTTTTGGTGTCATACCTAAGACTGCCAAATCCAAGGCCAAGAAGATGTTTGCCTGTGTTTTCTTCTGAGAGTTCATCATATATATATATATATATATATATATATATATATATATATATATATATATATTTTTTTTTTTTTTTTTTTTTTTTTTTTTTTGAGATGGAGTTTGGCTCTTGTTGCCTAGGCTGGAGTGCAATGGTGCCTTGGCTCACCACAACCTCCACCTCCCAGGTTCAAGCGATTCTCCTGCCTCAGCCTCCTGAGTAGCTGAGATTACAGGTGCCTGCCACCACACCTGGCTAATTTTTGTATTTTTAGTAGACATGAGGTTTCACCATGTTTGCCAGGCTGGTCTGGAACTCCGGACCTCAGGTGATCCACCCACTTCGGCCTCCCAAAGTGCTGGGATTACAGGCGTGAAACCACCGTGTCTGGCTGAGAGTTTTATATTTTACATTTTCCTACTTTCATAGTTCTTACATTTAGGTCTTTTGTCCATCTTGAGTTAATTTTTATAGATGGTATGCAGTAATAGTCCAAGATTATTCTTTTGCATGTGAGTATCCAATTCTTCCAGCCCTACTTATTGAAAAGACTGTTTTCTCCCTCACTGAATTGTTTTAGCACCCTTGATGAAAATCAATTGGCCATAGATGTATGGTTTATTTCTGGATGCTCAATTCTATTCCACTGATCCATATGTCTCTCTTATGCCAGTACCACAGTGTTTTGATTACTGTAGCTTTTGTTGTCATTGTTGTTGTTTTTTGAAATGGAGTCTTGCTCTGTCGCTCAGGCTGGAGTGCAGTGGCACAATCCCAGCTCACTGCAACCTCTGCCTCCTGGGTTCCAGCGATTCTCCTCCTTAGCCTCCCGAGTAACTAGGATTACAGGTGCACGCCACCAATGTTTGTATTTTTAGTAGAGATGGGATTTCACCATGTTGGCCAGGTTGGTCTCTAACTCCTGACCTTGTGATCCACCCACTTTGGCCTCCCAAAGTGCTGAGATTACAGGCGTGAGCCACCACACGCGGCCCTGATTACTGTAGCTTTGTAGTGAGTTTTGAAATTGTGAGGCCGGGCACAGTCACTCATGCCTGTAATCCCAGCACTTTGGGAGGCCGAGGTGGGTGGATCACCTGAGGTCAGGAGTTTGAGACCAGCCTGACCAAGATGGCGAAACCCCGTATCTACTAAAAATGCAAAAAGTAGCTGGGTGTGGTCATGGGCGCCTGTAATCCCAGTTACTTGAGAGGCTGAGGCAGGAGAATCGCTTGAACCCTGGAGGCGGAGGGTGCAGTGAGCTGTGATTGCGCCGTTGCACTTTAGCCTGAATGACAGAGCAAGACTCTGTTGCAAAAAAAAAAAAAAAGAAAAAGGAAAAAAGAAATTGTGAAGTGTGGGTCCTCCAATTTTGTCTTCCTTTCCCAAGATTGTTTTGACATTTGGGGTGCCTTGAGATCACATATGCATTTGAGGATAGACTTTTTCCATTTCTGCAGCAAAGGTTTTGGATTTTGACAGGAATTGCTCTGAATCTGTAGATCACTTTGGGGAACAGTGTCATCTTTACAAGATCAAGTCTTCCAAACCATAAATATGTGAATTCTTTCAATTTATTTTGGTCTTCTTTAATTATTTTCAGCAGTGTTCTACAGCTTTCAGCATATTAGTTCTGCTCCTCTTTGGTTAAATGTATTCCTAAGTATTTTATTCTTTTGGTGCTACTATAAATGGGATTGCTTTCTTAATTTCCTTTACAGATGGTTCATTGCTAGTGCACAGAAATATAACTGGTTTCTGCATGCTGATCTTGTATCCTATTACTTTGTTAAATTTGTTTATTAGCTCTGAGGGTTTCTTTGGTGGATTTCATGACATTTTCTATATATACGATCACATCACCTGCAAATAGAGATAGCTTTACTCATTCCTTTCTTGTTTGGATGTTTTACCCCTCCTTTTTCTTACATGATTTCTTTTTTTTTTTTTTTTTTTTTTTTTTCTGAGATGGAGTCTGACTTTCTTACCCAGGCTGGAGTGCAATGGAGTGATCTTGGCTCACTGCAACCTCCACCTCCTGGGTCCAAGCTATTCTCTTGCCTCAGCCTTCCGAGTAGCTGGGACTATAGGCACGCACTACCATGCCCAGCTAATTTTTGTATTTTTAGTAGAGACAAGGTTTCACCATGTTGGCCAGGCTGGTCTTGAACTCCTGACCTCAGGTGATCCACCCACCTCAGCCTCCCAAAGTGCTGGGATTACAGTTGTGAGCCACCGCACCCGGCCCGTTACATGATTTCTCTGGCTAGGACTTTCAGCACAATATTGAATAGAAGTGGCAAGATCAGACATCTTTGTCTTGTTCCTGATATAAGGGGAAAAGTTTTCTGTCTTTAACCATTGAGTATGATGTTAGCTGTGGGTTTTTCATATAAGCCCTTTTGCATGTTGAGAAAGTTCTCTTCTATTTGTAGTTTAAGTGTTTTATTGTAAAAGGGTGTTGAATTTTGTCAGATACCTTTTCTGCATCAATTGAGGTGATTGTATGTTTTGTCCCATTTCATTCTACTAATACAGTATATTACAATGACTAATTTTCTTATACTGAACAACCCTTGCTTTCCTGGGATTAAATCCCATTTGGTTGGTCATGACATGTAATCCTTTTAATATGTGCTGGATTTGATTTTCTAGTACAGATGGTCCCCAAGTTATGATGGCTCAATTTATAATTTTGCAACTCTACAATGGTGCCAAAGCGATATGCATTCAGTAGAAACCATATACTTCAAATTCAAAATTTGATCTTTTCCTGGGTGTATTAGTCTGCTCTTATACTGCTACAAAGAACCACCTGAGACTGGGTAATTTATAAAGAAAAGAGGTTTAATTGACTCACAGTTCCACAGGCAATATAGGAAGCATGGCCAGGAGGCCTCAGGAAGCTTACAATCATGGCGAGAGGCAAAAGGAAAGCAAGCACTTCTTACCATGGCAGGGCAGGAGAGAGATACCACAAAGGGGTGAAGTGCTACACACTTTCAAACAACCAGATCTTGTGGGCACAGCAAGAGGGAAGTCTGCCCCCATGATTCAATCACTTCCCACCAGGCCCCTCCTTCAATATGTGGGGATTACAATTCAAGATGAGATTTGGGTGGGGACACAGAGCCAAACCATATCACTGGGCTAGTGATATGTGGTAGGATACTCTTGTGATTCTGGGCAATGGGAGCAAGCTACAACTCCTGATCAGCCACATAATCACAAGGGTAAACAACTGATGCTCTACAATGTACTGGATTGCCTGGTAACTGTGCCCAACTGTAGGCTAATGTAAGTATACTAAATATGTTTAAGGTAGGCTAGGCTAAGGTATGATGTTTAGTAGGTTAGGTGTATTAGATATATTTTCAACTTATGATATTTTCAATATATGATGGATTCATCAGATGTAACCCCATTGTCAGTTGAGCATCTGTTTTTTTAATGGGGGGATTTTTGCATCCAAAATCAGAAGCGATATTGATTTGTAGTTTTCTTGTGATGTTATTATCTGTCTTTTATATCAAGTAATGCTTGCCTCATAGAATGAGTTGTTAGGTGTTCCCTCTTCTTCTATTTTTTTGGAAGAATTTGAGAATTACCGATTCAATCTCCTTCTGTTAGGTCTATTTAGATTTTCTGTTCCTTCTTGAGCTAATTTTGGCAGTCTGCATGTCTCTAGGAATTTATCCATTTCCTGTAGCTTATCCAATCTGCTTTTTAAAAAAAATTATTTGCCCTTCTTTCTTTTTTTTCTTTTTTTTTTCTTTTTTTCTGAGATGGAATTTCACTCTTATTGCCCAAGCTGGAGTGTAATGGTGCAATCTCAGCTCACTGCAACCTCTGTCTCCCAGGCTCAAGCAATTCTCCTGCTTCAGCCTCCAGAGTAGTTGGAATTACAGGAATCCGCCACCACACCTGGCTAATGTTCTGTATTTTTAGTAGAGACAGGGCTTCACCATGTTGGCCAGGCTGGTCTCAAACTCCTGACCTCAGGTGATCCACCGGCCTTGGCCTTCCAAAGTGTTGGGATTACAGGCATGAGCCATCACGTCTGGCCTATTTGCCCTATTTTCTTTTTTTTTTTAATTATTTGTTTATTTATTTTATTATACTTTTAAGTTCTAGGGTACATGTGCACAATATGCAGGTTTGTTACATATGTATACATGTGCCATGTTGGTTTGCTGCACCCATTAACTAGTAATTTACATTAGGTATTTCTCCTACTGCTATCCCTCCCTCATACCCCCACCCCACGCCAGGCCCTGTTGTGTGATGTTCCCTGCCCTGTGTCCAAGTGTTCTCATTGTTCAATTCCCACCTATGAGTGAGAACATGTGGTGTTTGGTTTTCTGTCCTTGCAGTAGTTTGCTCAGAATGATGGTTTCCAGCTTCATCCGTATCCCTACAAAGGACATGAACTCATCCTTTTTTATGTATGGCTGCATAGTATTCCATGGTGCATATGTGCCACATTTTCTTAATCCAGTCTATCATTGATGGACATTTGGCTTGGTTCCAAGTCTTTGCTATTGTGAATAGGGCAGCAATAAACATACGTGTGCATGTGTCTTTATAGTAGCATGATTTATAATCCTTTGGGTATATACCCAGTAATGGGATGGCTGGGTCAAATGGTATTTCTAGTTCTAGATCCTTGAGGAATCGCCACACTGTCTTCCACAATGGTTGAACTAGTTTGCAGTCCCACCAACAGTGTAAAAGCGTTCCTATTTCTCCACATCCTCTCCAGCACCTGTTGTTTCCTGACTTTTTAATGATTGCCATTCTAACTGGTGTGAGGTGGTATCTCATTGCGGTTTTGATTTGCATTTCTCTGATGATCAGTGATGATGAGCATTTTTTCATGTGTCTGTTGGCTGCATAAATATCTTCTTTTGAGAAGTGTCTGTTCATATCCTTTGCCCACTTTTTGATGGGGTTGTTTGATTTTTTTCTTGTAAATTTGTTTACATTCTTTGTAGATTCTGGATATTAGCCCTTTGTCAGATGAGTAGATTGCAAAAATTTTCTCCCATTCTGTAGGTTGCCTGTTCACTTTGATGGTTCATTTGCTGTGCAGAAGCTCTTTAGTTTAACTAGATCCCATTTGTCAATTTTGGCTTTTGTTACCATTGCTTTTGGTGTTTTAGTCATGAAGTCCTTGCCCATGCCTATGTCCTGAATGGTATTGCCTAGATTTTCTTCTAGGGTTTTTATGGTTTTAAATCTAACATTTAAGTCTTTAATCCATCTTGAATTAATTTTTGTATAAGGCGTAAGGAAAGGATCCAGTCTCAGCTTTCTACATATGGCTAGCCAGTTTTCCCAGCACCATTTATTAAAAATGGAATCCTTTCCCCATTTCTTGTTTTTGTCAGGTTTGTCAAAGAGCAGATGGTTGTAGATGTGTGGTGTTATTTCTGAGGGCTCTGTTCTGTTCCACTGGTCTATACCTCTGTTTTGGTACCAGTACCATGCTGTTTTGGTTACTGCAGCCTTGTAGTATAGTTCGAAGTCAGGTAGCATGATGCCTCCAGCTTTGTTCTTTTTACTTAGGAGTGTCTTGGCAATGTGGGCTCTTTTTTGGTTCCATATGAACTTTAAAGTAGTTTTTTTCCAATTTTGTGAAGAAAGTCATTGGTAGCTTGATGGGAATGGCATTGAATCTATAAATTACCTTGGGCAGTATGGACATTTTCATGACATTGATTCTTCCTATCCGTGAGCATGGAATGTTCTTCCATTTGTTTGTGTCCTCTTTTATTTCATTGAGCAGTGGTTTGTAGTTCTCCTTGAAGAGGTCCTTCACATCCCTTGTAAGTTGGATTCCTAGGTGTTTTATTCTCTTTGAAGCAATTGTGAATGAGGGTTCACTCATGAGTTGGCTGTCTGTCTGTTATTGGTGTATAGGAATGCTTGTGATTTTTTGCACATTGATTTTGTATCCTGAGACTTTGCTGAAGTTGCTTATCAGCTTAAGGAGATTTTGGGCTGAGACAGTGGGGTTTTCTAGATACACAATCATGTCATCTGCAAACAGGGATGATTTGACTTCCTCTTTTCCTAATTGAATACCCTTTATTTCCTTCTCTTGCCTGATTGCCCTGGCCAGAACTTCCAACACTATATTGAATAGGAGTGGTGAGAGAGGGCATCCCTGTCTTGTGCTGGTTTTCAAAGGGAATGCTTCCAGTTTTCGTCCATTCAGTATGATATTGGCTGTGGGTTGGTCATAAATAGCTCTTATTATTTTGAGATACGTCCCATCAATACCTAGTTTATTTAGAGTTTTTAGCATGAAGGGCTGTTGAATTTTGTCGAAGGCCTTTTCTGCATCTATTGAGATAATCCTGTGGTTTTTGTCTTTGGTTCTGTTTATATGCTGGATTACATTTATTGATTTGCGTATGTTGAACCAGCCTTGCATCCCAGGGATAAAGCCCACTTGATCTTGGTGGATAAGCTTTTTGATGTACTGCTGGATTCGGTTTGCCCGTATTTTATTGAGGATTTTTGCATCGATGTTCATCAGGGATATTGGTCTAAAATTCTGTTTTTTTTGTTGTGTCTCTGCCAGGCTTTGGTATCAGGATGATGCTGGCCTCATAAAATGAGTTAGGGAGGATTCCCTCTTTTTCTGTTGATTAGAGTAGTTTCAGAAGGAATGGTACCAGCTCCTCTTTGTACCTCTGGTAGAATTCGGCTGTGAATCCGTCTGTTCCTGGACTTTTTTTGGTTGGTAGGCTATTAATTATTGCCTAATTTCAGAGCCTGTTATTGGTCTATTCAGGGATTCAGCTTCTTCCTGGTTTAGTCTTGGGAGGGTGTATGTGTTGAGGAATTTATCTATTTCTTCTAGATTTTCTAGTTTATTTGCGTAGAAGTATTTATAGTATTCTCTGATGGTAGTTTGTATTTCTGTGGGATCGGTGGTGATATCCCCTTTATAATTTTTTATTGCGTCCATTTGATTCTTCTCTCTTTTCTTCTTTATTAGTCTTGCTAGCAGTCTATCAATTTTGTTGATCTTTTCAAAAAATCAGCTCCTGGATTCATTAATTTTTTGAAGGGTTTTTTGTGTCTCTATCCCCTTCAGTTCTGCTCTGATCTTAGTTATTTCTTGCCTTCTGCTAGCTTTTGAATGTGTTTGCTCTTGCTTCTCTAGTTCTTTTAATTGTGATGTTAGGGTGTCAATTTTAGATCTTGCCGGCTTTCTCTTATGGGCATTTAGTGCTACAAATTTCCCTCTACACACCGCTTTAAATGTGTCCCAGAGATTCTGGTACTTTGTGTCTTTATTCTTATTGGTTTCACACAACATCTTTATTTCTGCCTTCATTTCGTTATGTACCCAGTAGTCATTCAGGAGCAGGTTGTTCAGTTTCCATGTAGTTGTGTAGTTTTGAGTGAGTTTCTTAATCCTGAGTTCTAATTTGATTGCACTGTGGTCTGAGTGACAGTTTGTTGTGATTTCTGTTCCTTTATATTTGATGAGGAGTGCTTTACTTCCAATTATGTGGTCAGTTTTAAAATAAGTTAGATGTGGTGCTGAGAAGAATGTATATTCTGTTGATTTTGGGTGGAGAGTTCTGTAGATGTCTATTAGGTCCACTTGGTGCAGAGCTGAGTTCAAGTCCTGGATATCCTTGTTAACTTTCTGTCCTGTTCATCTGTCTAATATTAACAGTGAGGTGTTAAAGTCTCCCATTATTATTGTGTGGGAGTCTAAGTCTCTCTGTAGGTCACTCAGGACTTGCTTTATGAATCTGGGTGCTCCTGTATTGGGTGCATATATGTTTAGGAAAGTTAGCTCTTCTTGTTGAATTGATCCCTTTACCATTATGTAATGGCCTTCTTTGTCTCTTTTGATCTTTGTTGGTTTCAAGTCTGTTTCATCAGAGACTAGGATTGCAACCCTTGCTTTTTTTTTTGCTTTCCATTTGCTTGGTAGATCTTCCTCCATCCCTTTATTTTGAGTCTATGTGTGTCTCTGCACATGAGATGGGTCTCCTGAATACAGCACGGTGATGGGTCTTGATTCTTTATCCAATTTGCCAGTCTGTGTCTTTTAATTGGGGCATTTAGCCCATTTACATTTAAGGTTAACATTGTTATGTGTGAATTTGATCCTGTCATTATGACGTTAGCTGGTTATTTTGCTCGTTCGTTGATGCAGTTTCTTCCTAGCATTGATGGTCTTTATAATTTGGCATGTTTTTGCAGAGGCTGGTACCAATTTTCCTTTCCATGTTTAGTGCTTCCTTCAGGAGCTCTTGTAGGGCAGGCCTGGTGGTGACAAAATCTCTCAGCATTTGCTTGTCTGTAAAGGATTTTATTTCTCCTTCACTTATGAAGCTTAGTTTGGCTGGATATGAAATTCTGAGTTGAAAATTCTTTTCTTTGAGATTGTTGAACGTTGGACTCCACTCTCTTCTGGCTTGTAGAGTTTCTGCCGAGAGATCCGCTGTTAGTCTGATGGGCTTCCCTTTGTGGGTAACCCGACCTTTCTCTCTGGCTGCCCTTGACATTTTTTCCTTCATTTCAACCTTGGCGAATCTGACAATTATGTGTCCTGAGGTTGCTGTTCTCGAGGAGTATCTTTGTGGTGTTCTCTGTATTTCGTGAATTTGAATGTTGGCCTGCCTTGTAGGCTGGGGAAGTTCTCCTGGACAATATCCTGAAGAGTGTTTTCCAACTTGGTTCCATTCTCCCTGTCACTTTCAGGTACACCAATCAAACGCAGATTTGGTCTTTTCACATAGTCCCATATTTCTTGGAGGCTTTGTTCATTTATTTTTGCTTTTTTCTCTAAACTTCTCTTCTTGCTTCACTTCATTAATTTGATCTTCAATCACTGATACCCTTTCTTCCACTTGATCGAATTGGCTACTGAAGCTTGTGCATGCGTCACGTAGTTCTTATGCCATGGTTTTCAGCTCCATCAGGTCATTTAAGGTCTTCTCCATGCTGTTTATTCTAGTTAGCCATTCGTCTGATCTTTTTTCCAGGTTTTTAGCTTCCTTGCAATGGGTTCGAACATCCTCTTTTAGCTCGGAGAAGTTTGTTATTACTGACCTTCTGAAGCCTACTTCTGTCAACTTAACAAAGTCATTCTCTGTCCCGCTTTGTTCCGTTGCTGGCAAGGAATTGCGATCCTTTGGAGGAGAAGAGGCGCTCTGGTTTTTAGAATTTTCAGCTTTTCTGCTCTGGTTTCTCCCCATCTTTGTGGTTTTATCTACCTTTGGTCTTTGATGATGGTGACTACAGATGGGGTTTTGGTGTGGATGTCTTTGGTTGATGTTGATGCTATTCCTTTCTGTTTGTTAGTTTTCCTTCTAACAGTCAGGTCCCTCAGCTGCAGGTCTGTTGGAGTTTGCTGGAGGTCCACTCCAGACCCTTTTTGCCTGGGTATCACCAGCGGAGGCTGCAGAACAGCAAATACATTGCTGTCTGATCCTTCCTCTAGAAGCTTCGTCTCAGAGGGACACCCGGCTGTATGAGGTGTCAGTTGGCTGCTACTGGGAGGTGTCTCCCAGTTAGGCTACACGGAGGTCAGGTACCCACTTGAGGAGGCAGTCTGTCCGTTCTCAGAGCTCAAATACCATGCTGAGAGAAACAGTGCCATCTTCAGAGCTGTCAGACAGGGATGTTTAAGTCTGCAGAAGTTTCTGCTGCCTTTTTTTCAGCTATGCCTTGACCCCAGAGGTGGAGTCTACAAAGACAGGCAGGCCTCGTTGAGCTGCGGTGAGCTCCACCCAGTTTAAGCTTCCTGTCCACTTTGTTTCCCTACTCAAACCTCAGCAATGGTGGACGCCCCTCCCCGAGCCAGGCTGCCGCCTCACAGTTTGATCTCAGACTGCTGTGCTAGCAGTGAGCAAGGCTCTGTGGGCATGGGACCCACTGAGCCATGCGCGGGATATAATTTCCTGGTGTGCCGTTTGCCAAGACTGGTGGAAAAGCACAGTATTTGGGTGGCAAAGTCCCGATTTTCCAGGTACAGTCTGTCATGGCTTTCCTTAGCTAGGAAAGGGAAATCCCCTGATCCCTGGCACTTCCCGGGTGAGGCGATGCCCTGCCCTGCTTCAACTCGCTCTCTGTGGGCTGCACCCACTGTCCAACCAGTCCCAATGAGATGAACCAGGTACCTCAGTTGGAAATGTAGAAATCACCCATCTTCTGCGTCAATCACGCTGGGAGCTGCAGACCAGAGCTGTTCCTATTTGGCCATCTTGGAATGGACCCCTATTTACCCTACTTTCAAGCTACAAGTTAAAGTTATCCAATGTGTTGGAGTACAATTTTTCATAGTATCATTATAATCCTTTCTATTTCTGTAAGCTGGTAATAATGTCCCCACTTCTGAAAAAGTTTAGTTGAAAATTATTTTACCGTAGAAATTTTCAAATATACACAAAAGTTAAGTAAATAGCATGATTCACTCCTACATACTTATCATCAAGATGAACAATTTTCAAGGGTTCATTAGACTTGCTTCATCTATTCCTTATCTTTCCCTCCCTCTCTCATGCAACCTAAGAGTGTATGAAAGGGGCCCATCTAGTTCTGTGTTAAGGTTAGAGAAGAAAGTATTTTTTAAAAAGGTTACTGGACGAATGTGTGCCTGTGAATACCAATTCCTTGTTGGCACTGAGAAGCTTTTCTTCCTCCTGTCAGTCTCCCTATCTCTTGCTCAAGACTGACATTTTAGTCAAGTTTCTCCTGCTAGAGTGCAATTCTCAGCCAATTTTAGTCACCTCGGGAGCTTCAAAAAATATTGATTTCTGGACCCTATCCCATAATATTATATTTAATTGGTCTGGTATGTGGTCTGTAATAGGAGTTTTTAAAAGGTGATTCTAATATACAGCCAAGATTGAGAACTTGTGCTCTAAAACGTGAGAGCCCTCATTTCTTCTACTTTCCTTTTGTAATGCATCTCTCATTTCTTACAAGATGCTTTAGAGAACAAATGCTGTGAGACCTGGCTGTTCACTTCCACAGGTGTTTACAAGTGAGTAATGAGTTTAGGCAAGGATGTAACGCATGAAATCTACCCAAGGCCAGAAATAAACTCAGGAGTGAACTCCAAATTCTGCTGAAAGAGTTACTGATAATCTTACCTGGAAAGGGACCTGCATCAGGAAGTAGGGAGCCTGGTCTGATGTGAAAAATGGAGACCTGACAGACCAGAAATTCTGTTGAGTTCCTAGGGCTTTCCTCTTGTCCAAGGCAATGGTCTTAACTCTGGCTGTACATTAGAATCATTTGAAATGATCATTTTCTCAGGCTTCATTTTAGAGATTCTGATTTAATTTGTCTAGGTCAAGTGTTCTTAAATTTAGGTTGCATCAAAATCACCTGGTTACTGGGCACCAACCTCAGAATTTCTGATTCAGTAGAGCAGGGGTGGGGATCAACATACACATTTCTAGTAAGTTACCAGGCAATGCTGAGGCTGCTGATCTGGGAACCACATTTGAGAATCACTGGTTTAGGGTAAGACCCAGGCACAGATTTTTAGGGGGAAAAATTCTCTAAGTACTTTCAATGTGCAGCCAGAGTGAAAAAAAAAAAAAAATTCACTGCCCTGGTACTGCTGACTCACGAATTGCAGGGAAACAGAAAGTACAGAAAACCTGACCCTCTTGAATTGGGACACTTCAGATGAATGGGTGAAAGAACTTGAACTTCAGATAGAATCCCTGCGTGAATCAGATACTCTATGGTAGGTTTGACCTCCCTGGGAGGAAAGAATGGTTGAACTCAATTCTGACATTTCATTTCTGCTGTTTCGAATTTTACTTCTGTTCAGCCATTAGTCTCCACTTTTCTATGATTGTAGAACTAGAATAAAACTGTTTCCAAAAATGTATCTAACACCTTTACTTCTGAATAGAAGAGCTATCCAGAAACTACCAAGTCTCTGTGTCTCCTAGGCTGAATCTTGCTTTAACTCTGGCTCTCTGCTTACATCTGATAAAGGATTTCTTGAATGCAGACAGTTACCTTTTACATTTATTTTGTCAGTAGAAGAGATGCAGCTAAAGGAACATTTTGCCTCTTGCACTAAACTGTTACAGATACATGAACCAGTGCTTCCAACACAAATGGCACACACAGAAATGACAATACAGTAGTTGTATAGCACACTGGTGTAACCGCCCAGTGGGTTCACTTTACCTAATTTGTAACCGCCCAGTGGGTTCACCTTACTCCACTGCCTAGACAGAGCCCATTTCTCGAGACCGAGGAATCACGATACAGAAAGAATAATTAATGCAGAGCCGGCTGAGCAGGAGACTGGAGTTTTACTACTACTCAAATCAGTCTCCCGGAACATTTGGGGATCAAAGTTTTTCAAGACAATTTGGTGGGAGGGGAGGGGCAGTGAGTTGGGGAGTGCTGATTGGTTGGGTCATACGTGAAATCGTGGGGGCGTCCCTGTCTTCTTGCGCTGACTCAGTTCCTGGGTGGGGGTCACAAGATCAAATGGCCAGTTTCTCCATCTGGGTAGTGCTGGTAGATGCATGAAGGGTGGAGTCTGCAAAACACCTCAAGCACTGATCTTAGGAGCAGTTTAGGGAGGGTCAGAGTCTTGTAGCCTCCAGCTAGGTGACTCCTAAACCATAATTTTTAATTTTGTGGCTAATGTTAGTAGTCCAATCCCTGGGCAAGAAGGAAGTTTGTCCTGGGAAAGGGCTGCTATTATCATTGTTTTAAATGATAAACTAAGTTCCTCCCAAAGTTAATTCAGCCTATACCCAGGAATGAACAAGCACAGCTTGGAGGTTGGAGGCAAGATGGAGTCGTTTAAGTTGGACCTCTTTCACTGTCTCAGTCATAATTTTGCAAAGGCGGTTTCACTGGGGCAAGAGGAAGAGGCTGCTTACAGCTGAAGATAATCACCCAAGACAACCAACTGTCCCCAGGACCCAGGGCAGTCAATATCTGTGAGCTAGCACCAAGCAGGCTGCTTAGGAAACACTGATGTAGGCAAAGCACACATCTGCCTCACGTAGACTCAGCCTTCTGTAATGAATAGTATTTAAAGAGAATATCCTCAAGTAGTCATTGTTGATTTAGATATATTGTAAATAGCTTAATCTAGATTTAAAAAATTGTATATTTACTTGTTATAGGTGTGAACATACTCCGTAACACAGATGTGCAATAAATATTACCACAATCTTGGAGTAATGATGGAATGGTGAAAGGGAAGATTACACACTCCAGAACATTCAGGGAAGGACCCTGGTCTTCAGGACTTGTTGCCACTTCATGGTCATTTGAAAGCAGGTGGTTCCACTCTCTCCATGCCAAGTTTGAGCAACTCTCCCAGTGCTCCCAAGCCACAACACCTAGCGTCCACTCACCTTGGGATCCCATGTAGGCATTTCATTTTTTGTTTTTTTGAGACGGAGTCTTGCTCTGTTGCTCAGGCTGGAGTGCAGTGGGGTGATCTCAGCTCACTACAACCTCTGCCTCCCCGGTTCAAGCAATTCTCTCGTCTCAGTCCCCTAAGTAGCTAGGATTATAGGCGCCCACTGCCATGCCTGGCTAATTTTTGTATTTTTTAGTAGACACAGTGTTTCACCATGTTGGATAGGCTGGTCTCGATCTCCTGACCTTGTGATCCACCCACCTCGGCCTCCCAAAGTGTTGGGATTACAGGTGTGAGCCACTGCACCGGTGGCTACATACCCCATGTAGGCATTTTTTCATCCACACATTGTTTGTAAGTGAGACACAGGTCTCTGCTAAAATCAAATCCTCTTCTCCATTCCTTTGGGGGCAGCTTAGTTTAATTCCGTGTTGGTTCCTTGTGTATTTTTTCTTCAGGCCAATAATAAAAATGAAGCTAAAAATACCCTTTTATAGTGAGAAGAACCCAAATACAGTTTTCCTGATGGGGCTGGAACTATCTTTTCATTCTTTTCAATCTCTTAAATTGAGTGCCTAAGAATTAGACAGGAACTACTGTATCAATAAACTAGCTCGCCTCTTAAAAAAAAAAGTCTCAGCTGGGCACGATGCCTCACTCCTGTAATCCCAGTACTTAGGGAGGCCAAGGTGGGTGGATCACCTGAATTCTGGAGTTCGAGACCAGCCTGGCCAACATGGTGAACCCCTGTCTCTACTAAAAATACAAAAAATTAGCTGGGCATGATAGGGCATGCCTGTAATCCCAGTTAGTTGGGAGGCTGAGGCAGGAGAATCGCTTGAACCCGGAAGGCAGAAGTTGCAGTGAGCTGAGATCACGCCATTGCACTCCAGCCTGTGCAACAAGAGCAAAACTCTGTCTCAAAAAAAAAAGGTCTCTACTTCAAGAACACATACCTATGGCTGAAACTTAAGAAATTACACGGTGAAATGTTATTTTGAATTAAAGACTTTTTAAAAATTCACTTATGTACATGGAATGTGCTTTCACTCTTTTTAAAAAATTCTGTCATTCTGTCTATGTAAAAGTACAAGATACTCTAATTTTGGACAGATTGTTGCAAGTGATATGTACAATAATAAAGACTTTCCACATGCAAATGAGAAATAAACACTTTCTTTAAGCAAAATGAAATAGGCCTAGGAGTATAGGTGAGGGATAGAGCTATGCGGCATTCAAATGTGGGTGTGAGTTGGCCTAAGTCTAAAACCAGAGGTGGGCTGCAAGCAAATATGGCCTCTAATACCCAGGAACTAAACTGGATTAGAACCAAGAAGAGCTCATAGAAGGGTGAATCTAGAAGGAAGAGTAGGACACTAGACTGGATGAAAACCCAGGGAGTGTTTGAGAATCTAAGTCATAAGAAGTCATTCAGCAGCTTCTCTCACCCTTAAGACTTGACCTAAGCCAATTTGTCCATTCAGGGAATCGCTTGAACCCAGGAGGTGGAGGTTGCAGTGAGCCGAGATCGCACCACTGCACTCCAGCCTGGGTGACAGAGCAAGACTCCATCTCAAGGAAAAAAAAAAAAAGGCTGCTAGTCATCTGGCAGTATATCTTGAATACTGCTCATTTCACTATGAAAAAATGCAACATCGCTTGTGGTGCAGGTTCAGAAAGTGAGATATCTAAAGTTCTACACCTGCCTCCTTTGGAGGGTGGCCAACTGATTAAGGCCTTTAGATGTCTAGTTAATCACCCCTGCCTCAGGTGTAGACTCCTGACCTGGGTGTTAACAATGTTAAATAATTGTCCCTAGGGTATGGATTAATTTATACACATTCACCTCAAAATAGCATTTTTACCAGCGAATTCCAGACAAAATCTCAGACACCTTTAGCTAATAATGTTTAAACCTAATTTTATATCTGACAGTATTTTTTTCCTCCTAGGTGTGGGAGTAAGATTGATTTTAAAAATAGTTGCCATTACTCAGAAATAGATAAAGTAATATGCCTTACTATTAGTCAAGGAGCAGAAATCCTACTCAAAATAATTTAAGCAAAGAGCAATATTTAGTGGTTCATGTTCCTGGGGAGAATAGGGAAGGCCCTGACCGTAGCTACTCTGAACCCAGGGACTCAAGGACATTGAAAGGTCTTCTCATTCTCTCTTTTTCTCTGTCCCTCTGCTTTGTGTATATATCTTCACAGGTCTGTTTCTCTGGGTTTTGGCCTCATTCACTTCTATTTCTGCTAGGCCTTTTCATGAGGCGTGCAAGCCCCTCTGGCTTCACTTCCTCTAGCTCCGTGACCCCAGAGCCAAAGGGCCCCTCGAGTACCTGCTGGGGAAGAACTTGGATTTTCTCAACTTGTGTCACCTGCCCTAATAATAATCCTTGGATAATTCCTCTGGCCAGGAAGTTGAGGTTCGGTCTAAATCTGGGTTGCTGGCCTTATGTTTTGTGGGTTGGTGAGTACTGTTGTGAGAAGAAGGATAAGGTGCTGACTTTGGAAGCTCATATACTAAAATTGGAACAGGCCAGGTGTCGTGGCTCACAACTGTAATCACAGCACTTTGGGAGGCTGAGGCAGGTAGATCACCTGAGGCCAGGAGTTTGAGACCAGCCTGGCCAACATGGCGAAACCCTGTTTCTACTAAAAATACAAAAATTAGCTAGGCATGGTGGTGTGCGCCTGTGATCTCAGCTACTCGGGAGACTGAGGCAGAAGAATCACTTGAACCCAGGAGGAAGAGGTTGCCGTAAGCCAAGATTGCACTGCTTCACTCCAGCCTAGGTGACAAAGTGAGACCTTGTCTGAAATAAATAAATAAAATAGAAACAATGCAGAGACAATTAGCAAGGCCCTTGCACAAGGATGTCATGAAAATGTGCAAAGCATTCCATATATTTTATCTGAAGTGTTCTTATCACGTACACACACAAAAACATAACTATGTCAGGTGATGATTAATTAGCTTGATTGTGATGATTATTCCACAATGCACATATGTATCAAAACATCGAGTTGTACACCTTAAATATATACAATTCAAATTTGTCAGTTATACCTTATTAAAGCAGCAGCAGAAGAAGGGGTGTTACCAAACTGCCCAAAACTGTAGTTGCCACAGCCCCCTCTGCCCTTCCTGTTCTCTTTTTCCTGCCTTTCTATACTTGGGATCTTTGGCTTATGTGTGTTAAATTGGATGTTATGAAAAACAAGAAATATTCAAGCTTTCTATGCATTAAGATTTAGTAGTATATAACCTTTGATCCACTTTATATTTTTCAGTAGAGGGAACCATGTAGAATAGCTGGCATCAGAATTTTCTGGATTTTTTCCTCAAGCGATACCACTAAAATGGAAACCTGAAGATGTTTATAAGCAAATGTAGGCTAACATTGATTTAAAAAAAAGCCGCCAATATGCTATAGCAGTGAATGTTGCAACCAAAATGAATTTCCTTAATTATAATCGGGTGAATTTGGGACTAGGAAAAACAGCTTGTTTACCCATTTAATCACCACCTATAGGTAAGAAGCTCAGAGATTTTCCAGGTGAATGAGGCCCCTGATAAATATATCTCTGTCTTGTGGACAGTAAAATGATTCAACAAATGCCATATGTAGTGTTTAGCTCTTGAGGAGACCTATGGCCTAGTTGGAACATATCCTATGTGCTGTGCCTACTGGAGGGTAACATGAACAGATTGCTGGTAATAGCTCACTCCACACAGTGTCTGTCAGATATAAAGTGCCAGGTCAAGTAGTGACCACATGCAATGTGGACACCATGATTTTTCCACTTCTCTCAGTTACTAAAAAGCTTATAAGAGGCCGGGCATGGTGGCTTACGCCTGTAATCCCAGCACTTTGGGAGGCCGAGGCGGGCAGATCACCTGAAGTCAGGAGTTCAAGACCAGCCTGGCCAACATGGTGAAACTCTGTCTCTATTAAAAATACAAAAATTAGATGGGCATGGTGGCGGGCAGAAGAATCTCTTGAACCCAGGGGGCGAGGTTGCAGGTGAGCTGAGATCATGCCACTTAACTCTCGTCCTGGGCAAAAGAGCGAGATCTGTCTCAAAAAAAAAAAAAAAAAAAAGAAAAAAGAAAAAAAAAGCTTCAAAGAGGAACAAAGAGAACAAGTTAAGTTTCAAGAACACTACCAGACAATAGTAAATTGTGATATGATACTTGACCATTATATTATGATGACTAATTTATAGCAGTGTGGATTTTAAAATCAACAGATGGTATCCATTGAAATTTTAAGTCTTTATAACAGAAACTGTTATAATAATTGATAAACAGCAATTTTCTGGCATGGAATTCCATCATTGAATATATTCTGAAGAGGAGTGTCATTATAGCAAAAACAAATTACTATTCTTATATGAAAAATAGTGGCTGTGTGTAAGTAGACAAGACATATAAAGGTGGAACAGTGTGTGATAAAGTCAAAATTCTGCTATGGCCTAGCTGCTTGCTAAGAATTGCACTTAGAGTACTGAAAATATATACTGTTGAGTGTGTGAATGATATACTAGGACCTTGCGACTTGAAGTACGGTATGGGACCAGCAGAATCAGTATCACCTGGGAGCTTGTTAAAAATGCAAGTTATTTGGTCCCACCCCAGACCTACTGAATCAGAAATTCCGGAAGCTGGGCCAGAAATCTGTGTCCTACATGCCCTCCAGGTGCTCCCAGTGCATGCTACAGTTTGAGAGGCACCATTCTAATTAGTTGCAAGCGCTCTCCTGATGGCTTGTAGAACTGCCCAAGCAAGGGACTTGAGCCTGGAGAAGTATGTGATGTACAGGCTTCTCTTGCAGCAATAAACCAACTTAGTAGACCACTACTGTTGCAATGACTCCTCTCACCTAATCGTCAAACCTAGATGTTAGCTGGGTTAAAACAGCCTCATTTTCTTTATCACTTTTTTTTTTTTTGAGACGGGTTATCACTTTGTTACCCAGGCTGGAGTGCAGTGGCATGATCTCAGCTCACTGCAGCCTCGACTGCCAAGGCTCAAGTGATCCTCCTGCCTCAGTCCCTCAAGTAGCTGGGATTATAGGCACCCACCACCATGCCCAGCTAATTGTTGTATTTTTCGTAGAGACAGGGTTTCGCCATGTTGCCCAGGCTGGTCTCAAACTCCTGGCCTCAAGCAATCCTCCCGCCTCAGCCTCCCAAAGTGCTGGGATTACAGGTGTGAGGCACCATGCCCAGCTCTTTATTATTTATATATTAATTAAAGACTAAGTTGTAGGAGGGTAGTTTTTGAACCAGTTATCAATTAGCATCAGTAAATATCAGTAAATATTTATTAAGTGTGTGTTATATTTTGTTCTAGCAGCAGCAAAATATATACAAAGTGAACTGAAAGATGATTGTTGTTTAGCATGTGGTTAAGGAGAAAATATAAACTTGAAAAATTAAATGGCAATGTCAGATAATAACACAAGAGCTATTCCTAGGCATTATATGACAAATTATAAAATAAGGGGAAAATTCACTGAAAAGGAAGAGATCCCCGGATTGAATAGGTCTGTGAAGACATCACTCAAGTTTCCTTCACTGAGCATATGTTTAGGAAGTAGCTGCTCCAGGAAGGGCCTTGGGCAGGTGCTGGAGAGAATGTGGAACTTGAACTAGACTTCTGGAAAAGGCAATTCAAATGGCAGGAACATAACAAACAAAGGTATCATATGAGAAGTTTACACAGCAATTCTGGTTGCTCTGTCCTTGCATATCTCCAAGGAAACCTGGACCCATGATTGACTGTTGGTCAACCCTAGGTATGTGGCCCTTGGAAGGTTCTTTATGCTAACGTTGATGATTTTGTTGTATGCACCTAGAGCAATGAACCATGACCTACTAGCTTGTCAGAATTGCTTTGCACAAACATCAAGACTGATCATGCATGCCAGGTTTCATTATTAGGGTCCTGAGTTTCAGTTGCCAAGGATGGTCATGTAGTAGAATGTACCTATGTGACCAGACCTCCATAAAAGCCTTGGGCCCTGAGACTTGCATTGGGTAGAGAGATACTGCTAGAAGGAAAGATTGTCTTGTGTGGCTCTGGTTGGAAAAAACTTGAAAGCGTGTATCTGACCTCTCTGGATTTTACCTAATGCCTATCTTCTTTTTGCAACTTTTGCTGTCTACTTTTTGCTGTAATAAGTCTTAGCCATGAATATAACCTGATATTGAGCCTTTTGAGTGTTTCTAAAAAAACACCAAACTAGGAGTGGTTATGGAACCCCTGAAATATGGCCTGTGACAAGATGCAAAATACACATGAATTTTTGGGTAGAAACAAGAAATATTAAAATCTGATGGGAAAAGTCAATTCTTGATTGCTGAATCTTGGTGAAGAATATATAGGTGTCCATTGTACTATTCTTTTTCTTTGGTTTTTTTTTTTGTTTTTTTTTTTTGAGACAGGATCTTGCAGTCGCCCAGGCTAAAGTGCAGTGGCACAATGATGGCTCACTGCAGCCTCAACCTCCTGGGCTCAAGCAATCCTCCCACCTCAGCCTCCCGAGTACCTGGGACTCTAGGTGTACGCCACCACACTCAGCTAATTTTTGTATTTTTTGTAGAGACAGTCTCCTTTTGTTGTCCAGGCTGGTCTCAAACACGTGAGCTCAAGTGATCCTCCCGCCTCAGCCTCCCAAAGTGCTGGGATTACAGGTGTGAACAACTGCACCTTGCCTCGTTGTACTATTCTTTAAAGTTTCCTGTAAGTTTGACATTTTTCAAAATATAAATTTATAGAAAAATGAGTAGTATTGGGCAAATAGTACTCAAGAAATGTTAGCAGTTGAGAAGTCAGTTATCATATGTAGGCATGGACATATGTGTCTATAGAATCATAGAATTGTACGTTATCTTGAAGAATAATCATTTTACACTTTACCGTTTAATCAAGCCTGTCCATCTTTTCCTATGTTTCCTTGGATGTGTGTTTTCTATTCTTTTTTTGACCACATACTGCTGCCTCAGGCAGATGGGGGGCCCTGAGTCCCTGGCCTGGAAGTGGGCCTGAGGCTGTGGTGAATGGAGCCAAGAGAATAATTACCAGGTCAGTTTCCTATGGAGTTTCTGGGTCAGTAATGCCAAGACCAATAGTCCAGGGTCAGGGTGCCAAATTCAGACAGGGCAATAAAAAAGAGAAAGCTCTAATTCAAATTGATCGTTCTGACAGAGAAGGCAATGCAAAGGGAGTTCAGTCAGACAAGCCAGGACTGATTCCTGAGAAAAAAATGCACACAGTGCCAATTTCCTTTTTTAACTGGTTCCTGCCACAGCTAACATCGGGGACATATCCTAAAGTGAGTGATGCAGCTGGGGAGTGCACCATTGTATTCTCACAGAGTTTTCTCTCAGCCTGAGATTGACTGAATATTCACTTATAGTTTCTCCTTTTTTTTATTATTTGAGATTTTACGTTTAATTCTTTTTTATGCATTTTCTACTTATGTATTACATTTAAGTCTTTAACATCTCTAGTTAGAAAACTGCACTTGTATATGGGTAAGATTGGTTTCTACTGTGCTAGCTTCCTCAGCTTTATTAGTAAGATATGCATAGTGGTCAAGAACATGAATTCTAGGCCGGGCGCCGTGGCTCACACTTGTAATCCCAGCACTTTGGGAGGCCGAGGCGGGTGGATCACCTGAGGTCAGGAGTTCAAGATTAGACTGGCCAACATGGTGAAACTCCATCTCTGCTAAAAATACAAAAATTAGCTGGGCGTCATGGTGCGTGCGTGTGATCCCAGCTACTCAGGAGACTGAGGCAGGAGAATCGCTTGAACCCAGGAGGAAGAGGTTGCAGTGAGCCAAGATTGCGCCACTGCACTCCAGCCTGGGTGACAAAGTGAGACCTTGTCTCAAAAATAAATAAATTAATTAAATAAAATAAGATAGGAACAATGCAGAGAAGATTAGCAAGGCCCTTGCACAAGGATGTCATGAAAATTTGCTAAGCATTCCGTATATTTTATCTGAAGTGTTCTCATCATGTACACACACAAAAACATAAGTATGTCAGGTGATGGTTAGTTAGCTTGATTCTGGTGATTATTCCACAATGCACATATGTATCAAAATATCAAATGGTACACCTTAAATATATACAATTCAAATTTGTCAATTATACCTTATTAAAGCAGCAGCAGAAGAAGGGGTGTTACCAAACTGCCCAAAACTGTAGTTGCCACAGCCCCCTCTGCCCTTCCTGTTCTCTTTTTCCTGCCTTTCTATACTTGGGATCTTTGGCTTATGTGTGTTAAATTGGATGTTATGAAAAACAAGAAATATTCAAGCTTTCTATGCATTAAGATTTAGTAGTATATAAACTTTGATCCACTTTATATTTTTCAGTAGAGGGGACCATGTAGAATAGCTGGCATCAGAATTTTCTGGATTTTTTTCCTCAAGCGATACCACTAAAATGGAAACCTGAAGATTTTTATAAGCAAATGTAGGCTAACATTGATTTTTAAAAAAGCCGCCAATATGCTATAGCAGTGAATGTTGCAAACAAAATGACTTTCCTTAATTATAATCGGGTGAATTTGGGACTAGGAAAAACAGTTTGTTTACCCATTTAATCACCACCTATAGGTAAGAAGCTCAGAGACTTTCCAGGTGAATGAGGCCCCTGATAAATATATCTCTGTCTTGTGGACAGTAAAATGATTCAACAAATGTCATATGTAGTGTTTAGCTCTTGAGGAGACCTATGGCCTAGTTGGAACATATCCTATGTGCTGTGCCTACTGGAGGGTAGCATGAACAGATTGCTGGTAATAGCTCACTCCACATAGTGTCTGTCAGATATAAAGTGCCAGGTCAAGTAGTGACCACATGCAATGTGGACACCATGATTTTTCCACTTCTCTCAATTACTAAAAAGCTTTTAAGAGGCTGGGCATGGTGGCTCATGCCTGTAATCCCAACAATTTCGGAGGCCGAGGCGGGCAGATAGCCTGAGGTTAGGAGTTCAAGACCAGCCTGGCCAACATGGCGAAACCCTGTCTCTACTAAAAATACAAAAATTAGCTGGGTGTGCTGGTGCATGCCTGTAATCCCAGCTACTTGGGAGTCTGAGGCAGGGAGAATCGCTTGAACCTGGGAATCGGAAGTTGCAGTGAGCCGAGGTCATGCCATTACACTCCAGCCTGGGCGACAGAGGGAGACTGTCTCAAAAAAACAAAAACAACAAAAGCATGAATTCTAGAGTCAGATTGCTTGGGTCAAAATATTGGCTCTAGCACCTAATAAATAATTAGCCGCATTAACCTCTTCATGCCTCACCTTCTTTTCTATGAAATGCAGATAAAATATTACCTACCTCCAGGTATTGGCATATCACTAGCAATGAACATACTTGATGCCAGATCTTGTTTTATATGTGCAATTTTATGAAAGAAAAAAAAGAAAAGGAAAGAAATCAGGGCAGCCGGGGGCATTGGTTCACACCTATAATCCTAGCACTTTGGAAGGCCAAGGTGGGAGGATCACTTGAGCTCAGGATTTCCAGACCAGCCTTGGCAACATGGCACAACCTCATCTCTACTAAAAATACCAAACAATAGCCGGTTGTGGTTGCGCACGTCTTTAGTCCCAGCTTATAGTCCCAGCTACTTTGGAGGCTGAGGCACGAGAATCGCTTCATCCCGTGAGGTGGAGGTTGTAGTGAGCCCAGGTCGCGTCATCTCCAGCCTGGGCAGCGGAGCAAGACTCCATCTCAAAAAAAAAAAAAAGAAAAAAAGAAAAGAAAAGCCAGAACTTTTGGAAGAAATGTCTGGTTCCAGGACTGGAACAGAGAAAAACCAAGATCCGCCTGGAACATGTCATGATGTCAAAAAGTAAATGCTGGAAAAATGATGGGGCATGTTGAAGAAACATAGGAGCCAACTTGAAGGGGATCCCAAGACAAATCTGGGACAATTTAAGCAACAAAATAAATAATGATAGTAATAAGTTGTAACTCGTGGAATAAAACAAATATCCCTATGTCCAGAGTGATAACAAGTTGAATAAATAAATCACTGGGAGAGTGGTGGAAGTTCTTCTTTACAGTAGAATTCCAAGTAATAAATGATGAAGAAGTGATGGAAACAAAATTACCATTTGCCAGATACTATAGTAAAAATTGTTTCAGGCAAGAGTCATTCACAAATGCTAAAATTGGTGGGCTAAAAGGAGAAACAGGATTTTTTATATAGTGTCACAGTATCTCCCCAGAAGATATTTATTAAATGGCAAAGGGAAAAATAATGTTACAGTAGAGAAGTCTGGCAGACACCACCTTAATCAAGTGATCCAAGTTAATATTGCAGTCATGAGGCCAACATATATAACCTGATTTAATCAAAAAGAAACATCAGACAAATCCAAAGTGAGGGACACTCTACAAAACTATGGGTATACACTCTTCAGAATTGTGAAGGTCACACAAGATAAAGAAAGATTAAGAAACTATCATAGATTAAAGAGTAAGAAGATAAATAAATGCATTGTGTGATCTTTGATAGCATCCTGATCCAGGAAAAGGGGCACATAGGGACAGTTGACAAAATTTAAATACAGTTCATAGATGAATTAGTGGCATTTACTAGGGTTATTTTCTTTTTTTATTTTTTATTTTATTATTATTATACTTTAAGTTTTAGGATACATGTGCACAATGTGCAGGTTAGTTACATATGTATACATGTGCCATGCGGGTGTGCTGCACCCATTAACTCGTCATTTAGCATTAGGTATATCTCCTAAAGCTATCCCTCCTCCCTCCCCCCACCCCACAACAGTCCTCAGAGTGTGATGTTCCCCTTCCTGTGTCCATGTGTTCTCATTGTTCAATTCCCACCTATGAGTGAGAATATGCGGTGTTTGGTTTTTTGTTCTTGCGATAGTTTACTGAGAATGATGATTTCCAATTTCATCTATGTCCCTACAAAGGACATGAACTCATCATTTTTTATGGCTGCATAGTATTCCATGGTGTATATGTGCCACATTTTCTTTTTTTTTTTTTTTTTTTTTGAGACGGAGTCTCGCTCTGTCGCCCACCCGGGAGGCGGAGCTTGCAGTGAGCCGAGATCCCGCCACTGCACTCCAGCCACATTTTCTTAATCCAGTCTATCATTGTTGGACATTTGGGTTGGTTCCAAGTCTTTGCTATTGTGAATAGTGCCGCAATAAACATATGTGTGCATGTGTCTTTATAGCAGCATGATTTATAGTCCTTTGGGTATATACCCAGTAATGGGATGGCTAGGTCAAATGGTATTTCTAGTTCTAGATCCCTGAGGAATGGCCACACTGACTTCCACAATGGTTGAACTAGTTTACAGTCCCACCAATAGTGTAAAAGTGTTCCTATTTCTCCACATCCTCTCCAGCACCTGTCGTTTCCTGACTTTTTAATGATTGCCATTCTAACTGGTGTGAGATGGTATCTCATTGTGGTTTTGATTTGCATATCTCTGATGGCCAGTGATGGTGAGCATTTTTTCATGTGTTTTTTGGCTGCATAAATGTCTTCTTTTGAGAAGTGTCTGTTCATACCCTTAGCCCACTTTTTGATGGGGTTGTTTGTTTTTTTCTTGTAAATTTGTTTGAGTTCATTGTAGATACTGGATATTAGCCCCTTGTCAGATGAGTAGGTTGCGAAAATGTTCTCCCATGTTGTAGGTTGCCTGTTCACTCTGATGGTAGTTTTTTTTGCTGTGCAGAAGCTCTTTAGTTTAATTAGATCTCATTTGTCAATTTTGGCTTTTGTTACCATTGCTTTTGGTGTTTTAGACATGAAGTCCTTGCCCATGCCTATGTCCTGAATGGTAATGCCTAGGTTTTCTTCTAGGGTTTTTATGGTTTTAGGTCTAACATGTAAGTCTTTAATCCATCTTGAACTAATTTTTGTATAAGGTGTAAGGAAGGGATCCAGTTTCAGCTTTCTACATATGGCTAGCCAGTTTTCCCAGCACCATTTATTAAATAGGGAATCCTTTCCCCATTGCTTGTTTTTCTCAGGTTTGTCAAAGATCACATAGTTGTAGATATGTGGCGTTATTTCTGAGGGCTCTGTTCTGTTCCATTGATCTATCTCTCTGTTTTGGTACCAGTACCATGCTGTTTTGGTTACTGTAGCCTTGTAGTATAGTTTGAAGTCAGGTAGCATGATGCCTCCAGCTTTGTTCTTTTGGCTTAGGATTGACTTGGCGATGCAGGCTCTTTTTTAGTTCCATATGAACTTTAAAGTAGTTTTTTCCAATTTTGTGAAGAAAGTCATTGGTAGCTTGATGGGGATGGCATTGAATCTATAAATTACCTTGGGCAGTATGGACATTTTCACAATATTGATTCTTCCTACCCATGAGCATGGAATGTTCTTCCATTTGTTTGTGTCCTCTTTTATTTCATTGAGCAGTGGTTTGTAGTTCTCCTTGAAGAGGTCCTTCACATCCCTTGTAAGTTGGATTCCTAGGTATTTTATTCTCTTTGAAGCAATTGTGAATGAGGGTTCACTCATGAGTTGGCTGTCTGTCTGTTATTGGTGTATAAGAATGCTTGTGATTTTTGTACAATGATTTTGTATCCTGAGACTTTGCTGAAGTTGCTTATCAGCTTAAGGAGATTTTAGGCTGAGACAATGGGGTTTTCTAGATATACAATCATGTCATCTGCAAACAGGGACAATTTGACTTCCTCTTTTCCTAATTGAATACCCTTTATTTCCTTCTCCTGCCTAATTGCCCTGGCCAGAACTTCCAACACTATGTTGAATAGGAGTGGTGAGAGAGGGCATCCCTGTCTTGTGCCACTTTTCAAAGGGAATGCTTCCAGTTTTTGCTCATTCAGTATGATATTGGCTGTGGGTTTGTCCTAGATAGCTCTTATTATTTTGAGATACATCCCATCAATACCTAATTTATTGAGAGTTTTTAGCATGAAGTGTTGAATTTTGTCAAAGGCCTTCTCTGCATCTATTGAGATAATCATGTGGTTTTTATCTTTGGTTCTGTTTATATGCTGGATTACATTTATTGATTTGCATATATTGAACCAGCCTTGCATCCCAGGGATGAAGCCCACTTGATTATGGTGGATAAGCTTTTTGATGTGCTGCTGGATTCGGTTTGCCAGTATTTTATTGAGGATTTTTGAATCAATGTTCATCAAGGATATTGGTCTAAAATTCTCTTTTTTTGTTGTGTCTCTGCCAGGCTTTGGTATCAGGATGATGCTGGCCTCATAAAATGAGTTAGGGAGGATTCCCTCTTTTTCTATTGACTGGAATAGTTTCAGAAGGAATGGTACCAGTTCCTCCTTGTACCTCTGGTAGAATTCGGCTGTGAATCCATCTGGTCCTGGACTCTTTTTGGTTGGTAAGCTATTGATTATTGCCACAATTTCAGAGCCTGTTATTGGTCTATTCAGAGATTCAACTTTTTCCTGGTTTAGTCTTGGGAGGGTGTATGTGTCGAGGAATTTATCCATTTCTTCTAGATTTTCTAGTTTATTTGCGTAGAGGTGTTTGTAGTATTCTCTGATGGTAGTTTGTATTTCTGTGGGATCGGTGGTGATATCCCCTTTATCATTTTTTATTGCATTTATTTGATTCTTCTCTCTTTTCTTCTTTATTAGTCTTGCTAGTGGTCTATCAATTTTGTTGATCCTTTCAAAAAACCGGTTCCTGGATTCATTAATTTTTTGAAGGGTTTTTTGTGTCTCTATTTCCTTCAGTTCTGCTCTGATTTTAGTTATTTCTTGGCTTCTGCTAGCTCTTGAATGTGTTTGCTCTTGTTTTCTAGTTCTTTTAGTTGTGATGTTAGGGTGTCAATTTTGGACCTTTCCTGCTTTCTCTTGTGGGCATTTAGTGCTATAAATTTCCCTCTACACACTGCTTTGAATGTGTCCCAGAGATTCTGGTATGTTGTGTCTTTGTTCTCGTTGGTTTCAAAGAACATCTTTATTTCTGCCTTCATTTCGTTATGTACCCAGTAGTCACTCAGGAGCAGGTTGTTCAGTTTCCATGTAGTTGAGCGGTTTTGAGTGAGTTTCTTAATCCTGAGTCCTAGTTTGATTGCACTGTGGTCTGAGAGACAGTTTGTTATAATGTCTGATCTTTTACATTTGCTGAGGAGAGCTTTACTTCCAACTATGTGGTCAATTTTGGAATAGGTGTGGTGTGGTGCTTAAAAAAATGTATATTCTGTTGATTTGGGGTGGAGAGTTCTGTAGATGTTTATTAGGTCCACTTGGTGCAGAGCTGAGTTCAAGTCCTGGGTATCTTTGTTAACTTTCTGTCACGTTGATCTGTCTAATGTTGACAGTGGGGTGTTAAAGTCTCCCATTATTATTGTGTGGGAGTCTAAGTCTCTTTGTAGGTCACTCAGGACTTGCTCTATGAATCTGGGTGCTCCTGTATTGGGTGCATATATATTTAGGATAGTTAGCTCTTCTTGTTGAATTGATCCCTTTACCAGTATGTAATGGCCTTCTTTGTCTCTTTTGATCTTTGTTGGTTTAAAGTCTGCTTTATCAGAGACTAGGATTGCAAACCCTGCCTTTTTCTGTTTTCCATTTGCTTGATAGATCTTCCTCCATCCTTTTATTTTGAGACTATGTGTGTCTCTGCTTGTGAGATGGGTTTCCTGAATACAGCACACTGATGGGTCTTGACTCTTTATCGAATTTACCAGTCTGTGTCTTTTAATTGGAGCATTTAGTCCATTTATATTTAAAGTTAATATTATTATGTGTGAATTTGATCCTGTCATTATGATGTTAGCTGGTTGTTTTGCTCGTTCGTTGATGCAGTTTCTTCCTAGCCTTGATGGTCTTTACAATTTGGCATGATTTTGCAGTGGCTGGTACCGGTTGTTCCTTTCCATGTTTAGTGCTTCCTTCAGGAGCTCTTTTAGGGCAGGCCTGGTGGTGACAAAATCTCTCAGCATTTGCTTGTCTGTAAAGTATTTTATTTCTCCTTCACTTATGAAGCTTAGTTTGGCTGGATATGAATTTCTGGGTTGAAAATTCTTTTCTTTAAGAATGTTGAATATTGGCCCCCACTCTCTTCTGGCTTGTAGCGTTTCTGCCAAGCGATCTGCTGTTAGTCTGATGGGCTTCCCTTTGTGGGTAACCCGACCTTTCTCTCTGGCTGCCCTTAACATTTTTTCCTTCATTTCAACTTTGGTGAATCAGACAATTATGTGTCTTGGAGTTGCTCTTCTCGAGGAGTATCTTTGTGGCGTTCTCTGTATTTCCTGAATCTGAATGTTGGCCTGCCTTACTAGACTGGGGAAGTTCTCCTGGATAATATCCTGCAAAGTGTTTTCCAACTTGGTTCCATTCTCCCCATCACTTTCAGGTACGCCAATCAGACGTAGACTGGGTGTTTTCACATAGTCCCATATTTCTTGGAGGCTTTGTTCGTTTCTTTTTATTCTTTTTTCTCTAAATTCCCTTCTCGCTTCATTTCATTCATTTCATCTTCCCTCACTGATACACTTTCTTCCAGTTGATCGTATTGGCTCCTGAGGCTTCTTCATTCGTCACGTAGTTCTCGAGCCTTGGCTTTCAGCTGCATCAGCTCCTTTAAGCACTCCTCTGTGTTGGTTATTCTAGTTACACATTCGTCTAAATTTGTTTCAAAGTTTTCAACTTCTTTGCCTTTGGTTTGAATTTCCCCTGTAGCTCGGAGTAGTTTGATCGTCTGAAGCCTTCTTCTCTCAACTCGTCAAAGTCATTCTCCGTCCAGCTTTGTTTCATTGCTGGTGAGGAGCTGCGTTCCTTTGGAGGAGGAGAGGCGCTCTCCTTTTTAGAGTTTCCAGTTTTTCTGCTCTGTTTTTTCCCCATCTTTGTGGTTTTATCTACTTTTGGTCTTTGATGATGGTGATGTACAGATGGGTTTTTGGTGTGGATGTCCTTTCTGTTTGTTAGTTTTCCTTCTAACAGACAGGACCCTCAGCTGCAGGTCTGTTGGAGTTTTCTAGAGGTCCACTCCAGACCCTGTTTGCCTGGGTACCAGCAGCAGTGGCTGCAGAACAGTGGATTTTCGTGAACTGTGAATGCTGCTGTCTGATCGTTCCTCTGCAAGTTTTATCTCAGAGGAGTACCTGGCCGTGTGAGGTATCAGTCTGCCCCTACTGGGGGGTGCCTCCCAGTTAGGCTGCTTGGGGGTCAGGGACCCACTTGAGGAGGCAGTCTGCCCATTCTCAGATCTCCAGCTGCATGCTGGGAGAACCACTGCTCTCTTCAAAGCTGTCAGACAGGGACATTTAAGTCTGCAGAGGTAACTGCTGTCTTTTTATTTGTCTGTGCCCTGCCCCCAGAGGTGGGGCCTACAGAGGCAGGCAGGCCTCCTTGAGCTGTGGTGGGCTCCACCCAGTTCAAGCTTCCCGGCTGCTTTGTTTACCTAAGCAAGCCTCGGCAATGGCGGGCGCCCCTCCCCCAGCCTCGCTGCCGCCTTGCAGTTTGATCTCACACTGCTGTGCTAGCAATCAGCAAGACTCCATGGGCGTAGGACCCTCTGAGCCATGTGCGGGATATAATCTCCTGGTGCGCCGTTTTTTAAGCTGGTCGGAAAAGCGCAGTATCGGGGTGGGAGTGACCCGATTTTCCAGGTGCCATCTGTCACCCCTTTCTTTGACTAGGAAAGGGAACTCCCTGACCCCTTGTGCTTCCCGAGTGAGGCAATGCCTCGCCCCGCTCCGACTCGCGCACGGTGCGCTGCATCCACTGTCCGGCGCCCACTGTCTGTCACTCCCTAGTGAGACGAACCCGGTACCTCAGATGGAAATGCAGAAATCACCTGTCTTCTGCATTACTCACGCTGGGAGCTATAGACCGGAGCTGTTCCTATTCGGCCATCTTGGCTCCACCCTACTAGTGTTATTTTCTTGATTTTGATCATTTTACTCAATTATGTAAGATTAAACATTTGGAGAAGTTGGGTGAAGAGTGTACAAGAATTCTTTGCACTATTTTTGCTATTCATGTGTAAGTCTAAAATATTTCATAATGAAAACTTTAAAAATATATATTAATATATATATTCCTGTTTACAAGTCTTTCCAGACTCTTCTAATATATGTATTAGCAATAGACATATTTGTATATAGATAGAGCTTTGTTTTGATTTGTTTTACAGAAACGGAATTGCATTGTACATGACTCTTTTTTTTTTTTCCACTCAACAATTGTATTAGCTCCTTTTTGAGTGTTGGCTTATCTCACAAAGACCTAGTTTGCTTCCTCCTCCTTAGAGAGGCTCCAGACAACCATATCTCTACTATATGACATCATTCCTTGGTCACAGATAATCAGACCACGTGTGGACATCTGACCCAACCTGTGACATCAGATTCTTTCTACCAGGAATTTGAAACTGGGACCATAATATTCTTATTCAGACTGAGCTATTCTCCTGAGTGATGGAAATTTTAAAACTTCAAAGCTGAGGTACAACTGTAACCCGATGTATGAATTGAAAAGTAGAGACAATTGCAAGGCAGAGAGATGAGACCAGAGAAGCAGGGACAAGATATGAGAAGGCACTTCCTGGGATCCTAGTTGATAACCATTTTCTTATCTCATGCTCTTTTTGAGGACTTCTGCTGTGGGATTCCACAAGACGCATTCAAATCTTTATAATACATTTCCTTTAATGCTCATGCCAGCTCTCAAGAGGCAGAGCTCACATCAGTTGTATTTTCAAAATTAATTTGAGGTGGGGTACGGTGGCTCATGCCTGTAATCCTAGCACTTTGGGAGGCTGAGGCATGTGGATCACTTGAGGTAAGGAGTTCTAAACCAGCCTGGCCAACTTGGTGAAACCTCGTCTCTACTAAAAAAAAAAAAAAAAAAAAAAATCTGGGCATGGTGGTGGATGCCTGTAATCCCAGCTACTCGGGAGGCTGAGGCTGAAGAATCACTTGAACCTAGGAGGCAGATGTTGCAGTGAGCCAAGATTGCAACACTGCACTCCAGCCTGGGTGAGACAGCGAGATTCCATCAAAAACAACAACAACAAAAAACTAATTATCAAAAATTGTAATTGTTTATGTAAAGAATTGCTGGCGAGGCATGGTGGCTCACACTGTACACAGCACTTTGGGAGGCTGAGGCAGGCGGATCACTTGAGGTCAGGAGCTCAAGACCAGCCTGGCCAACATGGTGAAACCCTATCGCTTCTAAAAATACAAAATTAGCTGGGCGTAGTGGCGCATACTTGTAATCCCAGCTACTGGGAGGCTGAGGCAGGAGAATCGCTTGAACCTGGGAGGGCAGAATTGCAGTGACCCAAGATCCTGCCATTACACTCCAGCCTGGGCAACAAGAGCGAAACTCAGTTTCAGACAAAAAAAATTGTTAACTAGGTACTGATGAACCGAAAGTGCTAAAGGAAAACACTTGTTGAATAAACAATTTTTCATTGAAAAATTTCTATAGAAAAATTACATGAATAGTACAAAGGAACACCTGTATACCTTTCAGTTGGATTGACCAATTGACTTTCTCCATGTTTGCTTTCTTTTTTTTTTTTTTTTAGATGGAGTCTCGCTCTCTCACCCAGGCTGGAGTGAAGTGGCACAATCTCGGCTCACTGCAACCTCTGCCTCCCGGGTTCAAGTGATTCTCCAGCCTCAGCCTCCCGAGTAGCTGGGATTACAGGTGCCCACCACCATGCCCAGCTAATTTTTGTATTTTTGTAGAGATGAGGATTCTCCATGTCAGCCAGGCTGGTTTTGAACTTCTGACTTCAGGTGATCCACCTGCCTTGGCCTTCTAAAGTGCTGGGATTATGGGTGTGAGCCACTACACCTGGACTATTTTCTTATTTTTTAAAACATTTACTGATGAATCATTCAGACACATTTAAACATCACTTTTGAAGATTTCAAAAGTTTCTATGAAAAAAGTCCTTATGCATTAGAGATGCATACTGGAAGTATTTATGGCTGAAATGGCATGTCTGAGGTTTGCTTTAAGGTACATCAGCAAGGCCAGGTGCTGTGGCTCACACCTGTAACTGCAACACTTTGGGAGGTCAAGGCAGAATGATCGCTTGAAGCCAGGAGTTCAAGACCAGCCTGGCCAACATGGCAAAACCCCATCTGTACTGAAAATACAAAAATTAGCTGGATGTGGTGGCCCATGCCTGTAATCCCAACTACTTGGGAGGCTGAAGCACAAGAATTGATTGAATCCAAGAGACAGAGGTTGCAGTGAGCAAAGATTGCACCACTGCACTTCAGCCTGGGCAACAGAGTGAGACTCTGTCTTAAAAAAATAAAAATGAAAATAAAGTACATCAGCAAAAGGAGATAAAAAGTGGGGGAGGGATGTGTAAATAATAAAGCAAAATAGTGACCACTGTTAAAGCTAAGTCATGGGTTTATTATACTATTTTCTCAATTTTTACGTATGTTTGAAAATTTACAAACTGAAAAGTAAAAAAAAAAAAAGTTCCCTTAACTATTTCTTTTTAAAAAAAAGATCAAATTGGAACCATTTGGCATTATATTATGTAAAATCCAGCTCTTGGCTGGGTGTGGCAGTTCATGCCTGTAATCCCAGTACTTTGGGAGGCTGAGGTGGGAGGACTGCTTGAGCCCAGGAGCTTGAGAGGAGCTTGGGCAACATAACAAGACCCCATAGCTAAAACAAGAAAAATTTAAAAACAAATTAACCAGGCATGATGGTGCACACCTGTAGTCCCAGCTATTCAGGAGGCTTAGGTGGGAGGCTCGCTTGAGCCCAAGAGGTCAAGGCTGCAGTGAGTAGTGATTGCACCACTGCATTCCAGCCTGGGCAATAGAAAAAACTTAAAAAAAAAAAAAGAGAGAGAGAGAGAGAAAAAGAAAGAAAGAAAGAAAGAAAGAAAGAAAGAAAGAAAGAAAGAAGGAAGAAAGGAAAAAAAATCAAGGTTATATTAGCTTTATATAAAGAGTTAGAAAATGTTTTCTCTTTTTTTATTCTTTGAAAATATATACTGTATTGTTACAGGACCTTTGGGGTATTACTTTTCTGGCCAGAAATCTCTGTGGTCAGTGGCACCTTTGCCCACGTTATTGTCCTGTGTCCAGGAAGAATGAGGTACACAGACAAGTGGAGGGTGAGCAAGATGAATACGAGCTTCATTGAGTGTTAGAACAGCTCAGAGGAGACCTGTAGTGGGTGACTCCTGTCTGCAGGCAGGTCGTCCTGATAAACATTCAGCCCTTAGCAGAGAGGGTGGCTCCTCTCTGTAGCTGGTCATTCCAGCGTCTGCAGCTCTCAGTGGAGAGGAGGCCCTGGAGAAGATAGCTCCTCTCTGCAGCTGGTTTTCCCAGTGTCTGCCCTGCTGTGGTTGAGTCTAGGGGTTTTTATGGTCTTCAGAGGGGTGAAATGCATGCTGATAGGTCCACGAGCAGCCATGGGTGAGCCCAGGAAAAGGCGCCATGAGTTCTGCCTCCAGTACACAGGAGTGGCAGCCCAGCCCCCAGCTTTGAGGCCTTCCCCTGTGTAAAGGTGGGGCTTCACCAGCTTCCTGCCCCCTTCTGCCCAGGAACCTGTCTGCCTCCGGCTGCTGTTCGTGTTTCACAGGCTATTCATGCCAAGGGACACCTGCAAGCCAATGCTGAGCTGCCCTCAGCCTCCCCTCGGCTTCCCTCCCGCACTCGTGGGTGCCCAAAGTCCGGAGGGGACTGAGGCAGCAGGGGGCTGGCATGTCAGGGCTGCCCCAATCATGTGCCCACCTGGCTGGGCTGTGACAGTGCCTGGGCTCGGCCCCAACCTTGCTCCACAATTGCAGTGGGTACTGGGAGCAGGGAGAAGCCAGGCAGTGGGAGCAGGCACTTTGTTCCTGTGGGGGGCCTTCCTGGGCCCCCAAGAGCACAGAGATGCCCAGTTCCAAAGCTAGGCTTGGGCAGCTGCAGCTGCACCCAGGGAGATCCTGCCTCACTAACTCGGAAGGGGTGAGGCTCCCATTTGTCCCCAGCTCCCGCCAGCTCCATGGAATGTGCAGTCCCAGCCACACCTCCGAGATGGGAGCAGGCACTGACAGCAGGAGAAACCAGGCAATGAGAGCAAGCACTTCTGAGCCTGCAGGGGGAAGGGAGGTCTTCCTGGGCACCCAAGACCACAGAGATGCTGGGGTCTGGACCTGCACCAGAGTAGCTGTGGTGGCACCCAGGGAGACTTGGGCAGCACCTCCCTCCTGCAGCCATCATGGCAGCAGCCAGTCTAGATGGGCCGCTGCTGCCACCAGCATTAGTTTCCTATTGCTGCTGTAACAAATTACCACAAAGTTAGTAGCCTGCAACACTGCATATATATTATCTTTCAGTTCTGGAGGTCAGAAGTCTAAAATAGGTTAGCAGGCTGTATTCCTTCTGGAGGTTCTGAGGGAAAATCTGTTTCCTTGCCTTTTCCAGCTTCTACTTCTAGAAGCTATCTATATTTCAAGATTCATGATCCCTTTGAAGATCTTCTATCTTCCAAGTTGACAGTATAACATCTTCAAATTTCTCTCACTCTCTGACACATTATTTCCTTTTATAAGGGCCCCTGTGATTGCACTGAGCCCACCTGGATAATCCAGGATACTCTTTCCATCCCAAGATCTTTAATGTAGTCACATCTGCAAAGCCTTTTTCCCCTTGAAAAGTAACATATTCAGTTTTCAGGGATTAGGAGGTGTACATCTTTGGGGTACTATTATTCTTTCTCCAAAATATATGTAAGCTTAGTGTTATTTCTTCCTTAAATGTTTGGAAGAACGTACCAGTGAAACCATGTGGGACTGAGGTTTTATTTGTGGGAAGGTTTATAATAATACATTTAAGTTATTTAATACGTAATAGACTCTTCAGGCTTGGTATGGTGACTTGTGTCTGTAATTGCAGCACTTTGGGAGGCCAAGGCTTCAAACTCTTGGCCTCAAGTGATCCTTCTGCCTCAGCCTCATGAGTAGGTGGGACTATAGGCATATGTCACAATGGCTGGCTTTGATCACTGATTTCTGATGTTACTATTTTAATTGTTTTGGGGCACCATAAACCACATCCATATAACATGGTAAACTTACTCAATAAAGGTTGTGTGTGTTCTGACTGTCCCACCAACTAGCTATTATCCCGTCTCTGTCTCTCTCCTCTGGCCTTCATGTGAGACAACAATATTAAAATTAATCTACTTAATAACCCTACAACAGCCTCTGAGTATTCAAATGAAAGAAAGAGTTGGATGTCTCTCACTTTAAATCAAAAGCCAGGAATGATTAATTTTACAACTAAGATTAATGTTAGTTGTCATCTTCTCAAGGCATGTTAAAAGCCAAGATAGGCCAAAAGCTAGCCTCTTATGCCAAACAGTCAAGTTGTGAATGAAAAGGAAAAGTTCTTTTTTTTTTTTTTTTTTTTTTTTTTGAGACAGGGTATTCTCCGTCACCTAGGCTGGAATGCAGTAGCATGATGATGGCTCACTGTAGCCTTGACCTCCGGAGCTCAAGCCATCTTCCTACTTTGGCCTACCCCAAGTAGTTAGGACCACAGACGTAAGCCACCATGCCTGGCTAATTTTTAAATTTTTTATAGAGACTGGGTCTCCGCATGTTGCTCAGGGTGGTCAAAAGCTCATGGGCTCAAGCAATGTGCCCACCTTGGCCTCTTAAAGTGCTGGGATTACAGGCATGAGCCACTGCACTAAGTCTAAGAAATGTTCTTGAAAGAAATTAACACGCAAATAAGAAAGTGAGAATGTGAGAAAGTGAGAAAGGCTGTTGCCAATATGGAGAAAGTTTTAGCGGTCTGGATAGATCAAACCAGCCACAACATTCCCTTAACTTAAGGCAAGAAAGTTAGCAAGGCCCTAACTCTCTTCAGTTCTGTGAAGCTGAGACAGGTAAGCATGCTGCAAAAGAAAAGTTGGAAGGTAGTGGAGGTTGGTTCATGAAATTTCATGAAGAAGCTGTCTCCATAACATGAAAGTGCAAGGTGAACAGCAAGTGTTAATACAGAAGCTGCAGCAAATTATCCAGAAGACCTAGCTAAGATTATTGATCAAGGTGGCTACACTAAATAACAGATTTTTAATGTATACAAAATAGCCCTCTATCAGAGGAAGATGCCATCTAGGACTTTCAAAGCTAGAGAGAAGTCAATGCCTAGCTTCAAAGAACAGACTGACTTTCTTGGTGGGGGCTAATGCAGATGGTGACTTTAACTTGAAGCCGATGCTCATTTAGCATTCCAAAAATTATAAGGCCCTTAAGAATTACGCTAAATTGGTGTGTACACCCAATCTCAGCTGGTCCACCCAAGACCCCCTGAGCACCAACCCTAGTCCCCCGGGTGGCCCCTTATCCACTCCGACAAGATGAAAGAAGCAATCATGAACCAGGAAAAACTCGCAAACTGCAGGCACAAGTGCGCATTGGTGGGAAAGAACTGCTTGCAGAAAGAAGGTGGTTCATAGAGCAGCCGCAGCAGATGATAAAAAACTTCAATTCTCCTTAAAGAAGTTAGGGGTAAACAATATCTCTGGTATTGAAGAGGTGAATATGTTTACAAACCAAGGAACAGTAACCACTTTAACAACCCTAAAGTTCAGGCATCTCTGGCAGCGAACACTTTCACCGTTACAGGCCATGCTCAGATAAAGCAGCTGGCAGAAATGCTACCCAGCATCTTAAACCAGCTTGGTACAGGCAGTCTGACTAATTTAAGGAGACTGGATGAAGCTCTGCCCAACAATCTGTGGATGGAAAAGCACCACTTGCTACTGGCGAGGATGATGATGATGAAGTTCCAGATCTTGTGGAGAAATTTGAAGAGGCTTCCAAGAATGGGGCAAACTGAATTGAGTCAACTTCTGAAGATAAAACTTAAAGTTACTGGGAGCTGCTATTTTATATTATGACTGCTTTTTAAGAAATTTTTGTTTATGGATCTGATAAAATCTAGATCTCTAATATTTTTAAGCCCAAGCCCCTTGGACACTGCAGCTCTTTTCAGTTTTTGCTTATACACAGTTCATTCTTTGCAGCTAATTAAACCAAAGAAACTTGGGAATCAAGTTTGAAACAAAGGTTAATAAAGTTCTTTGCCTAGTTAAAAAAAAGAAAGAATTATACTAAATCTACTCTGCCTGTGCTCTATTAAAGGAGCACCAAAGTCCACCTGACAGCACATCTGTTTACAGCATGGTTTACCGAATATTATAAGCCCACTGTTGAGACCTGCTGCTCAGGAAAAAAAAGATTCCTTTCAAAATAACATTGCTAGGGCCCAGTGCAGTGGCTCACGCCTGTAATCCCAGCACTTTGGGAGGCTGAGGCGGGTGGATCATGAGGCCAGGAGTTCGAGACCAACCTGACCAACATGGTGAAACCCCATCTCTACTAAAAATACAAAAATTAGCATGGCGTAGTGGCGTGTGCCTGTAATCCCAGCTACTCGAGAGGCTGAGGCAGGAGAATCGCTTGAACCAGGGAGGCAGAGGTTGCAGTGAGCTGAGATTGCACCATTGCACTCCAGCTTGGGCAACAGAGCAAGATTCCATCTAAAATAAATAAGTAAATAAATAAAAATAACATTGCTCACTGACAATGTACCTGGTCATCTAAGAGCCCTGCTGGAGGTATACAAGGAGATTAATGTTTTCCTGCCTGCTAACACAACATCCATTCTGCGGCCCACAGATCAAGGAATAATTCAACTTTCATCTTGTTATTTGTTTGGAGAAAAAGTCTCAAAGTGTTGTTTCCCTCTGCTCTCACACCACAACAATCAACACAGAAGGCTTCTGTGGCTAAATGTGTGGGGATTTTTGCCCACCAACAAGCAGTGAACACCAATCTGATACTACCTGGAGACAGATCAGATCCCACAGGTTGAGGGCTCAGTCCTCAAGGCTAATCCCCAAGCTTCAGACACAAGTCACAAGTCTGGGCCTGGTGAACTTCTGACTGTCTTCAAGTTGGAGTCCCCACAACCACTTCTTTGGGTTCAATTGATTTGCTGGAGTGGCTCACCGAACTCAGGGAAACATTTATTAATACATTTACTGGTTTATTATAAAGGACATTATAAAGGATACACATGAAGAGAAGTATACAGTGAGGTATAGGTGAAGGAGCACGGAGGTTCCATGTCTTCTCTGAGTGCACCATACTGTAGGAACCTCCACATATTCAGCTATCTGGAAGCACTCCAAATCCTGCTCTTTTGGGTTTCAGAGAGGTTTCGTTACATAGGCATGATTAATTAAACCATTGGCCATTGGTGTTCAATTAACCTTTGTCCCCTTATCCCCTCACCGGAGGTTGGGGGATGGGGTTGAAAGTCCCTATCCTCTAATCATGCTTTGGTCTTTCCAGTGACCACTCCCAACCTGAAGCTATTACTCAATATTAGCCGTACAAAGAGACAGCACTTTGGAGATTCCAAGGATTTTAGGAGTTGTGTGCCAGGAAATGGGGAAAAAGCCCAAATATACATTTCATGATATGACATTAAGAAATATGCTATAGCTGCCAATGATAGTGATTTCTGTGATGGTTCTGGAAAAAATACCTTGAATACCTTCTGGAAAGAGTTCACCATTCTAGATGTCTTTTCGAATATCCACGATTCATAGGAGGTCAAAATATTAATATTAACAGAAGTTTGGAAGAAGTTTATTCCAACCCTTATGGTTGACTTTGAGGGGTTCAAGACTTCAGGGGAGGAGGTAACTGTGGTGGAAATGGTAAGAGAACTAGAAGTGGAACCTGAAGAAGTAGTTGAACTGCTGCAATCTCATGATAAAACTTGAACGAATGAGTAGTTACTTCTGATAGATGAGCAAAGAAAGTGGTTTCTTGAGATGGAATATACTCTCAAGTGAAGATACCATGAACATTGTTGAAATGACGACAAGAACTTAGGATATTCCATAAAATTAGTGAATAAAGCAATGGCAGGGTTTGAGAGGATCGACCTCAATTTTTAAAGAAGTTCTACTGTGGGTACAATGCTATCAAGCAGCAGCTCATGCTACAAAGAACTCTTTTGTGAAAGGAAGAGCCAATCAATGTAGCACACTTCATTACTGTCTTATTTGAAGAAATTGCCACAGCCACCCTAACCTTCAATAACTACCATTCTGATTGATTAGGAGCCAGCAACATTAAGATAAGACCCTCCACCAGCAAAATAATTTTGGGTCATTGAAGGCTCAGATGATCATTAGCATTTTTTAGCAATAGAGTATTTTTTAATGCAGGTATATATATTTTTTTATACATAATGCTACTGCACACTTAATAGACTACAGTATAGTATAAACATAACTTCTTATGCACTGGGAAACCAAAAAATTTGTATCTCCTGCTTTATTGCAATATTCGCTTTATTGCAGTGGTCTAGAACCAAACTACTCCAAGGTGTGGCTATACTTAAAATCATGATGTCTTAATTTGTTTGCTTAAAATATATCTGCATGTGTATTCTAAGCAGATAAATCAAGACATGATTATTCATATTATTAGAGGTAAGTGAAATTTAGAGAGAGGTCTCCAGGCTAGACCATATTCATTTCTCTCTTTGAACTCCTGTGGTTGTTGCTGTCTACACTATCCCCTTACTACTCGAAGTGTAATTTCAGAGGTATTCCTGTAATTGTAATATAATGCCAGCATATGTTTTTTATGTTACAAAACATAACAAACATTATTTCAGGAAAATCGAAATACCATCAACAAATGAAATGTGAAATAATGCCCTTGATAGTAATTTCTTTTCCTTTCTACCAATAGAGGGCAACATGAACAAGTTGCTGACTTGATGGCAGTGTTCAAACCTCCTGTCTCAGCAAAGTTCAAAAAAGACAGTATTAAACTTGTGACAAACAAAAGCAGTAGAAGTTGAAACTATAAAACATTAGTAGGAGGAGCTCCTGTCTGGTTTCTCTGCCTACAGTCTCACCTCTTTCCAATCCCCCTACTATAGTGCTGCTAGAAATTTCTTCTAAAGGAGAAATCTGATATCATTCCCTTGATTTTTTTTTTTAAAGCTCAGTTGTACTCTACGACCAATAGGATAAAAGGCCAAGTTCTTTAGTGTGATATTTGGGTTTCTTCTTAATATGACTTTAACTTTCATTTCTCACCATTGTCCACATTTGGAAACTTCTTTAGCCACGTCAAGCTACTCATGGCTCCTCAGACACAATATACTCTTCTATACCTTGATGATGCTTTGCTTTGGTGGTTCTTCCACCTGAAATTCCCTGTACTTCCACTCCCCATTAAACACTTACTTATCACTCAAGGCCTGGCTCAAAAGTCATCTTTCTGTGGAGACTTTCTTGACTTTCCATTATTGAACCTTGTTTCTCCCACAAATAGCATATACTACAGATTGAATTGTTTTAGAATAATTAGTTTGTATTCCTTAGCAGACTACAAGGTCTCTGAGGGTTCATGTGTCAAAAGGAAATGTCTTATTCATCTTCATGTCTCCAATGCCTAGTATGCAGTAAATACTCATAATGTGTGTTTGTTGAATGAACAAAGAAAAGGAACTAAATAGAGAGTTCTCATATTGGACAAAACACCTTGTGTAAAATTTTAGACAGACATTGCAGCTAAGGCTTGTAGATGGTGCTTCTCACAAGATCAGGAAGCATCAGATGTTACCAAAAGATTATTTTTGAAATATATAGATGTTTTTGGAGAATTTTAATTTCCCTATTGCCTCTTAGCAGCCAGATTTTTTTTGTAGTATAGTTAAGATGGAGGTTCTTTGGTGCAGAAGTACAGGGATATTATGTTACTTACAATTTAGAGAAATCCTGGTTGCACGAGGTCACCTATTTCTAAGCCAGGTGGAATTCTACTTTCCTGCTTCTCTGGAGACAAGGGATGATCTACAGTCTGTGTGTACTTGGCATACTCAATAACCAATTCCAGTCTCATTTATGTCTGTTTGCTGAGATTAGCGTTCACACAGTGACGGAAGAAGAAGGTATTCCTTTCATGATTCTACCTCAGACTTGTACACTGCAATACATTTAAAAACACATGATGTATATACCAGTAAGTAGACACAGCTGATGTTTTGCAGAGGTGATCATTGCTATACCATCTGCCAGGTTTTGCAGTTGGTTTAAAAAAAAAAAAAGAAATTAGTTCAGCAGGATTTGCTCTTCACAAAATCATGTTGAGTTTTGCCAATTCTATGTAATTTGATATGCTCTTGCTAATTGAGTAAGAGAAAAATGCTTTCACATTGCACTGCAGGAAAAATATGGCCATTGTCCTTATGACCCTTGTTAAAAAAAAAAATTCGGTCATGAGTTAGATAGGGTTATAGTAAATAAAGGTGAAAATAAAAAAGACTGAGACAGCTGAGTAATTCAAAATTGTAACTAAATCAAAACTGTTTGTAGCTACCATAATAAAATTGATATACTACTGCCATGTCTTAAACTAAACAGAAGGAGGAGGTTAAGATCTAAAACTAAGAGTAGGCTGCCTTTTGGGATCGAAATAAATCCAGTCCAGAGCTTGGAGGTCTGTCTACTAGTAAATTTCCATAAAAAGTGTGTAGGAGTTTGTGATACATGACACAGATAGTTTCTTCCTAATTCAGAGTCGAAATCCTCACATGATGAATGTATTGCAAAAGATAAGCAATCTAGCTGATGATTAGAAAAAAGGATTTGTTAGGAGACTTTTTGGCCCTTTGTTTTTTTTGTTTTGTTTTGTTTTGTTTTTTGTTGTTGTTGTTTTTTTGAGACAGGGTCTCACTCTGTGGCTCAGGCTGGAGTGCAGTGGTGTGATCACAGCTCACTGCAGCCTCGACCTCCTGGACTCAGGTGATCATCCCACCCCAGTGTCCCCAGTTGCTGGGACTACAGGTGCATGCCATCATGCCTGGCTAATTTTTGTACTTTTTGTAGAGCAGGGGTTTCACCAAGTTTCCCAAGCTGGTCTCAAGTTCTCGGGCTCAAGCGATCCTCCCGCCTTCCCCTCCCAACGTGCTAGGATTATAGGTGTGAGTCACTCTGCCCGGCCTACTATGTTAATTTCATAATGATTGAAAATTAATTAATTCAACAAATTTATATATTCCACTAATACAGAGCACATACTATCTGCAAGACACTGCAGGACACTGATACTATATATTTGTCGGTTAAAATAAAATTGTTGGCCAGGCACAGTGGCTCACACCTGTAATCCCAGCACTTTGGGAGGCAAGGGCAGGAGGATCACTTGACCCTAGACCCTATGTGTTGAAGACCAGCCTGAGTAATGTAGTGAAACCCCATCTCTTAAAAAAAAAAAAAATTAGCCAGGAATGGTGACACACACCTATAGTACCAGCTACTCAGGAGGCTGAGGTAGGAGGGTGGCTTAAGCCTGGGAGATCAAGGCTGCAGTGAGCTGTGATCATGCCACTACACTCCAACCTGGGTGATAGAGCAAGACACTGTAAAAAAAAAAAATTAATACCTTGCAGCAATCGATCATAGATGTTGACCTATACGCCATAAATTTTATGGCAGTTTAACATTCTTATCAGCTGCCTCTGTCTCTTCATGACATTTTACCAAAAGCTTAAGCTTCTGTTAAATTGAAAATAATTGCCTTCTTATATGACTTTCAGAAAATCTACAGAAATGGTTCTAGGTGTTCTCCACACCTTTCACATGCAGCTCTGTGCTACACAGTCTTCTACTGGGGCTTCTGGTCCCACTGTCTTCTGTGCCCTGAAGGTTGACCTCTATGGACACCATCATATGGGGCTTCTTATTCTTTACTTCCAGGGGGTTCAGCCAGAAGGGAAGCACTGGCCTGAAATATAAGTGAGGAGGATGGAGAGATTGGGATATTTATTTGCCTTTCTTCTGCATCATGATTATGGCAGTGGCTCCACACTGTATGGACACAGTTCCTATTTAAAGACTCCTCTTCCAAGGCTCCAGGTCTTTCAGGGTTCTGGCAGCACAGTTTCCTCCTCTTGCCCCTTCAGGCCTAGGGGTGAGAAGTGCTCCTTGCTATCGTTCATCCTTGGGTGGTTCCCTGCCCCCATGTTCATTCACTTACCTTCTCATGCCTCTCTAAATCATTCCTTCATTACTTTCTTTTCACTTAAATGCTTTTTTTTTGTCTGAAGCAGCCTAAAGTTAAACACTTTAAGTGTGCCCTCTGCTTCCTGCTAGAACTCAAGAAGACTAGAAACAAACAAACAAAAATTTTATATACAGAAGAAAAGTTATCAATGGTAACATGCTGAAAGAATGAAAGCAATTCGAACTATATCTGAATCAACAGAGTAATGAAATTCAGCTTCCAAGGAGCTTGTAGACCATTTCTGCAATTCCAGAAGGTAACTATATACAATATAGTTGGATAGTTTATTTAATTATTTGTAGTCAGTTAATTCACAGGGAAGAAAGTCATTCCTGTTTTTTGTTTTGTTTTATTTGCATCCTATGCATTCAACAAGGATAGAGCCGCGCCTATTTCTTTGCCTATAGTGTATGGCTGCTTCTTGCTACAATGGCAGAGTTGAGTCATTGTGAGAGAGACCTTATGGCTCACAGAGCCTAAAATATTTACTATCTGGCCTTTTACAGAAAAAGTTTGCCGACCTCTGAACTAATTGATTGAATGATATATAGTTTGTAGTTTTATTTCTTTTGGCCTCATTTAGACACAGTCTTTTGTGCTCAGTATGCTTATCTTATACATATGGTGGTTCAATAAATATTGATTAGTGAAGAAATTGGGAATGCACTGACAAACTTAGAACTCATGACCGTCAGTTTTGTGATAAACATGGAGAACATATTTTAATTTTTTGTAAGATTTATTAGCCAAATTGTATACATGATTATAGGAATTTGAACTCTGATTTTGTAAAAATTGTTAACCTGGGTTGGGTGTGGTGGCTCACACCTGTAATCCCAGCACTTTGGGAGGTGGAGGCAGGCAGATCACTTGAGGCCAGGAATTTGAGACCAGCCTGGCCAACATGGCAAAACCCATCTCCTACTAAAAATACAAAAATTAGCCAGGCACAGTGGTCCATGCGTGTAATCCCAGCTACTCGGGAGGCTGAGGCATGAGAATCACTTGAGCCTGGGAGGCGGAGGATGCAGTGAGCCAAGATCGCGCTACTGCACTGCAGCCTGGGCGACGCAGCGAGACTCTGTCTTAAAAAAAAAAAAAAAAAAAATTGTTGACCTGGCAGTACTACGCATTTAGTATATGATAAATATCATTACTAAAAATGCATTTGAATTCTATTTATTGATTAATTCAAACTGAGAGGCATGTTCAGCCTTGTTTCTGTTTTTGTTTAGAGACAGGGTCTCATTGGGTCACTCAGGCTGGAGTGCAGTGGCACAATCATGGCTCACTGCAGCCTTGACCTTCCGTCTCAAGCTATCCTTCCACCTCAGCCCCCTGAGTAGCTGGCGTTATAGACATGTGCCACCACATCTGGCTAATTTTAAAATTATTTTATAGAGATAGGCACTCTGTCGCCCAGGCTGGAGTGCAGTGCCGTGATCTCAGCTGACTGCAACCTCCATCTCCTGGGTTCAAGCAATTCTCCTGCCTCAGCCTCCCAAGTAGCTGGGATTACAGGGACCCGCCACCACAACCGGCTAATTTTTTGTATTTTTAGTGGAGAAGGAGTTTCACCACTTTGGCCAGGCTGGTCTTGAACTCCTGACCTCAGGTGATCCACCTGCTTCAGCCTCCCAAAGTGCTGGGATTACAGGTGTGAGCCATCACACCTGGTCTATTCTTTTTTATGTTTTTTCTTTATGTGTTGTGGATTTTTTTTCCAAATATGACGATGAAATGTATTATTTTTATGAGAAAATAAAATAGTTTACAAAATATGCAAAATGGTAAACCTAATGTAACTGAATATTTTATATTGCTATTTTAGTTGAAGAAACCAAAGACAGATCTTTACTTTAAAAAATTATTGCAATAAAATTGAGTCTAAGAACTCTTCTCAAACTGATATTTTAAGAAAATAATCAATTAGCATGTATTGATTGAAAATTAGGAAAAAACATTTAAATTGTAAATTTTTAAAACGTTTCATGTGAATTTTAACTTTTCAACAGCAGAACATCAATTACATAGTCGCTTAAGAATGTATGCATTTCTAAATATCTTCCTACTACCATTCACCAGAAGGAAATAAAATATCTTCAGATATCCTCACTTGTAATGTTTATTATAATCTGTAATTTGTATTTTTTAATATGGAAGCAGATCTTTGCTTTTCCTATGGTTCAAAGTATTTAATTGTTTTAACTCAGGCTTATTTTCAGTACCCTTAAAACTACCAATGGTTCTTTATGTGGAAATCTTTTTGCTCATTTATCTTAAAGGGAATGCTGTGTGAAAAATTTAAGTCATGTTCTAAAGATGGTATTATTATACCCAAGAATGCCCAGTTTGTGTTTCTTTTATTAGAAGGTCTTAAGCTTTTGTGTTATGCTATTCATCAGTTATAATTGTGATCTTCACCATGAGGAAAGTGCCCATTACATGGAATGTTTATGTATTTTATTAATGATCCATCAGGTGTTCTGCCTAGGTTCTCTTTCAACTAGGTATTGCTAATGTCTGTCTCTAAGATGTAAATAGTTGAATAGTAGAGGTTGGGAATAGGCTTATGATTAGAATAGAAGAGTTAATTTTTTTTCAACTTCTAGAAGTTTGTTTTACAGTATTTGTCCTTTTCTGCGCATTTTTATTTTCTCCTCTATAACAGAGGTCCCCAGTCCCTGGGCTGTGGACCGGCACTGGTCCATGGCCTGTTAGGAACTGTGCCGCATAGCAGGAGTTGGGTGGCGAGCCAGCATTACTGCCTGAGCTCTGCCTCCTGTCAGAGCAGTGGCGGCATTAGATTCTCATAGGAGCGGGAACCCTATTGTGATGAACTGTGCATGCAAGGGATCTAAGTTGCGTGCTCCTTATGAGAATACGATACCTCGATCTGAGATGGAACAGTTTCATCCTGAAACCATGCCCCCTCCCTGCCCAGGGAAAAAACTGTCTTCCACAAAACCCGTTGCTGATGCTAAAAAGGTTGGGGACCACTGCTCTATAAGGTTTTCATTTGCTTAGTATCTTTCCGGTAGCAGCATATTGTTTTGTTTTGTTAGAGACACACTGTGTCGCCCAGGCTGGAGTGCAGTGGTGCATCACAGGCTCACTGCAGTCTCCACCTCCTGGGCTCAAGCAATCCTCTCATGTAGCTAGCTGGGACTACAACTGTGCTCCAACGCGCTCTGCTAATTTTTAATTTTTTTGTAGAGATAAGGTCTCACTATATATATTGCCCAAGCAGCATCTTAAGAGGAAATGAGTCACTGCCTATTGCTTAGATTTGAAGAATTAAAGAAGGAACAATGTCAACACAATGACTGACTATGTGATAGGCCAGTCACACCCTGGAAATACTTTGTAAGTGACCATTAACATTCAGAACTTTTGCAACACACCATAGCAAACTAGTTAAATAAACTGAGTAGCACCACACTTACCTAAATAAAGACCAAGAAACTGAACGTAAGCAAAAACATTATACCAAGAGACACTTCAGGCCTATCACAAATCCATCAATTCTACTCCCTGAAGAGCCTATCAGGACTTCACTCGAAGACTATTAATTCTTTCAGAGTGTCTTAACAGTCGGTGTATTCCTAGCATCCAGAAAATCAGAAGCAGCATATTTGGCTGGGGACTATAGGTAGGTGGAGATACTGACAGCCACAATAGAAGATAGGAAAACTATTCAAAGTAAAATAAAACTCAAAACTTAGTTATCTGGAGACTGTGAATGCACCCTTGCACTTTTTTTTTTTTCTTTTTTTTTGAGACAGAGTCTCACTCTGTCACCCAGGCTAGAGTGCAGTGGCACGATCTCGGCTCACTGCAACCTCCACCTCCTGGGTTCAAGTGATTCTCCTGCCTCAGCCTCCAAAGTAGCTGGGACTACAGGCGCCCACCAGCACGCCCGGCTAATATTTGTATTCTCAGTAGAGATGGGGTTTCGCCATATTGGCCAGGCTGGTCTCAAACTCCTGACCTCGTGATCCGCCCCCCTTAGCCTCCCAAAGTGCTGGGATTACAGGCATGAGCCACCACACCCGGCCACACCCTTGCACTTTTGAGAACCTCTGAATTGATCACAACATTAAAAGCACCACACAATCAATTAGGTCAAATGTAGCGATACAATTAAAAGACCAATTTAAGTTCAGAATATACTGTTCAACAAAGCTTAGATACATTTTTACAAAATTTCCATCAACATGATAAAAAATAAAAAATAGTTTGAGTGTTGAGAAGGATATATGTCATTACATGCTGACTGAGAAATAAAAGATGATATGATGTTTATGTATTCCTCTAAGCTTTTCTCTGAAAAAAATTTACTTGGAAAAAAGCTCTCTTGGAAGCTATTTATTTTATGACCTCAATGTCCTGGGCAAGACCTTTGGTTCTTCAAATTCACTGGCAAGCAAGAATCTAGCTAATGCCTCCTCAAGGTCATTAGTTAATGAAACCGTTTTCAGAAGTCACTCTGCTGTGAGCTCTTGCCTATTGTTAGGAATTTATACTAGTCATCGTGGTGTGAGGAAGACTCTGATCCACTGACTGAGAGTGCCCTCCATTGCACGGCACTGCCCTAGACCCAGGGACATAAAGATGAATCAAGGAGAAGTAATTGCAGGCAAATACATGCCATTTAGAGCAAGTTGCAGAAATGAAGGGAAGATTTGATACTATGCAGGCACCAAAAGGAGTGGTCACCTGAGTCTGAAGTAGAGGAATGCTTCATAGAGAGTTAACACTTGAATCCTGAGCGATGAGTGGGAGTTGGCCTAGCTAGCAAGCAGAAAAGGGTATTCTGGACAGGGATGGTAGCATATGCAGAGGCACAGGCATATGGGATATTACTGTGAATTTGAGAAGGTTCACTTTGGAACACAGAAGTAGGATGTTTGAGAAGAGCAATTGATACTGGCCTGAAAGGAGGACCCCTTCTCTCTTCCCTGTCTTATCTTTCCAACTTTCCTCTCCTCTCCTCAGTTGAGGTACAGGACAGAGCAACGAGTCCACTGGTCTCAGCAGAAGTCCAGTAGAGAATGAAATCAGTGTGCTCATTCCCTACTGGGGAAACTGATGCTCAAAAAAGTTAAGCAACCTGCCTAATTTCTCTTTCTCTCCCTGTATTATATTTCCTCTTAAAACTATCTTGGGTAATTAAAATATAAGCCTTCTGTGTTCCTAGGTGATTTAAAAATCTTAATTATTAGATCAAGGCACCCTTTTAAAAAGTCTATTAGAGACTAGATTTCTTGATGACTTAAAAAAAATCTTCATGAGGCAATGGTGCCATTCTTTTTTACAAAGGTTTATTGAGACATAATTCACATTCCATACAATTCAGCCATTTAAGGTACACAACTCAATGGCTTTTAGTGTATTCACAGAGTTGTGCAACCATCACCATGATCGTTTTAGAATATTTTCATTTTCTCAAAAAGAAATTTCACATCCCTAAATCATCACTCCTATTTTCCCCCAACTTTCCCCCAGCCCTAGGCTAATCTACTTTCTGTCTCTATAGATATGTCTTTTCTGGACATTTCACATAAATGGAATAATACAATATGTTGTTCTTTATGACTTTCACTTAGCATAATGCTATCATCCATGTTGTAGCATGTATTAGTACTTCATTATTTTTTATTGCCAGATAGTATCCTATTATATGGATATACTGCATTTTATTTATTCATTCATCAGTCCATGGACATGTGGGTTGTTTCCACTTATTGTCTATTATAAACAATGGTGCCATTCTGCTGCTGCATTTGTGGTATTTTTCTTGTACTAGCTTACGAATGTGATTACCTTTGCAAATCCGTACTTAAAAATATTTGTCACCAAGGAAACTGGTTCTGGATGAGTCTATCACTTCCTATAGTGTAGATCAAGATAGACATGGGTAGAAGTTCATATGGGTGCTTTTGGTACATGGGTTGTGTTATTCATATGCAACCTGAAGGAGAAAGCCTCAATTGTGATACACGGGAGACAGTCTTTCTCTAGAGATTTCTAAATGGGACCATGGTCCTTTCTAACCATTTAGTTTCAGATTAGAAGACAGCTGAGCAAATAACTTACATCCTAACCAGGTGGGTATGATTTTTCCAAACTCCTTTCATGCTGGATTTAACCTTCCAAGAAAGGATGCATTCAGGACACATAAATGACTACAAAGTACAAAACAAAAGTATTTTGAAGAAATCTTAAGAAATTTCTTCCTAAGTGAAAGGTGGATAGGAAACTTTTGGATTTAATCTTACAGGATGTTGCAATTCAAAGACCATTAAACTGGGTATAATGTACAATCCCTCTTTAGCCAGACAGAGAAGATTACTGGTTGTACTCTTGAGATATTATAAAGCATTTTTAAGGCTGCTGTTAAACTAGGGAATTGTGAATTGGTAGGTTTTCAAATAAGTTCCTCCAGACCTCAGTCTGGTCTAAAGTTTCCTGTTTTTACAATTAACTCCTCATGTTTCTTTGTTGAGTGTGTGTGTGTGTGTGTGTGTGTGTGTGTGTGTGTGTGTGTGCGCGCAAAACCTAAAGATAGACCAGAAAGCATCTGGGGCCATCTGGCTCTAGAGAAGAATCCAGATTTCTGTGAGGGCTGGGTACTAAATTGCATAAACAATACTATCTTAATGTATGACTCCTGTGCTAACCCTTCAGTCACCACTTCAAAATGCCCCTAACCTGCTGTATTTGGTGTTAATACTTTTTGGTTTTTCGCCTATGAATGAAGCAGATTGATTTGTCCTAGGATAAACCCAGTATAGGCATAATTACTTCCATATTGTTTTGTCAAGCGTCTGGGGGATTACAAAGAAAAGTGGGTATGTCAAGCACTGGGCTGCTCCTGAAAGCAATGCTGTCTCCTTGGTGCCCACTCTCCTTCTGTCTGTATTTCATTTGCCAAATAAAGAACTGCTATTAAGAAAGAGTTATCAGGCCAAGCGCGGTGGCTCTCACCTGTAATTCCAGCCCTTAGGGAGGCCGAGGCGGTGGATCACTTGAGGTCAGGAGTTCGAGACCAGCCTGGCCAACGTGGTGAAACCCCGTCCCTACTAAAAATAGAAAAATTAGCCAGTGGGTGGTGGCGGGTGCCTGTAATCCCAGTTACTTGGGAGGCTGAGGCAGGATAATCGCTTGGACCCTGGAGGTAGAGGTTGCAGTGAGCTGAGATCGTGCCACTGCACTCCAGCCTGGGTAATAGAGACTCTGTCTCAGAAAACAAAACAAACAAAAAAAGAAGGAGTCACCAAGCCAGGCGTGGTGGCTCACACGTCTCGTCTCAACTGCTAGGGAGGCTGAGGTGAGAGGGTCACTTGAGGCCAGGAGTTTGAGGCCAGGCTGGGCAACACAGTGAGACTCCCATCTCTAAAAGGCTTTTTAAAAAGTCATCAAGAGCAGATGGAAAAGATTGCTAGCAACAAGGATGTCTGAAGGCTTGTGTACTGGCTAGGGAAATGCAAGGTTCTACTTGTACATCACCTAGCAAAGTGCCACATGAATGCATCCTAATTTTAATTAAGATGATTTTCAAAGGGCATTTAGTTCCCTCCTCAAAGCAAGATCCTTTCTCCTGTAACTGAAGCAGAGAGGTTATATTTCAAGTTTTTCATAAAGGTTCTTTATTTTGAAGGAATAATGTTAAAAACAACATTAATGACATTTATAGAACACTTAACTATAAGCTGCCATTTCATTTAACCCTATTATTAGCCCTGCTTTACACGTGACGGAATCGAAGCACAAAGAGACTCAATAACGTGCGTAGGCTCACACAGCTGGTGCATATTGGAACCAGGCAGGAAGACTTCAGAGTCCAGGTTCTCAACTACCCAATTAAGAAATTCTGCTCTTTCTTAACTGTGTTATGACAAAAACATTTTTACTGCTAATTTAAAATATATACTCCGTGTAAATATTTATGTAATGTAAACATAGCACACATTATAAAACTATAATATTATCTTTTATCAAAAAAAGATTGCGTTCTATATGCCCATTTTACCCCGGGAAAAAGGTCTTTATTTTCCTTTGAAATGAGGAGTAGCATTTGATTTTGCCAGGGAACTTAAAATTATTTCAAGGTCCCAGTCGTACGTGGCATGGAGATTTATGACAAATATGTAATCTGTTTATTTGTCACCCAACTTGGATGACTTCTAAATGTTTCTTCTTTGTAGCTCTTGATTTTGCTTGGGTTTCCCCCGACCCATGCCCAAATAGTAAAAAACAAAACAAAACCAAAAAACAATGTCTGAGTCATGTTTGCTCCAGTCAGGGAATACCAACGTGCTGACAGACAGCTCTGGTTTTTAAAAAATCTTACTGTATGTCACTTGCAACTTTGAAGAACATTCATGCGTTAGTGGACTGCATTTGGAAGAAAACAAAAAGGAGAAAAAAACCCCCACCAAGTTGTGGCTCAAGTCCCTCTGCCATTTGCTGCAGTGAGTTTTCCTATTCCATTTTGCTGGGGAGAAGGCATGCTTTACAGAACACATCAAACTGTCCGAAAAAGGCTGTCTGCATCCCTCATGTTTATAAGAGAAGGATTTCTTTCCCCTTCCTTCACGTATCAAAGAAGTCACTCGGGGAGGAAATAAACCATAATTAGGCATGAGCGAGCGAGCAGACAGACCCCTTGCTCTGCCTTCCCTGTCCCCGCCCACCAGGCAACCGTCCTGGGCGCAACCGAGGAGCGGGTTGTCTCCGCAGCAGCTGCAGCGAGCGCGCGCCCACGCCCGAGCCCGCGCCCGCCGCCAGGATCTGGGCGGCGGCGAGGCTAGCCCGGGGGCGCGCTCGCTCGGGAGCGCGCTCATGCAGCGGTTTTCTTCTCCCACAATCCAGAGGCAGCTGCACGGGAGGGGCGGGGAGTCGGCGGAAGGATATCGGCGCGGAGGGAGCAGCGCGCTCCCTTTGACGGCGGCCCCCGGCATTGGCGGGCGGCGCTGGCGGGCGGCGAGGGGTGGGGTGTGATGCGGCACTGCGGTTCTGAGGCCGTTACTCCGGCTTCTCCATAGAGGGCGGAGAAGGCTGGAGCGCGGCGGTGATTTTGTGCCAGGGATTCCCAGAGACGCGCTGAAAGGCTGGCAGGGCTTAGGAAGCTGGGGGGTTAGGGACACACATTCAAGCCCCCACCCCCGGGAGGGGAAGGGGGCTGGAGGCGAGGCTTGAGGGCGGCGGAGGAATGGTGTCTGCTCGGGGGGAAGGGGCGAGCCCTGCCTGTTGGTACTGAGGGGCTGCGGGCAGTGGAGGCTCCGCGGGTCGAAAGCGGCTCCATGCCCATCGGTGGGTGGAACGTGTAGAGGTCGGAACGCCGAGGTCGAGTCTGGTGGCGCCTCGGTATCCTTAACGTGGTCTCTGTTTAACGTATTTCATTTAGCCCCCGTTGGGATTGATTCATTGGGAGCAGTTTCGCTGGTCTGGATCCTCCAGGAGCTGGACAACCTTGACGGGCTTTTTGTCTTGGGTTCCAGCCCCCTTTCCCTTCCTCCTCCTCCAGATGCCTTTTCTCTGCCCCTCCTCGCCCGGTACAGACATTTCCAGCGCAGGCTGCTGCTCGTGGTGTCCGTCGTCGAAGCCACTTCTTGGGATTTCGGCTCGTTTCACTCTGGGGTGTTTTTTGAGGAGGGAGAGTGCCCCCCTCCTCCACGATGGGATTTTTCTCCCTTGCCGAAATGGACTTTCATTGATTTCTACTTACTTCCACGTTTAGTGACCAATTCCCTAGGCGTATTTTTGTGGTAGTTCCTTTTTTCAAATACATACTCTGTAAAATGGAGAACGAAATTTTTACTCCCCTTCTGGAGCAGTTCATGACCAGCCCTTTGGTCACTTGGGTAAGTGGGGTGTCCTTTATTGTATATTTTGCTGAGTTATTTGTGGCTGCAGAGATGGAGGTGGGCGTTCATGTCGTGGTGATCCTTCTGTTTGTTCTAGGTTAAAACGTTTGGACCTCTGGCCGCAGGAAATGGGACCAACCTTGATGAATATGTGGCTTTGGTGGATGGGGTATTCTTGAACCAGGTCATGCTCCAAATGTAAGTTCTTCCTTCTTTCCTAGGTAACGTTTTCTTTGAGAAATAGCATATGGTGAACTTTGAGACACGATGTTTTAAGCCCCTAATTTGGTTCATTGGCCAGAAATATTCAGGTGGTTTAAGAATTGGATCTTGAAAGGAATGCTAATGTTATGGGCTCAGCCCATTATCACAACCTAGATATTTTACCTGTTAAAATTGTGAAACTTTAGTTTTTCATTCTGTCAACCATGTATTGTCACTTGTCTTCAGTACTGAAATCCAAGCCACATTGTGTATTCTTTGATAATTTGGTAAAATAAGAGAGAAAATGAGAATCTGGTTTCCTAAGAGAGGAAAAAAGACTTTACTGTGAAGTTATGTGCATTTGATGCAGAAATGTTTCTTATTAACCTTTATATCTAGAAATAAATGGCTCAAAATTTGAAACTCGTTAAGTAATAGCAGATTTCAGAAGAGAAAATTTCAAACAGTTCTGATTGGTGAGGACTCTTGCTGTAGTAAATAATTTAAATGCCTGTAATAACTAAAGCCTGATGAGATGATTTATTGTGTGAATTATTAGGTTGCTTAATATTTTAGGGATCATTTTAAGGTATTCTTACAGGTTTTGAAATGCAAATAACAAGTCTTGATAACAATTAGATAACGACTTATTGGGCAAATCTTTGTCTTTTGTGTTTATAATATTGGGTTTGTACTAAGTAGGAAAGTATGCTTTTGAGATGGGAATTGAATAGTGAAAGTATATTGGTAGCTGGATCAGTAAAATTAAAACTCAGCTTTTATCTAATTACAGCTATTGTAGCATACGTGTATTCTAAGTACGCTAATGTAGTTTATCAAACTGAATTTTTCAGTTGTGCTCAAAGTAATGTATACTTAGTCTTATTTCTCTTTAATAGAATCTGATGAGAAGAGGTAGTTTGGAACTTTTATATGTATGGGAAATTGGTGTGTTATCAATAAATAGTTGTTACTAGAGAATAAGTCTACCATTCTGCTCTGATAACCTTATCAATTTTGTATTTTATTGGTTTAGATTTTTATGTTTAAGAGGGTAGAAGTCACATCTATAAAAAATTGCTCTCGTGTTAACTTCTCTGTGTGCTCAAAGAGATTTGTGGGCTGTTTTTCATGTACATGTTGATCCTACAGGGAAGTATTATACTATTATACATTTTCAACCAGTGTTTTGTTTTCATAGGCACCCAAAGAAATATATATGTTATCTAAATATGTATATATTTATTTTTTTCCTTAAGAAAGGAAAAAAGAGCGTAGACATCAATTATTTCCAGGGTTAGTAAATGTATTTTTGACAGCTGTGTAATGGAATTATTTTTTATCCTCAAAATATCTGACTATTTCCTAAGCAAAATGGTAGGATAATAAACTGACTTCTCTTTTGGGGAACCTACATGACAGAAAGGGTAGCCATTACAGTAGATACTCAGAATTTGTTCCCCTGTGTCTCTTTATTGTGCTTATTTTTAGACGGAAGATTTTGAATTTGTGTGCTAAAAATGTGTGTTCACAAAAATAGGGAAATATATTACTTTAGTTTTCCACTTTAATGGTTTTTATTTGAATGATTCTTTTTCCAGAAAAATTTAGATTTTTTTTTTGCATCCTAAATACTTAGCTGAGGTGCTAAAAACAAATACGTTAATTTCCACTTCAAATGCAGTTTTATGCTTAAAAAATATATGTATATTTTGAAAATGACGGTATTCCAAAATAGTGTTTGTCAGGTTGCTGTTTTTCATGAGGACTAGCTCCTTTCCAAACCACAAATCTGCTTCTGTATTTTCAGTTCCACCTCTCAGTTTCTTTAGATTTTTTTTCGGTGTCCTAATTCTGTTGTAAATGACCTATAAAATTAAAGGAAAAGAAAAGAAAAAAAAAGTATACTTTTGCTTTGTTTGAATAATTTGCTAAAATAAGATCAAATTTATCTTAATAAATTATTTAACTGATAGGGCAACAAAATATACATTGTTTTATAAGCTGTATTTTGCTAATTTTGAAGTCATTAGGATTTCTGTTAAGCACTTTACTTAGATTAATGTATGCTTTAATGTACTCTATTATAAAGTGTCAGTTGTAACTCTATACCTAGTAAATGTAAAAGTTAGGCCTAGTCTAATTTCTACAGTACATTTAGTTACAGAATTTGTGAGCAAGAACCCTTTGTAAATGAAACTATTTATATATTTTCCATGTTTCTTGTGCTTGGAATTCAATGAGTGTCTTGGATCTGTGGGTTTATAGTTTTTATCAAATTTAGAAAAGTTTCAGTCATTATTCCTAGAAGAAAATATATACATATATATATATATATATATATATATATATATATATATATATATTTATTTATTTATTTATTTGACCTCTTCACCCTTTTGGAAGTCCAGTTACATATATATTAGTAGCTTTGATGTTGTCTTAAAACTTACTGATGTTTAATTCAATTTTCTTTCAGTCTTCTTTGTTTCATTTTGGATAGTCTGTTGTGATGTCTCCAAATTTATTAATTTTTTCTTCTATAATGTTTAGTCTGCTCTTAATCCCACCCACCATATTTTTCATTCCAGATATTATAACTTCATCTTTAGAAATTGTCTTATATCTTCCATGTCTATGTTTTTCATGCTCTGTCTTTTCTCTAGCTTCTTGAACATATGGAATACAGTTATAATTGGCTTAATGTCTATGTCTGCTAATTCTGTCTGTGTCATTTTGGGGTTGGTTTCGGTTGATTGATATTTCTTCCCATTATGGATTCTGTTGCTTTTGCATGCCTGGTGATTTTTTTTTTAATTTGATGCCAGTCATTTGAAATTTTAGCTTGTTTGGCGCTGGATATTTTTGTATTCCATTAAATACAAAAATCTTGAGCTTCGTTCTGGGATGCATTAAGTTACCTGAAAACAGTTTGATCTTTTGGGGACATGCTTTTAAGATTTGTTAGGCAGTACTACTTTGTCACACTGTTGAGGCAAAACCCCTCTGAATACTCCAGCTGGTGGAAACAGGACCTACTTGGTGGTGTTCGCTCTCAGTCTTTTTGGTGGTTCTTTCACTATCTTTGGGTAGTTTCCTCACACTTATATTCTGATAAGTACTCAGACTTGAGGGATACCCTCTGCAGATCTTTCTCACTGTTCAACTCTGTTAAGTACTCTGCCCTGTGTACTTTAGCTACCTTGCTGTCTCCAGACTCAGTTCTGTCCCCTCAGCTCAGACCATTGTGCTCTGCCTGGATTCCCCTCTTCCTGTTCTGTGGCCTGGAAACTCTTTCAAGGCCATAATGCTGGAGCAGTTGTTGGATTCATGCTTGTTTCCCATCGATTGGGGATCACTGTCTTTTGTTGCCTGATGTCCAATGTCTTGAAAAACGTTTTATGTATTTTGTCTTTTTTTCCCCCCAGTTGTTTCAGGGAGGAGGGCAAATTTGGTCTCTGGCCACCAGTAGAAATATGTTTGTATACTTTTTTGTTTTTCAAGATGGGGTCTGGCTATGTTGCTCAGGCTGGAATATGTGATCATAGTGCATTATGGCCTCAAACTCCTGGGGTCAGGCCATCCTCCCACCCTAAACATCTGAGTAGTTGGGACTACAGGCACGCGCACCACAATGCCTGGCTGTTTATATACTTTTAATTACATTTTTGCTCTGCTAGTCTTATATTACTGCTTTTAGATGTGAGATGGACTTTTTTTATAGGAACCTTTTTTTTTTTTTTTGAAACAGAGTCTCGCTCCATGCCCAGGCGGGAGTGCAGTGGTGTGATCTCAACTCACTGCAAGCTCTACCTCCCGGGTTCACGCCATTCTCCTGCCTCAGGCTCCCGAGTAACTGGGGCTACAGGCACCCACCACCACGCCTGGCTAATTTTTTGTATTTTTTTAGTAGAGACGGGGTTTCACCGTGTTAGCCAGGATGGTCTCGATCTCCTGACCTCGTGATCCGCCTGCCTCAGCCTCCCAAAGTGCTGGGATTACAGGCATTAGCCACCACACCTGGCCAGGAACCTTATTATATAAGTTTTTTCATCTAAAATGTTTATTAAGACTAAGAAAATTGATTAATTTAATGACTCTGTTGTTGCTGTTTTGCACCCAGACTCTGAAAGTGAAGAGCTAACTTCTTCATGACACTGTTTACTGACTCTGCCTCACAATTTTGAAGTCTTTTCACTGACTTGAGATTTACTGTATTCAGAGATGAATCCTGAATTTCATTGAGTAGCTTTTTGAAGCAAATAATCTCTGTTAGAACTTGTAACATGACTTCAATCGTCTTAAACTAATGGGAAGGAAGAGGAAAGCTATTCAGAGATCTGGAATGATGGGCCAGCTCTTCTGTACGCTGTAGGGCATTTTCCTACTTCAGTGGATTGAAATCTTTTTTCTTTATTGTTATCAGTTGTAGGGCTTGGTGACAGTGAAGTAGAAATAATTATTTTCCTGTTTGAGATGTCATTTAATTCTGGAGCCAGTTTTGAATATTACTTGCTGTGAGTTTTTAAGGAATTTGTGACATTGTAGTTAATTTCATACTCCTAAAATTTTAAAAACGTCCAATTCATATTACCCAAACGGTTGAAAATATGGATGTCTTAGGATTTTAAGTACTGAGAAAATTGTTAATAGTATCAGAACAATATTTGGAATTATTATTTATGATTCAACCCTATTAGATAGTTATAGAGAGCTGTACTTGGAACACTTGGTAATTGTGATAAACTTGTTATGGCTTTTCCTTTAGAATTTTGGGTTTGAAGGGACTTCAGAAGTCATCTGCCCTTTTTTGTTTGTTTGTTTGCTTGTTTTTTTTTTTTGTTTTTGTTTTTGTTTTTTGAGACGGTCTTGTTCTGTTGCCCGGGCTGGAGTGCAGGGGCATGATCACCGCTCACTGCAGCCTTCACCTCCCGGGCTCAAGCTATCCTCCCACCTTAGCCTCCCAAGTACCTAGGACCACAGGCACGCGCTACCATGCTTGACTAATTTTTGTATTTTTTGTAGAGATGGAGTTTCACTGTGTTGCCCAGGCTGGTCTCAAGCGATCCACCCACCTCAGCCTCCCAAAGTTCTGGGATTATAGGCACAAACCAGCCTGACTCTTTGCTTGACTCTATTGACTAGGCTGTGAGTTTCCTGAAGCCAGGGACTCTATCTTTTGTCTCTGTATTCTTAGGACAGTGTTTGACACACAGTACATTCTTGATATATTTCTGTTGAATGATTGAATAATACAGCCATGTGTAGTAAAGTGGAATGAATTTGAGCCTTATGTCAGATAGACATAGACTTGGGTTCAGTTCTAGCTGTGCTACTTATTGGTATGTGAGCCTAATATCTCCAAATTACAGTTCCTACATTTATAAGATGGGAGATAATGTTTCCCTTCCTGATGGGGAAGGATTATCTACTAAGGCAGGGACAGATAAGTCTATTTTCTGTTTTGTTGACCCACTATATCCCCAGTGCTGGTTGCTGTCATTATTATTATCCTGTGCTATGCTATATCTACCTACTTATGGCTCCTCAAGTAAATCATGATAGTTCACAGCTTAGTTTTTTTGTTTGTTTGTTTGTTTTTGAGACAGGATCTCACTCTGTCACCCAGGCTGGACTGCAGTGGCACAATCGCAACCCACTGCAACCTCAAACTCCTAGGCTGAAGCAATCCTCCCACCTCAGCTTCCCAAGCAGCTGGGACTGCAGGCATGTGCTACTGCACCTGGCTAATTTTTTAAAATTTTTTTTATAGAGACCGGGTCTCACTTTTTTGCCCAGGCTGGTCTTGAATTCCTGGGTTCAAGTGATCCTCCCACCTCAGCTTCCCAAAGTGGCTGGCATTACAGGCATGAGCCACTGCGCCTGGCCGACAGCTTAGTTTTGTATGATCTCTGTTAGTGTCACCTCTATATAGCTGTATGATCTTTAGTAAGTTACTTAATTTGTAAGTGGGATAAAAAGTCACAGGATTGTTATGAGAATCAAATAGAATAATGTATGTACAATGCTTAACATATAGAAAGTGTCCAATAAATGTTAGCTCTTTATTGTTTTATTTATATTATTATCATTAGAATTATTTTCTTCAAGACCAGCGGTCCCCAACCTTTTTGGCAGCAAGGACTGGTTTCATGGAAGACGATTTTTACATGGAGCAAGGCTGAGGGGAGATGGTTTCAGGATGAAACTGTTCTACCTCAGATCATCAGCCATTAGATTCTTATGAGGAGAGTGCAACCTAGATCCCTCGCATCTACAGTTCACAATAGGGTTTGTGGTCCTGTGAGAATCTAATGCTGTTGTTGATCTGACAGGAGGCAGAGCTCAGGCAGTAATGCTTGCCCGCCCACCACTGATCTGCTGTGTGGCTTTCCTAACAAGCCATGGACCCAATCCATGGCCCAGGGGTTAGAGACTCCTGCTCTAGACTATCCTTCCCCTTTTCTTTGACTAACCAATTCCTGCTCTTCCTTTAATACCTTGTGAAGTCCCCAGGCAGAGTTGTTTTCTTCCTTATGATTCGGAAGTACCTTCACCTGCGTAGCTATTGCTTTGCAGTATTACTGTTTAGGGGCTAGATGTTTTGTCTCACATATTACTAGCACCTAACCTAGTACTTAGCATGTATCACTAGCACCTAGCATAGAAGTTGGCATGTCGTAAGTTGTAAGTAAATGTTGAAGGAATAAGTGAAGATAGCTGCAATTTTATTAATTTTCAAAATTTTGAGAATACCTTCTAGTTTTAGTACTGTAGAATTTAGTTTATTTTTTAGTTTGTCTTCTGTTTCTCCTTTTTGTTTGTTCTCTCTCTTTCCCCGTATTTGTTTTAATTACCTTTATTGGATATTTTTCCCACCGATGTTATATCTCCTTTGAGGCAAGGTGATAGGAGCAAGATTTCATGGTCCATGGTTTTTTATAGTATTAGAATATACAGTGCTTTCAGTTTGGTTTCCAATAACTTTCCTGTCCAATATGTTGAGTTTTTTTTTTTTTTTTTTTTTTTTGAGACGGAGTCTTACTCTGTCGTCTAGGCTGGAGTACAGTGGCGTGATCTCGGCTCACTGCAACCTCCTTCTCCCAGGTTCAACCAATTCTCCTGTCTCAGCCTCCTGAGTAGTTGGGATTACAAGGTGCCCACCACCGTGCCTGGTGAAGTTTTGTGTTTTTAGTAGAGACGGGATTTCACCATTTTGGCCAGGCTGGTTTCGAACTCCTGACCTCAAGTGATCTGTCCACCTGAGCCTCCCAAAATCTCATGCTGGGATTACAGGCATGAGCCACCGTGCCTGGGCCATGTTGAGATTTTTTTGTCCACAGCTTTGTATTGGACTGTCTTCAAGAAAAGTCCATTGTGATTGCCTCATTCTCAATATGATTCATATGTAGTTAAACTACAGAAATGATGAGAACCTAGAGAAGAACAGGTGAACTAGTTGTTATACCTGAGAGTATTTTTAAATTTTTTAACTGAAAATTTTCTCTTAATATATATTATGGGAGACTAGTTCTCACAGGATAAATGGAAAGGAAGACCAGTTCTTTCAAAAGGACACCAGCTGACTTTCTTTTAGGATCCATGAAACAGTTTGATACCATTCTAGGCATTAAGTTTTCAATATTCAGAAATAGTATTTGAGATTATACTTGGTACTGGGACATCTGTATAATACTTAATTTATTAATTAGTAAACTGGCTGCTTTTGGAGAGTCAGAGTGGTGGGAGGGCAAAAACAAAAACATGGGCTTGAAAGTTTAAATCCTGAATCAATCATTTAATATTTAGCTAGTTATTGAAACTGGAAAATTACTTTAAATGTTCTCTTTATTCCTGATTCTATTTTTATGCCTTCTTAGATCTATTTTACTAGTTTAATAATTTTTTTTTTTTTTTGAGACAAGGCCTCTCTCTCTTGCCGAGACTGGAATGCAGTGGCGAGATCTTGGTTCACTGCAACCTCTGCCTCCTGGGCTCAAACGATCCTCTCACCTCAGCCTCCTGAGTAGCTAGGACTACTACCATGCCCAGCTAATTTTTCTTTTCTTTTTTTTGTTTTTTGTTTTTTGTAAAGGCAGAGTTTTGCTGTGTTGCCCATTCTGGTTCCAATCTCCTGGGTTCAAGCTATCCACCACCTCAGCCTCCCAAAGTGCAGAGATTAGAGGCGTGAGCCAGTGTGCCTGGCCTACTTTAATAATTAATAAAAATAGGTGGATAAAACCCATCAACTTCACTCTGAGTGAGAGGAGATCTGCCCCTAACATTTGTAAGATCCAGGATAAGCATCCATTTACCACAATAGGCCTAAATATTTAAAGCTTATAAACCAGGCCAACAAATCATTATCTATATTCTAGTCTTTTCTCTTGATAAATATACCTTCATAATGACTTGAAAGTTTCAAATTTAAAATCTGTGGAATTTAGAATTCATAAATTCACAGTTTTGCAGCAGAGTGTGGTTAAGCCCAACCTCCTCCCGTCATCTCTGGCTCTTTCTAGCACCACAAAGAGGTCTCCTGTACATGCTGTGAACACCTTGCATGCACGCACAAGGTCTAAGCTCTTGTACTCCCATCCCCAAACAAGTACTCCTTGGCCCAAGGGTGTACACAAGTGTAGCACAGTCTTTTCTAAGGACAGACCTAGGAAAGAGGCCTGTGTGGGCCTTCAAATTGAGTTAGAAGTGCTTGGGCAAGAAATTGCAAAGTTCTGGGCACCTGGAGTGTCATTTAAAAGTGGGGAGGTAGGCCAGACTTGGGGGCTCACACCTGTAATCCCAGCACTTTGGGAGGCTGAGGCGGGTGGATCACTTGAGGTCAGGAGTTCAAGATCAGCCTGGCCAATATGGTGAAACCCCGTCTCTAATAAAAATACAAAAATTAGCAGGGCATGTTGGCGGGCCCCTGTAATCCCAGCTACTCGGGAGGCTGAGGCAGGAGAATCACTTGAAGCTGGGAGGCGGAGGTTGCAGTGAGCCGAGATTGCGCCACTGCACTCCGGCTTGGGTGACAGTGAGACTCTGTCTGAAAAAAAAAAAAAAAAAAAAAAGGGAGGTATATAGGCACATCCCCCTGTTTACATGGACTCCTCTCCCAGTGGAAGCATGTGGGCCGAGGAGGGCCGGAGTTGGACTCAGGGCAGAGCTCTCTCATCAGGATCTAAATGTAATACTCAGTGAGAGGGATGAAGGGCTAGTTCATTCAAAGATCAATTAATATGGGAATAGTTTCTAAGTACTTACTGTGTAATAAACTGTTAGATGCTAGGAATAGGATGCTTTGCCCACAATAAGGGGGAGGTGCATGTAAACAAATTGCAATGTGGTATCTGTGCCATGATAAGGAATTATGTTCTTGAGACAGTGTTCGCACAGAAAGGGAAGTGATGATTTACATGGAGGAAAGGCTTCTTGGAGGAGATGATGTTTGAGCTGGACATGAGAGCTCCGTAGGAGAAATCAGAGTGAACAGGAGTCATAAGTAGTGGGAGAGTGGAAGGAAGGACATTTTAAGCAAAGAAAATAGCATGAAAAAGAGGCATGAAGATGTAAATAACGGTGGAGGAATTAGGAAGTTTGAGAAAAGTGGAAACATTTTACAAGGCTGCTAAGAGGAAATCACAAAGAGTGTCAGTTAAAGATGAATACAAGTATTGTCATGCAGGGTTGATGGCTTATTTGAGATTTGGAAACCACACATTTGTAGTTGAGCCAGTGAGCATAGCATGGTTGAGTAACCAGTAATGCTTAGCTGCTCAGAAACTGACGAAAATACCTGTAGAATTTATTCAGAATTGGAAATTCTGAATAAACAGACGTGGGATGAGAGAAAAAACATACTACAGATTCTTAGCTGAATAGTTGAATAATAATGTGTGAGCATTAAAGTGAGGAAGAAAGCAAGTATCAGGAGGAACTTACAGAGTAAAGGTTGTGTTACTGGAAAGGGGTCCCAATCCAGACCCCAAGAGAGGGTTCTTGGATCTTGGGCAAGAAAGAATTTAGGGCAAGTCTATAAAGTGAAAGCAAGTTTATTAAGAAAGTAGAGGAATATAAGTATGACTACTCCACAGGCAGAGCAGCCATGAGGGCTGCTGATTGCCCATTTTTGTGGTTATTTCTTGATGATATGCCAAACAAGGGGTAGATTATTCATGCCTCCCCTTTTTAGACCATATAGGGTAACTTCCTGCCATTGCCATGGCATTTGTAAACTGTCATGGCACTGGTAGGAGTGTAGCAGTGAGGACAACCAGAGGACACTCTTGTCAGCATCTTGGTTTTGGTGGGCTCTGGTGAGTTTCTTTACTGCAACCTGTTTTGTCAGCGTGGTCTTTATGACCTGTATCTTGTGCCAACCTCTTATCTCAACCTGTGACTTAGAATGCCTAACTGTCCGGGAATGAAGCTCAGCAAGTCATAGCTTTATTTTACCTAGCCCCTATTCGAGATGGAGTTGCTCTGGTTCAAACGCCTCTGAGAGTTGTAATAAGAATGAAGGAAGAGTAGGTTAGAAGTGAGGGCATGAGAGAGGGTGAAAAGATAGGAGGTCAAGGTCAGAGTAGATTTTCAGAATTTGAGATTTTGGAGGTTGCAATTCTGAATAGTGATTAGGACCAAGATTAGACAGTACTAATGGGTGGATAAAATAGAATAAAATGAAGATACGTAAAGTGGAGAAGGAACTTTCTTCCTTATTTTTTTAATGAAACTATGATCTCTTGATTTAACACTAGAGGTAGAAGTTAGTATTTTGAATTAAAGTAGAAAGGGCCAGGCGCGGTGGCTCACACCTGTAATCCCAGCACTTTGGGAGGCCGAGGCAGGTGGATCACTTGAGGTCAGAAGTTCGAGACCAGCCAAGCCAACATGGTGAAACCCCGTCTCTACTAAAAATACAAAAGTTAGCTGGGCATGGTGGTGGGTGCCTGTAATCCCAGCTACACGGGAGGCAGAGGCAGGAGAGTTCCTTGAACCTGGGAGGTGGAGGCTGCAGTGAGCTGAGATCATGCCACTGCACTACAGCCTGGAAGACAGAGCAAGACTCTGTCTCAAAAAAAAAAAAAAAATTAAACTAGAAAGCTGGGCAATGAATAAATTAAGAAATAATGTAATAGTGGGGAAGGAAAAAAAGGTAATTGTTTATAACATTTTATTTTATTTTATTTTATTTACTTATTGTTTGAGACAGAGTCTTGCTCTGTCACCCAGGCTGGAGTGCAGTGATGCGATCTTGGCTCACTACAACCTCTGCCTCCCGGTTTCAAGCCACTTTCCTGTGTCAGCCTCCCAAGTAGCTGGGATTATAGGCACCCACCACCATGCCTGGCTAATTTTTGTATTTTTAGTAGAGACGGGATTTCACCATGTTGGCCAGGCGGGTCTCGAACTCCTGACATCAAATGATGCACCTGCCTCAGTCTCCCAAAGTGCTGGGATTACAGGCATGAGGCACCTTGCCCAGCCCATAACTTTTTATATTAACATAATCCTTATGTTAAAAATCAGACTTTGTGAGATATCTCAGTAGTCCTTCATGGAAAATTTTTAGACAGTATATTCTTTTTTTTTTCTTGAGACAGGGTCTTGCCCTGTTGCCCAGGCTGGAATGCAGTGGCATGATCACAGCTCACTGCATCCTTGACCTCCCAGTCTCAGATGATCCTCCTACCTCAGCTTCCTGAATAGCTGGGACTATAGGTGTATGTCACCATGCCTGGCTAATTAAAATTTTTTTTTGTAGAGATGGGGTCTTACTTTGTTTCCCAGGCTGGTCTTGAACTCCTGGGCTCAAGCAGTCCTCCCGCCTTGGTCTCCCAGAGTCCTGGGGTTATAGGCATTAGCCACTGTGCCTGGCTTGTATTCTTAATGTGACTGATTTTCCTGGTGAAGGCTAGAAAAAAAGTTGAACTTCACATTATCATCGATAACATAACTGTTAATGTCTCCTTTCCCTGGGTGGTGAAGGACCACGGAAGTTGGTTTAGTTTTAGATGTTGGATACTAGTCTTTGATTTTTTTTTTTTATTTGAGACAGGGTCTCCCTGTGTCACCCAAGTTGGAGTGCAGTGGTCTGGTCACAGCTCACTGCAGCCTCTGCCTCCTGGGATCAAGAGATTCTCATGCCTAAGCCTCACGAGTAACTGGGATTACAGTTGTGTACCACCACACCCGGCTAAATATTTTTTGGTATTTTTAGTAGAGACGGGGTTTTTCCATGTTGGCCAGGCTGCTCTCAAACTCTTCACCTCAAGTGATCAGCCTGCCTCAACCTCCCAAGTGCTGGGATTACAGGTGTAAGCCACCATGCCCGGACACTAGTCCTTGATTAAGACCTGAACTATTACAAAGTAGTGGAGGATGAGAATTTACAGGGAAATATCAATGGAAAGACAAAACCCCCAATCTATTTTTACCAAGACTGGTTTAAAAGGGTGAATTATAGTAATATCCCAGTTAACTTGAATAATTAGGGAAAATGGGGTGAGTTTTCTCATATTTGAAGGTTAACTTAATTTTTCCCAACTCCTTATTTCATATCTTTGCAAATGAATTAGACTATATTTCCACCTTTGTAAATAGAATGTACATGTAATGATTCAGAATTTGTATTTTTTTTTTTTTTTTCAGGACAGAGTCTCACTCTGTTGCCCAGGCTACTGGAGTGCAGTGGCCCGATCTTGGCTCACTGCAACCTCCACCTCCCGGATTCAAGCAATTCTCCTGCCTCAGCATCCTGAGTTGCTGGGACTACAGCGCGTGCCACCACAGCTAGCTAATTTTTTGTATTTTTAGTAGAGACGGGGTTTCACCGTATTAACTAGGATGGTCTTGATCTCCTGACCTCGTGATCCAACCGCCTCAGCCTCACAAAGTGCTGGGATTATAGGCGTGAGCCGCCGCACCTGGCCTGTATCTTTTTTTTTTAACTTAAGTATTAAGTATAGCAGCAGCCCCTAACCTTTTTTGCAGTAGGGATCATTTTCATGGAGGACAGTTTTTTCCACGGACCAGGGCGGGGGCCATTAGATTCTCATAAGGAGTGGGCAACTTAGATCCCTTGTATGGCAGTTCACAATAGGGTTCGTGCTCCTAAGAAAATCTAATGCTGCCGCCAGTCTGACAGGAGGCAGAGCTCAGGTGGTAATGCTTGCCTGCCCACCGCTCACCTGCCATGCAGACTGGTTCCTAACAGGGCACAGACCTGTACTGGTCCTCGGCCCAGGGGTTGGGGACCCTGAAGCATAGTACTGAATGTGTATACTGACTAAGACAAACCTGTAGTTAATAGTGAATGATCCCAAGCAGGTATTTGAAAACAAATCTCTAGTTATTAGGTTGCTTTTTTTCTTTTCTTTTCTTTCATTAATCTGTATGGGTTTCATGTTTCTTTTGAGAGAGAGAGAGTGTGCTGAGAGAGTGAGTTGTGTGGGTGTGTGAACTGGAATAAATTAGGGAGCCCTGATGTCTAGAAGTTAGGTTTGGCCTTTGAAGGTATGTTTAGTCAGGGAAACCTATCTGTGGAGGAAGTTAGATTTGATTTAAACCTTGAAAGGTGACTGAACTTGGATAGCTATCCGTGAGGAGAGGAGGGTATTTTAGGCCAAGGAAGCGTTTTAGGGGAAAAGCATACTGCATGTATGATTTGGGAAATGGTGAGGGGACTAGCCTTAGTGGAGGAACCAAGTTGAGGAATAGTACAATACAGTATTTTAAAATCTTAGGTCATTTATTCCTTTGCCTTTTAAAAACTATTTTGCGGCTGGGCGCAGTGGCTCATGCCTGTAATCCCAGAACTTTGGGAGGCCGAGGCTTGCGGATTACCTGCGGTCAGTTTGAGACCAGACTTGCCAACATGGTGAAACCCCATCTCTACTAAAAATACAAAAATTAGCTGGGCATGGTGGCACATGCCTGTAACCCCAGCTACTCGGGGGAGGCTGGGGCAGGAGAATTGCTTGAGCCCGGGAGGCAGAGGTTGCAGTGAGCCGAGATCATGCCACTGCACTCCAGCCTGGCCAACACAGTGAAACTCTGTCTCGAAAAAACAACTATTTTGCTAAATTGGAGGTCCCCAAAACAGTTTCTTTCTCATGGACCATTTGTAGACCATGACTGAAAGTTTTGTTAACTTGACTATTAATAATTCCTTACCTTTCTGTATGTGTATCTTTCCTCTAACTTGGTTCATTGCATCTCAAATGTATGTGTGGCTATTTTTTGTCTTCTATTTTACTTTTTATTATATTTCTAATTTAATTTTTGTTTGTCTTAGTGCTTTTGTAATAGGTATCTATTATTTTGCCTTTAATTGGTGGGTTTATAATGGAGTTAGCATTGAGCCTTTTGGAGCACTTTTCTGGTACACTGAAAAAGACAAATTAAACCGATATTGTGGTAATCTTATTCTACTCTCACTAATAGAAATTTATATACTTAGAGTTGTCCTGTGTGGGGACTTTTTAAAAAATTAGAGAAATTGATGATTGGAAAAAAGATTTTCTTACCAAATTTAAAAACTGCTTACTTAAGGTAAGTTTCTATGACTAAATTTAATTCATTAATTAGAAGACATTGTTCTTTGGGATTTTTCTCTCATTTTAAAGGGCTTTCATCTCAAAAGAGAAAGTGATACTTGTCACCCATAATTAATCAAGTGAACTATTTAAATTACCTTAGGAGGGGAGTACAGATTAAGAAGCCTTACTATACTGAATTGATAGTATGGGAGTGAAAGCCATAGTAGATAAGTCTGTCACTGGTCAAGGGAAATACGTGACTGTATATCAGCCCACTTTGGAATTTCTTGAGTCTCTAGGCCTAAGTAGATCTGGAGCAATTACTACTCCAGAATACTGATTAAAACAAATTAAAACCAACTTCTGTGACCCAATCTTAAGGCTTAGTGACAATGGGTAAAATGTTCCATCACAGATCAGTGCTGTCCATTGAATCTATTAAACAATCTTCTTTTGTTTCAGTTACTGGTCATGAGGTTGGCAACCATGTAAGTGAATGTTCTAGATTAGCATAATATTAAGTCCCCAGGTCTCTATACCAAGAACAGGAATTGATTTGCCTAATACAGTAGTTCTCAAATGAGATCAGACCCCTGCTAGCACAGAGATTCCTTCAAGGTTGTCTGTCAGGTCAGAATTATTTTCATAATAATACTAAGATGTCCTTTGCCTTTTTATGCGTGTGTTGCTAAAGCACTGATGATGCAAAAGCAAAGGTAAGTAAAACTGCTGACATTTTAGTATGAATCAAGGAATTGTACCAAATTGTGTGGGCAATCATTGTATTCTTCTCGTTACACACTTGTAAGGTATAATAAATAAACCCAGTTTCACTTAAAAATGTCCTTGATGAAGCAATAAAAGTTATTTTGTTGGGTCTTGACCCTTGAATCTTTTTAACATTCTGTGGGCAAAACGGGAACCATACATAATGTTCTTGCATAACAAAGTGCGATGATTATCTCAAGAAAAAGTACTCATGGTTTTTGAGTTCCAAGGTTGAAGTAGTCTCTGTTTTTTGGAACACCATTTTTACTTGAAAGAATGACAGACAAACTGGTTGTTAATACTTGAGTACTGGGCAGACAGTTCCTCAGAAATGAATAAAGTGAGCCTGTCACTTCAGGGAAAACAACTGATTGTATTTGTTGTCAATGATGAAATTTGATTTATAGAAAACATGGGCTTGACAGCTACTCAATATTTAAAGACTTTTCTGATGAGATTGGAGGTGATATTAATGAATGTGGTTTTTTTTTTTTAGACGGAGTCTTGCTCAGTTGCCCAGGCTGGAGTGCAGTGGCGTGATCTCGGCTCACTGCAAGCTCTGCCTCCTGGGTTCACGCCATTCTCCTGCCTCAGCCTCCCTAGTAACTGGGACTACAGGTGCCCACCACCACGCCTGGCTAATTTTTTGTATTTTTAGTAGAGATGGGGTTTCACCATATTAGCCAGGATGGTCTCGATCTCTTGACCTTGTGATCCGCCTGCCTTGGCCTCCCAAAGTGCTGGGATTACAGGCATGAGCCACCACGCCTGGCCGGTTTTTTTTTTTTTTTAAATAGTAATAAAATGTGCCGACATTTGGAAGATCTGTATAATTCAAAGAACCAATAATTTCTAAATGACCAATGCACGATGTTAAGAAGTTATGCATACATAGTTAAAAGATCCATTGAACGTGCCAGATAGACCAATGGATTTTAATGTAAAACAGAGAAAGAAAAGTTCATTGATAGAGTTTCAGATTCCATATTGCACTTAACCTTTAAGAAATAACCCTTACTGAATTTTGGTAATATCAAAGAAGAATATCAATAATTGTATGAATATGCCAATCAAATAATTTTCCTTTTTCTAATTACATACTTGTGTGCGGTCATATTTCTTATACTTAAAGCAAAACAATGTATCACAACCACCGAATGCAGAAGCAGGTTTAAGAAAACAGCTGTATTCTATTAAGCCAAACACTGAGATTTGCAAAGAAGTGAAAGAATGTTATTTCCCACTAAAATGTTAAGTTTTGAAAAGTTATAAAAATGTTCTTTATGTTAACAAACACTGTTACATTTAGGTGAATTAATATTTTTAAAAATTCTTTATTTTAAATTTTAATATAGTAAATATAGATAGTTATAACCCACATAAACAAAAGCTCTTTGGGAGTCTGCAATAATTTTAAAGAGTAAAAAGGGGTTCTGAGACCAAAAGTTAAAAAACTGCTAACTTAATATTTGAAGGGCTAAGTTGACTTATTCTAAAAGAAATAAAGGGTGGGTTCAGCCATTTTATTAAGTTTAGATGAAACCAAAGTAAAGTATATGTATAGTACTGGATTTTAATTATTTTTGTGTCCATTTGCAGTTTTTAAATTAAAGCATTACTTCTGTTTGTTAAATCAGTGAATATCATGCCCTACTGCTAGCTTAATCTTGGGCTAACTAGAAAATGTCATAGATTTTCCAACTTTCGAAAAGGTAACTTAATGTGTCCAAAATTATGAGAACAAAAACATGAAAGGCTGTGTCTGTAATCTCTGTATGGTAATTATATGTCATGTACCTCTCCAAGAATGACTGTTCAGTCAATGTGAAGTTCAAGATAGTTAATATATGTGAAAATATTCTGTAGATAGGTAAAAGCTTATATTAATATTAGATTTATTGTTGGCTGTCATGCAAAGTAATTGAATTTGAATTTATGGGGGGGAGAAATTAAGTTGAAGGAATATATATATATATATATATATATATATATATATATATATGTATACACACACACATACATACACACACATATGTATATATATATATATATATTTTTTTTTTTTTTGGAGACAGAGTCTTTCTCTGTCATCCAGGCTGGAATGCAGTGGTGAGATCATAGTTCACTGAAGCTTCTGACTCCTGGCCTCAAGTGATCCTCCTGTCTTAGCCTCCTGCGTAGCTAGGACTGCAGGCACACACCACTGTCCCCAGCTAATTAAAATTTTGTTTTTTTGTAGACAAGGAGTCTTGCTGTGTTGTACAGGCTGGTCTCAAACTCCTGGCCTGAAGCAATTCTCTGGCCTCAGCCTCCCAAAGTGCTGGGATTATGGGTATGAGCCACCTCCCCTAGCCAATACATTTTTTCCCTTAAAACCACTAATTTTCTATGTACCCTCAGACCAGTGCTGCAAAATAAAAAAGCCATTAATTTTCCTGAAATACCTTACTACTTGGATACTTGGATAACCCTTAATGGTGGTGCTGTTTACCCAGTTAATTATTTTTCATAAAGCAAACATTCTGGTTTATGCACATTTAAAGTTAGATACATAAATTAGTTATTTCAGATGTATCATAGTGACATGCAAATATTACATAGTTATGTTATTTTATAAATTATCTCAAAAATTTATTAAAAGACCACACTACAACCATAGTTTTAAGTTACAGTGCCATGATCAAAAACCACCATCAGTTAAGCACCAACACAGAACAGATGGTCCAAGAGGACATACAACAGGTTTACATTCTGGAGGAGAAGAGCATAGAGCCATTAAAGCTATCAGATTTCTGTTTCTTATATATATTAGTTAATGAATAAGTAAAGATATAATCCTTGATCATACAAGGACCAAATCTCAGAGTATTAGCGTTGCAAAATTGCTAACTTTAACTTCATCTTTTTTCCTGATTTACAAATTTTTATATACAGTGGTTGATAATACTACTGTCCGTTTATTATTTTAATTGAAATTAATGCAACTTGTCATAAGTAGATCATTTATAAATGTGAAATTGCTTGAGGCCCTCTTTTACTGCCATGTTGCATTTAACTCCTGGTTGGACAGATTTGAGCCATATTGCTAGGCTATTTGTCACTAAAGCATTTTTTTAGTTTTCATCTTATAAAGAAGATGGTTGACTTGAAATTGTGTTGCCTTGGAAATAGCTGTGTGTGATTGGAAAGGTACTTGCTCACGTTTGACATGTCACATGTATATTGTTCAGTAGCTCATCTTTTATTTTAGAAAACGGCCTTTCCAAAGATACATTCTTTAGAAAAAAATGGTATAGTATGCTTTCAAAAAGAGCCTGATAAAAACTTTATTAATTGTGATTATTCTGAATTAATTTTTGTTTTGCATTTTAAGTATTAAAATGAAAGGCAGAATATTTGGAATATTTAATAGACTACATTTTCTCTTTAGAGAATTCTGTGAGTCATACTTAATAGACTACATTTCTTTTTAGAGCATTCTGGAGTCATACCATACTGTTTGTTTAAATTACTGTATTGTGATTTTTATTATATTAAAAGTAATAGAATACAGGATTCAACCTGAGGAAGCTGATAAAAACACACACACACAGGAATGAGTGTTTTTTCTGTCTTTATATAGGATGCATTCTTTTTATAGAAGAAATTTTTAATACTGTTTTCTTTTCTTATGGTTTATGCTTAGTCTCACAAATGTCTTATGACTCTGAATTCCTGACATCGAATTCTATGCAGAGATAGCTTTATCAAATGTGCTTCAGCTAAGTAACAATCCAACACAATTATTAATATTTTTCCCTCAGGTAAATGAAATAGGTTTCATGAAACAATAAAAAGTCCTTAAAAAATGTTTTACGTGCTTAAAAAATTAATTAGTACCAAAAGGTTCACAGTGACAAACAAAAATTCTCTGCTGTATTTCTCCTCATATCTCAGTTCAGTTCTCTGGAGTGCCACTTTTTTTTTTTTTTTTTTGAGACAGAGTCTCATTCTGTCGCCCAGGCTGGAGTACAGTGGCGCAATCTCGGCTCACTGCAACCTCCGCCTCCCAGCTCAAGCAATTCTCTGCCTCAGCCTCCTGAATAACTGGGATTACAGGCACCCACCACCACGCCCAGCTAATTTTTTTTTTAATTTTTAGTAGAGACGGGGTTTCACCATCTTGGCCAGGCTGGTCTTGAACTCCTGACCTCATGATCCACCCGCCTTGACCTCCCAGGCATGAGCCTCTGTGCCTGGCCCAGAGTGACAGCTTTTTAAACTTTTTTAAAAGCAATTTCTTCTGTTATTTAGCCCATATATAGGGATAATGTGTCTATTCTGGTATTTCTTGATTTATTCCTTTTAGACATTGTCTATGACTTCCTGATAGTGGTAGATAAGATTTTATCTTTTTTATGCTCCTGTATTTCTTCTTACCCTATCTTTCTAATATAGTTAACACAGGTTTAGTTAAATCAGTCATCAGTATTTACATTATTATAACTATATAATATTTACTGCAAAGCCAGGTATTATTTTTCCGAAGCTACTAATTCTCTTGATTTGCATAATTTTCTATAAATTACCCTTAAAGAGTCAACCATTTTTCATGGAGGTGGAGCTTAGGACTTTTCTTTCTTTCTTTTTTTTTTTGTTAGGCAGGGTCTTGCTCTGTCACCCAGGTGGGAGTGCGATGGTATAATCACAGTCCACTGCAGCCTCAAACTCCTGGGCTCAAGCAATCTTCCTGCCTCATTTTTAAATTTTTTTGTGGAGATGAGGTTTCACTGTGTTGCCCAGGGTAGTCTTGAACTCCTGGGCTTACACAATCCTCTTGCTTTGGCCTTCCAAAGTGCTGGGATTACAGGCGTAAGCCATCGTTGCCAGCCCAGGAGCTTAGGACTTTTCTGGTAGTTTCACCTGAGGGCAGTCCCTCTCACCTAAAGAGATCACATCCTTAGGGTGAAAAGGCCTGTTTTCCGTGATCCTAACATGTGTCAGTATGGCCCTTACTCAAACTGGGCATGCATCAAATGGGAAACTCAAGCCTTATAATGGGAAGTTTATTGCTTTCTAGATCCATGCCGAGAGTGCTTAATGGTTATCCTGGGCTCTAAGTACAGATAGTTTATAGTAATAGATAATGATATAATATCTGATGATTATAAAGAAATAGGAACTTTTCAGTTCTGTTTTCATACTAAAATAACTCTTGAGTAGGTACAATGTAGAACAGAAGTTACAGATAGAGGTTTGGGGTGCTTAGGTATTAGCCTGTTCAAGAACTCCGCTATTCTATTGGCTTTCCTAGAGTCAAATCAGAGCATAGAAATCCCTTCACAGCCCACGTACTTATTTCATAGATTTGTAGACACAAAGCAGCACAGTTTTGTGAAGGGATATAAAAAATTTTCATTCACCTATCTTTAAGATCCCTTTTGATTGTGAGGTTAATTTTAGGTGTTGAAGTACTTTTCTCTCAAATATTTAAATTTTATTTTTCATTTTTCTTCAGATTTCTAAAATTACATCTGATATCATTAGTATATAACTATATAATTCCTTCCTTTTATACCCAGAATTATTTTAATTGTTAAAAGCAGTCTTTTGCAAAGTCTAAAAAAACTTAATATAAAACATTAATTTTTTTTACAAAAAATTCTTAAAAGATTTTGATTAAACCAAAATTCTAAATTCTGAAAACTTGCTAATTCTTGAAAGAGCTGTATGCAGCGACTGTAGAATTTCCTGACAACTGAATACATTTCAAGATATCATGTGAGGAATATTGGACACAAAATTTAAGAAGAAGCATTAACACTTTTTTTGAAAAAAATCACTTTAAAGGAAACAAACTTGACAACAACTCTGTCAGGGACAAAGATAGCATTTACATTATAAAATGTATTAAAATAATGATATTACTATATGTTCATTAGAATATTATGCATCCAAAGTATAATATAATCCAAATTATGCATTTGGATTATCCAAATTATGCATTTGGATAATCCAAATTAGTATAATCCAAATTGTATATTGTCATGTAGTAATGAGCTTGCACTACAAATAATACAGTTTTTAAATTTATATATATTTTTAGTTCTAATATTAAATTTTTCTTAGGTTGGACACGGTGGCTTACGCTTGTTGTCCCAGCACTTTGGGAGGCCAAAGCGGGAGGATCACTTGAGGCCAGGAGTTCGAGACCAGCCTGGTCTACATGGTGAAACCCCGTCTCTCCTAAAAATACAAAAATTAGTCAGGTGTGGTGGTGGGTGCCTGTAATCCCAGCTACTTGGGAGGCTGAGGCAGGAGAATTGCATGAACCCAGGAGGCAGCGAGCGGTTGCATTGAGCTGAGATCATGCCACAGCGCTCCAGCCTGGGTGACAGAGCGAGACTCCATCTCAAAAAAAATTTTTTTTTCTTAGGTACCTATTGTTTGATTTAAATATCCAGGTTTATAATAAAATATCACCACAGTGAACTGGAGGAGGGAAGGAAATTAATCATCTTTAGTTTGATTACTCATGTGAAAACAGAATTGGGAATATGCTCAAACAATACAGTAAAACAGTGATATATGATGTACACTCGGGTTTTAGAAAAAACATTGCTGAAACCCTTTTTTTTTTTTTTTTTTTTTTTGAGATGGAGTCTTGCTCCGTTGCCCAGGCTGCAGTGCAGTGGCGTGATCTCGGCTCACTGCAAACTCAGCCTCCCGGGTTCATGCCATTCTCCTGCCTCAGCCTCCCGAGTAGCTAGGACTACAGGTGCCTGCCACCACGCCTGGCTAATTTTTTGTATTTTTAGTAGAGATGAGGTTTCACCTTGTTAGCCAGGATGGTCTCGATCTCCAGACCTCGTGATCTGCCCGCCTCAGCCTCCCAAAGTGCTGGGATTACAGGTGTGAGCCACCGCACCCAGGTGCAACCTTTTTTTTTAAGTCAGACTTTTCTTTGTTTTCTTGAATGATCCTATAAAAGGAAAAACTAAAAGAGTAAAAGAGCTCTAGGATCCTAGGCAGATTACTAGTTTGAACTTTGGCTTTCTGATTTATGGTGAAACCAGGTATCTCTAAAGTGTTTCTAGGTCTAAATGTGGTCAGTGTGTGAATAGGAGACAGTCATAGATGAGAGGTATGTAAGGGATTCAAATGTAGAATAAAGAAAATAGAAATAAAAGGTAGAAGAAGGGTAGAGAGGAAAGGTATTTACTGAAAATGTTTGCAAATGAAATTTATGTAACTGTAAATATACCTAAAATTTTTGTTACTGGTGTTGTTCTTACTCTGTTCTCCCAATTACAAATATACTTTTCTCCACAATGATAGCTTGACTAGCCCAAGCTTTTGTGCATTAAGTAATGTGGCCAGTACAGTAGGTACTCAGTGAGTATTTGTTTAACTTACTGACTAAAAAAGATACCAGACAAGAAAAAAGAAAAAAAAAATACCAGAATGGATTGCCTAAATAAAACAGGGTTTTTCCTTCAGTTTTACTATGACTTCTTGATCATGCTGCTGTTTGTCTTTGTTTGCCATGACACGTGATCTGACTTCTACAATATAGTCTCCTTGTTTTTATAAGTAACTAGTTCTAGTAGATGCTTTTATTTGAGAGACTCACTTTTCCATTTAAACTCTCATTTGCCTTGGGCTATTCTGAGTTTTTCACTATTTTCTTGCAATAAGCATAAATCAGTCACAGGTCAGATTTAGCTTACCTTACTAATAGTCTTCCTTGTTCTGCAGATCTCAAATTGTAGTTTAGGACTCTATTAGTCAACTGATTTTTGAGACACAGCTTAATGAAAGTACCTATTCCAGGCTGCCAGCTGAGTTGTTAGCTTGGAGGTTGTCAGCTCGTAACTTTCGATAGAAAGCAATGGTTTAAAAAACACTATGCTTAGTCTTTGTTTATTCTTATTTTTATTTATTCAGACAATATTTGTGTTAGGAAATATGGTAATTTTTAGAAATAAAAACATGAATAAGAAGATATGGTCCCTCTTGTCAAGGAACTTAGAACCTAGTGAGAAAGTGGGAGTCAAAAAGACCAAGTATTGGAAGACCTGTGACAGAGTTATATACCAATAAAAGGGAATAGTTATACCATAGAGTGGAGCTGAGAGAGTATATAGTCTAGGACTTTGAGGATGATGTAACAGTGTAACTCACTACATTAACATATTAATGGAGAAGGATCAGATGGGAGTAGATGTAGGAAAAATTGGATATGCCAGGTGTGCTGTGGCTTGTGCCTGAAATCCTTGCTAGCTAGAAGGCTGAGGCAGGAGGATCACTTGAGGCCAGGAGTTTGAGGCAAGCCTGAGCAACATAGTGAGAGATCTCATCTATAAAACATTTTTTAGGCAGGGCACAGTGGCTCACGCCTGTGATCCCAGCATTTTGGGAGGCTGAGGCAGGCAGATCACTTGAGGTCAGGAGTTTGAGACCAGCCTGGCCAACATGGTGAAAACCCATCTCTCCTAAAAATACAAAAATCAGCCAGGTGTGGTGGCGTGCACCTGTAATCCCAGCTACTCGGGAGGCTAAGGCAGGAGAATCACTTGAACCCAGAAGGTGGAGGTTGCAGTGAGTGGAGGTTGTGCCATTGCACTCCAGCCTGGGCAACAGAGTGAGACTCCATCTCAAAAAAAAACAAAAACAAAAACAAAAACATTTTTTTTCTTTTTTTTTTTATTATTATTATACTTTAAGTTTTAGGGTACATATGCCCAACATGCAGGTTTGTTACATATGTATACATGTGCCATGTTGGTGTGCTGCACCCATTAACTCATCATTTAGCATTAGGTATATCTCCTAATGCTATCCCTCCCCCCTCCCCCCACCCCACAACAGTCCCCAGTGTGTGATGTTCCCCTTCCTGTGTCCATGTGTTCTCAAAGTCAAGAAACAACAGGTGCTGGAGAGGATGTGGAGAAATAGGAACACTTTTACACTGTTGGTGGGACTGTAGACTAGTTCAACCATCGTGGAAGTCAGTGTGGCGATTCCTCAGAGATCTAGAACTAGAAATACCATTTGACCCAGCTATCCCATTACTGGGTATATATCCAAAGGATTATAAATCATGCTGCTATAAAGACACATGCAAACGTATGTTTATTACAGCACTATTCACAATAGCAAAGACTTGGAACCAACCCAAATGTCCAACAATGATAGACTGGATTAAGAAAATGTGGCACATATACACCATGGAATACTATGCAGCCATAAAAAATGATGATGAGTTCATGTCCTTTGTAGGGACATGGATGAAGTTGGAAACCATCATTCTCAGCAAACTCTCGCAAGGACAAAAAACCAAACACCGCATGTTCTCACTCACAGGTGGGAATTGAACAATGAGAACATTTTTTTTTAAGTTAGCTGGGTGTGGTAGTGCACATCTGTAGTTCCAACTACTTGAGAGACTGAGAAGGATTTTTTGAGCTCACAAGTTAAAGGCTGCAGTGAGCTATGATCATAGCATTGCACCTCAGCCTGGGTGACAGAGGGAGACTGCCTTCAAAAAAATAAAAAAAATAAGAAATAAATAATACTGGGTAAAGTTCAGCACCCATTCAGACATTGAATAGAAATGGAAGGGAATGTCTCATAGATGGTATCTATCAGAAAATTACAGCAGACATCATGCATTAATGGTGAAACATTAAATGCAGTTCTATTAGAGAACAGCAAGAGAAGGATATCTGCTGTCTCCATTTCTATTTGTTAATGCAGCAAGTAAAGAAATAGAAATGTAATGCAAGATTGAAAAGGTGGAAATAAACTGTCCTTTACTGATGGTGTGATTTTTTTTTAACCTAGAAAACCCAAGAACATGAACTGAGTAAACTAAGTTTTGAAAGGTGGTTAATTAGAAATTCACCATTCAAAAACTCTATAGTTTTGGCTGGGCATCGTGGCTCATGCCTGTAATCCCAGCACTTTGGGAGGCTGAGGTAGGTGGATCACTTGAGGTCAAGAGGCTGAGATCATTCTGGCCAATATAGTGAAACCCCGTCACTACTAAAAATACAAAAAAAATTAGCCGGGCGTGGTGGCACGTGCCTGTAGTCCCAGCTACTCAGGAGGCTGAGACATGAGAATCACCTGAACCCTGGAGGCAGAGGTTGCAGTGAGCTGAGATCATGCCACTGTACTCCAGCCTGGCAGACTGGGACTCTGTCGCAAAAAAAAAAAAAAAAAAAAAAACCCAAAAAACCAAAATCAAAACTCTATATTCCTGTTACACAATAGCACCAATAGACAATGTAAGAGAAAAAAAAATCCATTTCACAAAGCAACAAAAACTTTCTTACCCAAGTAAGAAAAAAAAACTTAAATATGTAAGAGTTCTGTGGGGAGATTTTAAAATTTTACCAATGGAAATGAAATGCCAGTTTTTAATCAAATTAATATTACTAATGTCAGTAAATCCCAACAAGGTTTTTCGTAGAACTTTATAAATATCCTAAAATGATAGAAAAGATCACTATGTTCGATTAATGAAGACGGTATAGAAAAAAAACAACAACAAAGGAAAGGGGCTTGTCTTAGTAGAATTGAGATCATAATAAAGCTATAGTAATAAGCTATAGTAAAACAAGGTTTTAATGACACAGAAATAGACAAATGGCTTAGTGGGACAGAATAGACTCCAAAAGGAGACCTACACTTAATGTGGGAATCTGAGATCAGTGAGAAATGTAAGCTCGTTAGTAAATGGTGTTGGCACAATTGATTATCAGTATGGAAAAGCTACAAATTAAATTCAAGAGGACCTTCAAGAGCACCAGTAGACAACCTGTTAGAATAAGAAAGGTTAGCATGGTTGCTAAAGATAAGAACAGTAAACAAAAAATGATAGCATTCACATATCAGCATTAACCTATCAGCAAATACATTTTAAAAATATTACATTAACTTTAATGGCAAAAACTGTAAGCATCTAGGAATAAATCTAATAAAAGGCCTTCCTGGAGAAGATTATAAAATGGTTTTGAAGAAGAGCTGAATGAATGTAGAGAGATACACCATGCTTATCAGTGGCAAGACTCAATGCTATAGAGCTGTCAGTTTATTCTTAATAAATTTGTAGATTGAGTGCAATTTCAGTCAAAATCTTAATAGGTTTTGTTTTTTGCTCATGCAGAATATGACAAACTAATCCTAAAAATCATCAAGGAGCAGGAATGGTTAAGATAAATTTGAAAAAAACAATTTAGTCAGGGCGTCTTGCCCTACTACACATCAAGATGTAAATAACTGTAGTTGTTAAGGTGGTGCTGTTGACATGGGAATATGTAGGTAGACCAGTGAAACATAAAGGAGAACACAGAAACAAAGCCAGGCCCATATATTAATAGGATGCATTGAGAAGAACACAACATCTGTTCTGTGTTTTTCCTGTTAAGGATATATATCCTAAACTTAATTATGAGTCAACACAGTCTTATCAGACAAACCCAACTGAAAATCATTCTATGCAATATGTGGCCTGCAACCCTTCTAAAATGTCTAGTTCATGTACATCAACAAAAGGCTGAGAAACCTCCAGCCTGAAAGAGATTAAAGATTGCAGTTCAGACTACCACATGCCAAGTGCGATTCTGAACTGAATCTATTTCCTATAAAGAACATCCATTCATTATTGGGACAAGAAGGGAAACATGAATGGATTCTTAAGATGGGACTATGTAGTAATATGTGTTTAATATTGCCCCATAGATCATTTAGTCTCTGTTCATTCATTTCAGCTTTTTCTCCCCTCTTCTCCATGCTTCTTTGGACTGTTTTTATTGTAATGTCTTCAAGTTCACTAATCGTTTGCTATACAGTTTCTAATCCATTGTTAAGCTCCTGCGGTGAATTTTTCATTTCAAATAGTTGTATTTTGCAGCTTCAGAAGTCCCATTTGAGTTTTTCAAAACATAATTTACATTTCTTCCTACTTAACGTTCATGTCTTTCTTTAAATCCTTTAGTAGAAAGTCCTTGTCTGTTATTTCCATGATCTTTTTCATTTCTGGGTCTGTTTCTGTTGACTGTTTCCATTTTCTTTCCTGGTTATAGATCACATTTTCCTGATCTTTTGTGTCTATTAATTTTTTTATTTTATGCTGGACATTGTAATGATTATATTTTGGAGTGTCTGGACCTTGTCCTTTTAGAGTGACAAACTTTGTTTTGGCAGGTTGTCAAGTTACTTGCAATCAGCATGATCCTTTCAAGACTTGTTTTGTTGGGGGTGGGGTTCTTGAATAGCTTTTACTCAGCTGCTGATTTAGTCCTCCTTCTAACACATGACTCTTCTGCGGTCTCTGCTGTATGTTCTGGATGTTCATTAAGTCTACTCCACTCTACTTGTCAGAACTCAAATTTCTCTCTTTACATTGTGAGCTCTGAGAATTGTTTAGCTTACAGCTTTCTTGTATTTGATCTTTGCTTAGCCTTGTGGAGTTTTAGGTTATACATGCACAATTTAGTGTTTAGCCAAAATTTTCTTGGTTTTTTGTTTTGCTTTGTTTTCAAGACAGGCTTCCACCATATTGCCCAGGCTGGTCTTGAATACCTGGCCTCAGGCATTCCTCCCGTTTTAGCTTCCCAAAGTCCTGGGATTACAGGCATGAGCCACTACATTCATGCCTGTGTGAAGCCAAAGCCAAAATCTTAAAGGCAGATTTTTGGAGCCCTTTGTTAGTGTAGCTCCCTTTTCTTTGGTATTCTTTTCTGAATGTGTCAGTTTAGCATCCATGAACTCCAGCTTTGTCTCCTCAAGTTCAGCAAGACTTGGGCTACCCATTTTTCTGTACCTCATTCTGGAAAGCACCTCAGTGCCTTACTAGAGAGAACCTAGCTTTGCATTACCTGCTGTCCAAAGTCTGAAAATAGTTTTTTCATGCTTTGTCCAGTTTTCTAGTTTTTTATGGCAAGAGGGTATCTTCCTCCTTTTTGTAATAGCTTCCCCTTCATATTTTATTAATAGCTCAGTTTGGTTGCATTATTTTCTCAACTAGTCCCTTGAGTAATCTCAGCGTAAGTGGTTGAATTGATCCAAGGTTGGGGATTAAGAATGTGGTCAGGGGACAAAAGAATCAAGTTATTGGGAGTGGTGGAAAGCAAATAGTTGAAGCAGTGGTTCTCAGAGTATGGATGGAGGATCCTTTTGGGGATCCATAGGGTCTTCCCACTTCTAACTACGTGTGAGGGTGAAATGTCTTAATATACTTGAACCAAAATAATAAGCAGTGGATTCAATGCAAAAGCAAAGATAAGAATCTGTTTTTTAAAAGTTAAACCACGCATTAAAGAGATACACAAAAATAGTAAAACGATACCACTCAGTTTTCTAAGTTGTTTTTGTTTGGTTTTTGTTAGCCTGTAGTGGGTTTATTATTTTGTTAAAGTGAGTTGATACATAAATAACTTTGAAATGTTCTATCTTTATTTTTTATTTTTTTTTTTTTTTGAGTCTCGCTCTGTAGCCCAGGCTGGAGTGCAGTGGTGCGATCCTGGCTCACTGCAACCTCTGCCTCCTGGGTTCAAGTGATTCTCCTGCCTCAGCCTCCCAAGTAGCTGCGACTACAGTTGCATGCCACCACACCTGGCTAATTTTTGTATTTTTAATACAGATGGGGTTTCACCATGTTGGCCAGGCTGGTCTTGAACTCCTGACCTCAGGTGATCCACCAGCCTGGGCCTCCCAAACTGCTGGGATTATAGGCGTGAGTCACCGTGCCCTACCTCAGTCTTTATTCCTAACACACTAAGTATTAATTAAAGATAGCCCACAACATCAAAAATTGTTTGGAGTCATCAATTAAGATTACAAAGGGGTCTTGAGACCTAAAAGTTTGAGAATTATGGAAATAAAGCACCATAGATTCTAATCTGTTTAGGGAAGGAACTGAAGGCATTAGGAATGCAATGGACTGTGTAGAAAGGGAACAGATTAAAGAATGAGGCGTTTCTATTCAGTTTCTATTTCCTGTTGGATGGGTGTCGATTTCTTGACTTTCCTGCATCCTTGTGTGGAGGTGCCGCAATTTCCCATTCTAAACCATGGTTGACTTGACTATTTTTCTTCTGCAGTTTCTGCTGCCTCAGGATTATTGAGCCCTTTGCTTTCATTGAATCTACAATTTTACCCAAAATAAAAGTACTAACCTGTGTCATCCACTTTAACCTTGAATTTCTCTGGGACATTGCCTGTTCAAATATAATCCCTATTACCCAGTGAGGAGAAATAACATTTATTGGTTATTATTAGCCCATATTTTAAATGGATTTATTTTGTGTGATAGAACTATATATTCAAAGGAAATAGTAAGTTATTCATCCCAGGAATGTGGAGTGGCAACATGACAATGAAAGGCAACATCTGACTTAGGTTTGAAATTAATTTTGTTCTTGCTTTGGGAAATCAGTTGCATTTGTATTAATTAGAAGCACGGAATACATGTCAAAGTAATAATCTGCCCTTTTGGACCATCTCTGTTAATGCAGATGAGCACACAATTTATTTAAATAAAAAAGTATTATATGATTAATTTTAATTATATATAGATTGATAGTAGTATTTTATGTAATTTTAAAGTATTTTTGTATTTCTTACAGTAATCCTAAATTGGAGAGTCAGAGAGTAAATAAAAAAGTCAATAATGATGCCTCACTTAGAATGCACAATCTATCCATTTTGGTGAGACAGATAAAATTTTATTACCAGGTAAGTGCTCTTTTTAAAAATCTGGGGTTTTAATAACTACTTACATTTTTGTATTATTTAGTATCAGTCATCTCACAAATATTTAAACGCTTATTATATGCTAGGTTCTGATCTATTTGCTAGAGTTAGAGTAGTAAATAAGATAGTTTATTTTTTATGAATGTTAAAGGCTTAAGCAAGCATTTAATAATTTTCTAATGTTACAAATGACTATTGTATTTTATGTTTTAAAAATCAGGTCCCAGTTTCCTGAGAACTTGCATAGTGTAACATTTTGTTGTTAGACTTCTTGAATTATGCCTTTGAAAAGTGTACTTCCATTTTTTTTAAAAAAAAAACCTGAATTGGATGCATATTTTCGTTTTTAAATATGAACATTGTTGAGGATTTCAATATACCTCTCAAAATTGCTATATCTGCATTGCATAAATTTTGGTATGGCGTATTTTAAAAGATGATTATTTCTATGCATTTTCTAATTTCTGCTATGATTTATTTCACTTACGAGTTACTTAGAAGTATGCTTTTAAATTTTTGAACATGGTATTTTTCAAGTAACCTTTTTGCTTTTGATTTTTGGTCAAAGAATGTGGTTTGTATAATACTGATTCTTTGATATTTGTTAAGAATTACTTAGCTTGGCCTAGTATGTCGTTGTCAGTTTTCTTTAAAGTTCTATGTGTGCTTGAAAAAGTATGTATTCTCCAATTGTTTGGGCGCAGAGTGAGAGCAACCTTGTTTGTTAATTGTATTGTTCCAATCTTTTACAGCCTTGTTGATTTGTCTTTTGAGTGATTAGTTATTGAGAAAGAGGAGTTGAAATATCCCATATGATGATGAATTTATCAAATTTTGTCTTATAGACTTTGAACCTGTTATTAGGTGCAAATAAATTTAAAATTGTTAAATCTTCCTGAAGAATTTGATTATTTATCAGTAATTGTCTCTTTTCCAATTTTTTTTTCTTTTTTCTTTTTCTTTTTTTTTTTTTTTTTTTTGAGATGGAGCCTCACTGTCACCCAGGCTGGAGTGCAGTGGCGCAATCTCATCTCACTGCAACCTCTGCCTCCTGGGTTCAAGCGATTCTCCTGCCTCAGACTCCTGAGTAGCTGGGACTATAGGTGTGCACCACCGTGTCCAGCTAATTTTTATGTTTTCAGTAGAGACAGGGTTTCACCATGTTGGCTAGGCTGGTCTCAAACTCCTGACCGCAAGTGATCTGCCCCCCTCAGCCTCCCAAAGTGCTGGGATTACAGGCATGAGCCCCCATGCCTGGCCTATCAGTAATTGTTTCTACATGTTTTTCCTTTCTCCTGGTTTAAAATTTTTTCACTCTTCCTGTTTTTTCAGAGGTGACTTTCAAAATCATACATTTTATACCTAAACATAGGAAAGGCCAAAATTAATGAGTATCTTTACCCTTTTATGGAATAGTGCTATGACTTTAGAATGTTTTAATTCTAGTCATTCTCTTTTATGACTTTTAAGCTTTTCTTGTCTTGTATTTTCGGGTTTTTTTCTTTACCCTACAAATTAAATATTGAGAAGTACTATTAAATAAATAAAACCAATGTTTCTTTTTTTTTTTTTTTTTTTTTTTTGAGATGGAATCTCAATCTGTTGCCCTGGCTGGAATGCAGTGGCACGAGCTCAGCTCACTGCAACTTCCGCCTCCTGGGTTCCAGCAATTCTCCTGCCTCAGCTGCCCGAGTAGCAGGGATTACAGGTGCCCACTACCACACCCGGCTAATTTTTTTGTATTTTTAGTAGAGACTGGGTTTCGCCATGTTGGCCAGGCTGGTCTCGAACTCCTGACCTCCTGTGATCCACCCGCCTCGGCCTCCCAAAATGCTAGGATTGTAGGCATGAGCCGTGCGCCCAGCCCTTTTTCTTTAGCTCAAGCTGCATGTTTTTCTTTGAGAATATTTGTCTGAAAATGCCTTTATTTCACTCTTGTTTTTGGAAGATAGTTCTTTGTTTGTTTTAGTTTTTAAATAGAGACAGAAGGCTGGGTACAGTGGCTCACACCTGTAATCCCAGCACTTTGGGAGGCCGAGGTGGGCGGATCACTTGAGGTCAGGAGTTCGAGACCAGCCTGTCCAACATGGCGAAACCTTGTCTCTACTAAAAATACAAAAATTAGCCAGCCTTGGTGGTGGGCACCTGTAATCTCAGCTACTCAGGAGGCTGAGGCATGAGAATCACTTGAACCCAGGAAGCAGGGTTTGCAGTGAGCCGAGATCATGCTGTTGCACTCCAGCCTTGGCAGCAAGAGCAAACCTCCATCTACAAAAAATAAAATAAAATAAAATAAAATACAATCTACAAAAAATAAAATAAAAAAGAGACAGAGTCTCACTATGTTGCCCAGGCTGGTCTTGAACGTCTGGGCTCAAGCAGTCCTCTTGCCTCAGCCTCCCAAAGTGTTGGGATTATGGGCGTGAGTGATTGCACTAGGATGAAATACTTTTAAGTATGCAGTTTTAGGTTGACAATTATTTTTCTGTCAGTACTTTGCACACTTAATTCTTCTGTCTCTGTATTTTTTTTTTTTTGAGACGGAGTTTTGCTCTTGTTGCCCAGGCTGGAGGGCAGTGGCATGATCTTGACCACTGCAACCTCTGGCTCCTGGGTTCAAGTGATTCTCCTGTCTCAGCCTCCTGAGTAGCTGGAATTACAGGTACATGCCACCACGCCCGGCTCATTTTTGTATTTTTAGTAGAGACAGGTTTCATCATATTGGTCAGGCTGGTCTTGAACTCCTGACCTCAGGTAATCCGCCTGCCTCGGCCTCCCAAAGTGTTGGGATTACAGGTGTGAGCCACCATGCCTGGCCTCTCTGGATTCTTTTTGCTCTGGAGAAGTTAGCTCTCTAATTTTTGTTACTTAAGCTGTCTTTTTTTTTTTTTTTTTTTTTTTTTTTTTGACATGGAGTTTCACTCTGTTACCTAGGCTGGAGTGCAATGGTGCAATTTCAGCTCACTGCAGCCTCTGCCTCCCGGATTCAAGGGATTCTCCTGCCTCAGGCCCCTGAGTAGCTGAGACTACAGGCACGTGCCACCAGGCCCGGCTAATTTTTGTATTTTTATGAGAGGTGTGGTTTCACCATGTTGGCCAGGCTTGTCTCGAACTCCTGACCTCAGATGATCCACGCGCCTCAGCCTTCCAAAGTGCTGAGATTACAGGCGTGAGCCACCGCGCCCGGCTAGACTGTCTTTTTTCTTTCAAAGCTACTTTTAGTATTTATTCTTCTAATATTTGTTCTAATCTGGTATCTTTCAAATATTTTTATTGATATATGTTAGACTTTCTTACTCTATTTCTTGCTTATTAAACTTTTATTTATTAAGCTTGTGCTGCATTCTGAGTCTTGTTTTCAGAACTCTCTAATTTACTAATTCACTCCATATTTGTGTCAAATCTTCTGTTTAACCCATTGATTATATCTTTCATTTCTGGAAGATTTGGTTCTTTTTACATTACCTTTTCATTTTGCTCATTAATCATTTTCTTTTCTTCAGATATTTAAAATTTTTCCGTTTTAGATTTCATATCTGATTATTCAGAAATCTGAAATATGTACAGATCTGGATCTGTCCTTTGTTTTCTGCTTGCTGTTTCTTTTGGTAGTGGTGGTGATAGTAGTAGTGGCAGTGGTGGGGGTGGCAGTGATATGTGTGTGTTTTAATTGTGAACTCATTTTTTGGGGGGACTTTATCTGTGCCAATTCTTTGTATTCAAGTCAAGGATGCATTGCTTCAGAGCAGATTTGTTGCTTGTTGTGCAACCAACCCTGAATCACCTTTATTTTAAGCAAGTTTAGCCAGGCGCGGTAGCTCATGCCTGTAATCCCAGCACTTTGGAAGGCCAAGATGGGTGGATCACTGGAGGTCTGGAGTTCCAAACCAGCCTGGCCAACGTGGTGAAACCCTGCCTGTACTAAAAATACAAAAATTAGCCAGGTGTGGTGGTGCGTGCCTGTAATCCCAGCAACTTGGGAGGCTGAGGCGCACGAATTGCTTGAACCAGAGAGGTAGAAGTTACAGTAAGCGGAGATCACACCACTACACTCCAGCCTGGGCGACAGAGCGAGACTCTGTCTTTAAAAAATATATATATATATATATGTATATATACACATATATACATATATATACGTATATATACACATATATACGTATATATGTGTATATATACACATATATACGTATATATGTGTATATATACACATATATACGTATATATGTATATATATATAATTTATATATAATATTCAATATATAATTAAATATATAATTAAATATGTATATTTAAGCAAGTTCATATAGAAGCAATATTGTTGTAATGTAGAAAATTAGAAAAAAAATAGATAATATAGACATAGTTCTAGTGCCAGGAAATTAGCACTGTTATCACCTGAATATATATACACTTCTGGATTTTTTTTTTTTTTGAGATGGAGTTTTGCTCTGTCACCCAGGCTGGAGTGCAGTGGTGCAATCTCGGCTTACTGCAACCTCTGCCCCACCTGGATTTTTTTTTTCCTTATGTGTTTATAAATTATGTTTTTATGTGTTTACATTTTTTATTGATTGATTGAAACAAGGTCTGTCTTTGTTGCCTAAGTCACAGCTCACTGTAGCTAAGACCTTCTGGGCTCAAGCAATCCTTCCGCCTCAGCCTCCTAAGTAGCTGGGACTACACATGTGTGTCACTATGCTATATTTTTTAATTTTTTGAGACAGAGTCTGGTATTGTCGCCCATGCTGGAGTGCAGTGGCATGGTCGTAGCTCATAGGTCACTGTAGTCTTGAGCGCAATTACTTTCGCACCAACCAATACTTTAAATTGTCTTCAGAAATAGGTCAGACATTTTATATATACAGTTAATAGACTTACTGAAATAATTTTTTTGTTCTTATTATATTAGAGAGGGTGTGGTTTAATATATGACACATTGCAAGTTAATATTTTCCAAATCAATGGAATTCTCATCAGCCCTTAAATTACCTTCTCTTAGAAAAATCAGATTTTGGGGAACGACTGTAGAAAACTTAAATTTTTTGTATGTCATATGCCCCTGAGAAGATGTATTTGAGGCGAAGTATTTTAGTATTTAGTATTTTAGTATTTCTTTTCTTTTTTTTTTTTTTTTAAGACGGAGTCTCGCTTTGTTGCCCAGGCTGGAGTGCAGTGGCACAATCTTGACTCACTGCAACCTCCGCCTCCCGGGTTCAAGCGATTCTCCTGCCTCGGCTTCCTGAGTAGCTGGGATTACAGGCACCTGCCACCACACCTGGCTAATTTTTTTTTGTATTTTTAATAGAGACGGGGTTTCACCATGTTGGCCAGGCTGGTTTCAAACTCCTGACCTCAGGTGATCCTCCCTCCTTGGCCTCCCAAAATGCTGGGACTACAGGCATGAGCCACCGTGCCGGGCCATTTTAGTACATTTTGATTATTCTGACTCACAAAGGGGAAAGTGAATTTGGATAAGTTAAAATTCAAAAGTGTATGTTTCCCAAAAAATTTTTTTGATAGGTTGGTAAGCATCAAGGTCATCTTGTAAAGATGATTCCCAGGGAGAAAAGAATATTGACAGAATACCCTAAGATGATTGTTGGAGGGAGGATTATTTCAATTTATCTTTTCAGTAATGATAGGTAAATTTAAATGTCAGTACTCTTTTGTTTTTTTTTTTTTTCATTTTTATGATTTAGAACCTGTAAAAGCTCAATACAAATTCTAATGTCATTCACATTTTCCCTCTCCCGTTTCTTGAATGCCAGATATTCTACCTGGTACTGGTGCTACAGTGGTGCATAGGACATACCATGTCCCTATTTTCATGGAACTATGGTACTAGTAGAGGAATAATAGATGAGTAAAAAACTAAGCAAAACAATTTCTGTTGTGATTAATAATATAAGACTAATGAAGTAGTAATATGAGAGGTCATGAGAGAAATAAGTGGTAACATTAGATTATCAGAAAGTTTATCAAAGATATACTTCATTATGGTTAAATGGCAATTCAGACCTTTTCAAATAATCACTTGATCCGTAGCAAACACCTTTTTGTCTTGCAAATGAGTATTCAAAAGTTTTCAAGTCAGAAAATAAAGTAAATTATAGCTGTTATGTAAAATTACCTAGGCTCTTAAAAAATTTATTTTTCTTTAAAGTTATTTTTAGCCCTGTGAATAAGGGAGAGATGGTGAATTTGAGTATCAGAGACAGCATTTACAAGTAAACAAATTTTAGTTGTCTATAGAACCCTGTCATAGCCAGTGTTTGGTGTGACTATATTGGCCGCAGTTTGAATAAGTATTAAATGAAGAACATTGTTGTTCAAACACCACTAAAATAATGCTCTGAACCATTTGAGGCTGCAAAGGAAAGAACATGTTACAATTAGGAAATTTATTAGGAAATGTTTGTATGGTATGATGTCACTAGTATCAAAAACAAAGAACAGATTCCAGTACCATTAATCCAGTTGCTACAGAAAATAGACACTTTTTAGGTTTTTCTTTAACTTCTAAAAAAATAGATACTTTGTAGGTTTTTCTTTAATGTCTGTTATAATAAGCAACATTTGGAGTGTTAATAAAATTCAGTAGCCAAGAAAATGAGATTCTATGTGTGTTATAAAACAAATGTTTTATATTCCATCATATTTTTGACACTGGTCAGGTATTCTTTCCTTTTAATGCCATTGATTTAATTTTTCCTATAGTCTACTAAAATATGATAAAATAGGCTTAATTCTCTTCATTAGTAACATGGATAAACTGACAGATATGTAATAGTATGATAAATGTTGTCATGTACTGAATTTTAGAAGTAGATTATACGAGTCTCAAAAGAGGGACTGTCATTTCTGTGTATTTTAGAATTCTTTGAACATATTTTTAATTCTGTAGAATTATGCAGTTTTAGTAACAGTGTTTTACTCTGTGTGGTGATTCAGGAAAGCGAAGTGAGGCCTGACCTTTGCCAGAAGTGTTAACTTCTTACTGTGAAGAAAGAATTATGGATAATTTCTTGGAAGAAGGAAAGGCTAATTTAAATTATCTTTGAATAGTAACTAAATAATGTTTATATCTGGCATATTTGTGAAGTAGTCTTTCTTACAATGCATTAGCAGCATAAGCTTTAACTCACAAAAATTTGTAATGTATAGTCTGTATAGTCATGTGCACTTTTTTTTTTTTTTTTTTTTTGAGACAGGGTCTCACTCTGTTGCCCAGGCTGGAGTGCAGTGGCACAATCTTGGCTAACTGCAACCTCCGCCTCCTGGGCTCAAGCCATCCCCCCACCTCAGCCTCCCTAGTAGCTGGGAATACAGGCGCATGCCACTACACCCGGCTAATTTTGTTGTTGTTGCTGTTGTTGAGACAGGGTTTTGCCATGTTGCCTCGTTCTCAAACTCCTGAGCTCAAGCGATCCATCTGCCTCAGCCTCCCACCATGCTCAGCCAGTCTTGTGTACCTTAACAACAAATATATGTTCTGAAAAATGTGTCATTAGGCAATTTTGTCATTGTACGAACATCATAGAGTGTACTTACACAAATGTAGATGATATAGTCTACTACACACCTACGGTATATGGTGTAGCCTATAGCTCCTAGGCTGCAAACCTGTATAGCATGTTACTGTACTGAATACTGTAGGCAGTTGTAACACAATGGTATTTGTGCATTTAAACATAGAGAAGGTATAGTAAAAATATGGTTTTATAATCTTATGTGACCACCATCATATATATGGTTTATTGTTGACCAAAAATGTCATTACACGGTACATGCCTATATATCAATAAAAAGGGGTTTTAGATGGTCAACTAAAAACTGTGGTTGGCTGGGCCCAGTGGCTCATGCCTGTAATCCCAGCACTTTGGGAGGCCAAGGCAAGCGATCATTTGAGGTCAGGAGTTTGAGACCAGCCTGGCCAACATGGTGAAACCCTGTCTCCAATAAAAATACAAAAAATTAGCTGGGCATGATGGCATGCACCTGTAGTTTCAGCTACTTGGGAGGGTGAGGCAGGAGAATCACTTGAACCCAGGAGGCAGAGGTTGCAATGAGTCGAGATCATGCTGCTGCACTCTGGCCTGGGTGACAGAGCAAGACTCTGTCTCAAAAAAATAAAGAAAAAATTTTTAAAAATGGTTAATATACTATTTTTAAATGAAAAAAGTTATACAAAGCCAGCTAACATGTGGTGGAAATGAAATTGTAATATCTTTCAAGGAACATCTGCTTATTATTTTCCTATTACCATAATCTCTGCCAGTTCTTTCTTTTTTCTGTCTTTTCTTAATGATTGTAGTTCTCCAAATCTTTCTGAAATGTCTTCACGCCAGAATAGAATTTCCACTTATTTAGTGAAACTTTGCTTTAATGGCCCTGAAAACATTCAAAATCTCTATATTTGAATACTTGCATATCTTTAAAAATTTTAACGTTCTCCTCATCTCCACCTCCACCAATACTCTTTCTCATTCTCTGCTTAATTTTTATTTATTTATTTATTTTTGAGATGGAGTCTCGCTCTGTCGCCCAGGCTGGAGTGCAGTGGTGCAATCTTGGCTCACTGCAACCTCCATCTCCCAAGTTCAAGTGATTCTTGTGCCTCAGCCTCCCGAGTAGCTGGGATGACAGGTGTGTGCCAGCACATGCAGCTATTTTTTTTTTTTTTTTTTTTTTTTTTAGTAGAGACAGGGCTTTGCCATCCTGGTCAGGCTGGTCTCGAACTCCTGGCCTCAAGTGATCCACCCGCCTTGACTTCCCTAAGTGCTGGGATTACAGGCATGAGCCACTGCACATGGCCTCTGCTTTTTTATTTATTTATTTATTTAGAGACGGAGTTTCACTCTTGTTGCCTTGGCTGGAGTGCGATGGCACAATCTTGGCTCACCGCAACCCATGCCTCCTGAGTTCCAGCAATTCTCCTGCCTCAGCCTCCTGAGTAGCTGGGATTACAGGCATGCACCACCACGCCTGGCTAATTTTCTATTTTTAGTAGAGACAAGGTTTCTCCATGTTGATCAGGCTGGTCTCAGGTGATCCACCCACCTCAGCCTCCCGAAGTGCTGGGATTACAGGCGTGAGCTGCTGTGCCCAGCCCCTCTGCTTTATTTTTATCCTTAGCATTTATCACCAAAAACACTTACTTGTTTTATTGTCTTTCTTCTCTTACTAAAATGTAAATTCCATGAGAACAAGGATTTCTGTTTATTCACTGCTGTATTTTCAGTGTCTAGAATGTCTGGCAGATAATTGATATTCAATAAATATTTGTTGAATAAATGACTGCCCTGATTTTCTCAAAACCTTTTTCTCTTTCAATTGAATTGCTGAAATACTTTATTTCTCCGTTTATTTTTATAGGTTTCTTATAATTTGAGTTAACAAATTGAAGTATCTTCATTAGTTTATATACATGCATTATCAACTTTGACCTGTTTGTTAATTTGTTCCTCGTCTTAGTAAACTCATCTTGGGCTCATTTATATATTCTTTTTCCATTTCTTTAATACTTTAATGATGAATTTCTTTAGAGCTAAGTTGAGTCTGGGGAGTCTATGATGATATAATAAATCTTAACAATAGCAGTCAGTTTTTAAGCATCTACTCTCTTTTATGTCTTGTATATTTTTTAATATTACTCATAAAATTGGAATGGGGAAATAAAAAGACTTTTTACAAAAATATAGCTAGAATCCAGGCCGGGCGCAGTGGTTCATGCCTGTAATCCTTGCACTTTGGGAGACCAAGGTGAGTGGATCACTCAGTGTCAGGAGTTTGAGACCAGCCTGGCCAACATGATGAAACCCCCTCTGTACTAAAAATACAAAAATTGGCTGGATGTGGTGGCGGGCACCTGTAATTCCAGCGATTTGGGAGGCTGAGGCAGGAGGATCGCTGAAACCTGGGAGGCAGAGGTTGCAGTGAGCCAAGAACGTGCCACTGCACTCCAGCCTGGGTGACAGAGCGAGACTCCGTCTCAAAAAAAAAAAAAAAAAAAAAAAAAGTATATGTGTATAAAAAATCCTCTGAAGAACCCATAGGGTAACCAATAAGACATTTTAGAATAATTTGCTTTTTAAAAATTTGTATAATTTTAGCTGCCTTTTTTCAACCTAATGTTAGTACTTTTAGACATAACTTAATACTTGAAAATAGAGTTTTTCCTCATTAACTCTAAGGTTTTTAAATTATCATCATTTTTGAAACTTTTTACTTTTGTTTCACTTCCTACCCTCTCCCAAAAAAGGCATATGTATTGTACATCATGGAGCTAAAATTTAAGCCTGGGTGTTTTGACTTCATTCTACCCAAATACAATGTACTGGTCATTTAGATTCTACTATACTAGAGTACATTTTTAGATGATATGGAGGTAAGTTTGAATTTAGCAATTTGCATCATCCAAACATAGACTTCATAGCGTAAAGATGAAATTGTATTAACAAAAAGTCTTTGGTGATACCATATGGTGTAAAGAGTGTGTGAGATTGCTTTCATCTTTGTGGGAGGACTAAATTAACAGTAGAGCATGGGGAAACAGAGTAGGCAGGAAGTGGAGAATCAGCTGAGGAAGAAGGTGGAGGAAAGAGGTAGTGGACCACATTGAAGATTACTATCCATTGGGACAATTTTGCTTATAACAGTGTACCAACATAGAATGTTACATAGTAAGTCAGTAAAACTAGTTGCCTTGGGAATGTAAGTTGTTGTTTCCGGTTGATCCATCAATTTTGACTCGTTAGTCAAAAATAAGTGACGTAAATGAGTTTTATCTCTAACATCTTTAAGATAAAGCTTTAAAAAAAATTCAGTGTCTGTTAAAATTTAAAGCTTCCCGGCCCGGTGCGGTGGCTCACACCTGTAATCTCAGCACTTTGGGAGGCCAAGGCAGGCGGATCACGATGTCAGGAGTTAGAGACCAGCCTGACCAACATGGTGAAACCCTGTCTACTAAAAATACAAAAATTAGCCAGGCATGGTGGCGTGCGCCTGTAATCCCAGTTACTCAGGAGGCCTAAACAGGAGAATCTCTTGAACCTGGGAGGCGGAGGTTGCATTGAACCGAGATGATGCCATTGCACTCCAGCCTAGGCGACAGAGCAAGACTCTGTCTCTAAATAAATAAATAAAAATAAAAATAAATAAAAAATTAAAACTTCTCTTTATGAAGGTGAATTTGAAGGCTCTTTCGTCTGACTTAGGTTATCTTCACAAAGTAGGATATAGACAAAACAGTGATTTAAGAAAATACAGCTCTCTTATTTATGATTTAAAAAAAAAATCTCGCTGGGCACGGTGGCCTATGCCTGTAATCGCACCACTTTGGGAGGCCAAGACAGGAGGATTGCTTGAGTCCAGGAGTTCAAGATCAACTTGGGCAACATAGCGAGACCTTGTCTCTATAACAAATAAAAAATAAAAACAAATGAGGCAGGAGGATTGCTTGAGCCTGGGAGATCGAGGCTGCAATGAGCTGTGATTGCACCGATGTACTCCCATGTGGGTGACAAGAGTAAGACCCTGTCTCAAAAAAAAAAAAAAAAAAAAGTCTATAGTGACAGTCCTCATAATTTTGCTTCAAGGCAAGGAAACTAAAAATTCGAATGAAGTGTCCGGGCACGGTGGCTCATGCCTGTAATCCCAGCACTTTGGGAGGCCGAGGCAGGTGGATCATGAGGTCAGGACTTCAAGACCAGCCTGGCCAAGATGGTGAAACCCTGTCTCTACTAAAAATACAAAAAAAATTAGCCAGGCATGGTGGTGGGCGCCTGTAATCCCAGCTACTCGGGACGCTGAGGCAGAGAATTGCTTGCACCAGGGAGGCGGAGGTTGCAGTAAGCCAAGATCGCGCCACTGCACTCCAGCCTGGGTGACAGAGCGAGACTCCGTCTCAAAAAAAAAATTGAATGAAGCAGAAATTTATTCTTTTAAGCCCATTTAGCTGTTACACACATAGTTATAGCATATTCTCTCTTGAGATAACTTGCTTTTAATTGGAAAACTAATTCATTAAATATCCAAACTCTATATCATTTCTGGAATAAGTGATTTTAGCAATTTTCGATGCTTATTCTAACATGATGCATATATTGAGTATGTACTTTTCTTTAAATGCAGGCATATTTTGGCAATAGTTTTTTAAAGAGCTAATATAATACTGAGGAAAACTTTTTTGAAACTTTCTTGTATATATCTATAAAGAATTATAGATAAGAGATGAATTCTAATTAACATCTGGTGTCATGCCACCCACTGACCATGGGTAAGTGCTCTAGTGGATCTAAAATTAGAAATTTTTAAAAAGTGGCACAAGTTAACTTTTTATAGTTATTTTTCATGGTTATTTGCTTTCTCATCATAGTATTAAGTTAAATAAAGGATTCAGAAAGAGTTGAATACCTTCAAAAACGTATTCCTCAGCAACTAGTTATATCTGAACATGTAGTCAATTTATGAAGAATCTGTCATAGTTATTCCTTAATATTGCAAAGATTCAGTAATTATCACATGGCACCCATCCATCCTGTAGTCTAATTCATCCCAGACCCTTTGCATATCATCAGTGTCAGTGGTTGTAATGGCAGATACAATGTATTTCTTCATTTCTTCAAAGAAGAGGTGGTATAAACAGAAGGTGCATACTTGATGTATTAACTAAATTGAAGAATTAGAAAGAATTCAGTTCTTTCTGAATCACCTTGTACGTTCAGAATCTACATGTATTCTTGTAACTAAAGTTTTATAGAAGTTAAACATCTGTTGTAGAGGAGAGAAATAATGTTTCACTGAGGAGGAACTGACTTTCATGAAATGATCATTAGACAGCATTTTTAATAAAGCAGTTAGGTTTCTTAATTTTAATATCAGTTGACATTTTAAAAATATAGCTCTCTTATTTATTATATTAAAAATATGGCCTGGTGTGGTGGCTTATGCCTGTAATCTCAACACTTTGGGAGGCCAAGGCGGGTGGATCACTTGAGGTCAGGAGTTCATGACCAGCCTGGCCAACATGGTGACACCCCATCTCTACTAAAAATACAAAAATTAGCCAGGCATCGTGGTAGGCGCCTCTAGTCCCAGTTACCTGGGAGGCTGAGGCGGGAGGATTGCTTGAACCCAGGAGGCGGAGGTTGCAGTGAGTCAAGATCACACCACTGCACTACAGCCAGGCTGACAGAGCGAGACTCCATCTCAAAAAAAAACCCAACATATTTATACATACATACATATATATATATATATATATATATATATATATATATATATATAGTACAGTGACAGTACTTATAAATTTGATGTATTTTTAGTTTCCTCAGTGAGAACTAACAAGAAGAAAAAGAGCACACATGCTCGAACTTTTATTGAGGAATGTTTCTTAATTTTGCTCGATCTTTTACTGAGGAATGTTTCTTAATTTTCTAGCACCTAAAACTTCAGATTTCCAAATAATAATTAGACCATTTTGACTTGAATGCTTTAATTTGGGGACATCTGATATTTTTAAAGCTTTTTTATTATTATTTGTTTGTGTGTAGAGATGAAGGTCTCACTATGTTGCCCAGGCTCATCTTGAGTGATCCTCCCACCCTGGCTTTCCAAAGTGCTAGGATTACAGGCATGAGCCATCGCACCCAGCCTCATATATTATTAACTGAAGTCTATCTGGTATTATAATTTTAGTTATTTAATTCATTGAAGTTACAAAAGATTTAAGACCTTATATAACTTTTTCCATATTTGTTTAATTGCAATATAGCACACCTACAGAAGAATGTACAAATCATAAGTTATAGCTTGATGAATAATTATCTAGTTAGCATTACCCATATAACAAGTGTTGGATATTTTTTTACAGGAGACTTTGCAGCAATTGATCATGATGTCGTTGCCAAATGTCTTAATCATTGGCAAAAATCCCTTTTCTGGTAAGTATTAAAATTAAGCTGTGAAAGTAATGTCTAACCTTTGTGTAATACTATGATGTTTATTTTTTACTAAGAGCTTATATACATTAACTCACTAGATTTTTCACAACTGTAGACGTTGGAGGTGATGTTCCATTTTATAGAAAGAGACAAGCTTAGAATATTTGTAAGTTATAGGTAAGACCAGACATAAATTTTACATTAAATTCAGTATTTTTTCTACTATACCAAACAGATACTTTTGTGATGATTTTTAGTGTCTCATTATAGAGAAGTATAGAAGATGATGTAGTTACAAACTTAAAAGAATATTACCTTAGAAAAGAAATGATTTTGAAATAATTTCCAGGTTTCTATTCATATATCTACTATCTACCATTGCCAAAATTGTTTGAATCTTAAGTTTTACTGATTGATATGTTTTATTTATTTATTTATTTATTTAGAGATGCAGTTTCGCTCTTGTTGCCCAGGCTAGAGTGCAATGGCATGATCTTGGCTCACTGCAACCTCAACCTCCTGGGTTCAAGCGATTCTCCTGCCTCAGCCTCCCAAGTAGCTGGAATTATAGGCGTGGTCACCATGCTAATTTCTGTATTTTTAGTAGAGACAGGGTTTTACCATGTTGGCCAGGCCAGTCTCGAACTCCTGACCTCAGGTGATCTGCCCGCCTCGGCCTCCCAAAGTGCTGGGATTAGAGGCATGAGCCACCACGCCCAGTCTGATATGTTTTAATTTATATTAAACTTCTTCTGAATGGAAAGATGAGAGGCAGTTTCTTAGATCATTTAATTTTTTCTTCAAAATGTTCTGCCCTTTATACCACATTTTAAATGTGATATTTTAGAATTGTAATTTTTGAACAGTTGAGGAAATTAGCAGCTACCTAACAGTTTCAACAATGGGCTTATCCTTACAGTCTACATGTTATCCAAATTAGTGTATTTTCTTCAGCCCATACCCCCTCTCAGTCAAAACAAACAAAACCAAAATAAAAACTAAAATCAAGTAGCTATTTTTATAGAGGAAACTATTAATTAGATGTGTGAATTAGCAGCTTAGTTTTTAGAGATACCATGGGATGTTTGATTATATAAATTTAAAAATGAAAAAAATTGCGTGTAGGATGGAATTGTTTCCCATCGTACATACATTTGGTAAGTACCTACCAAGTTACTGGGACCAGGAGTGGAAATAAATGGTCTATGTTCTAGAAGCTCTTATGGTTTGGTGAAGGATACACAGATTATGGGGAAATCATGTAATAATTAGTATGAAGTAAAAATATGTACCAAATGTTCTGGCATATAAAATTTGGAGCCATTAATTATTCTTAAAGTTGACGTATAAGTGAGAGTGGGGGACCATTGATGATTGGATCAGGGAAGACTACACAGAGATGATAAGAGCTGTGCCTAGGATTGTGATTAGCAAGTAGTTCACTAGGGGGATGAGGAGGTTGGGGAAGGAGGACAGACAGAGGGAGTAGTATTAAGGCAGAGGAGTTGTATATATGCATATTTGGGAAGAATGGTGATTAATGGCTCAGCATAGCTAGAAAGTAGGTTGTTTCATGGAGAGTAGAAGGAAATGTCTGATAAGAAGATTTGGACTTTTTCATAGACAGATTGGCCCAGTGGTGAAAATCTGGCCCAAAGAAGTGATTTTTTTCCAGTTGAATATTTTAAGAAAATCTTAGTTGAATGCTGTTGGACAGGGAATATTCTCTCCATTTCTGTTATAGATTGTTAACTTTTACCTGACTTGTTATATACATTTATTTTAACAGCCTCACTGTAACAGACATTTAAGATTCTGGTCTTCATGAACTTGCACAGTGGAAAACCATTTAAATTTTATAAGGAGATGAATCATAAGATCTGTGTTTTAAGTAAGAAAACACTAATAGGCCTAAGAGGAGCCAAACCTATTAGGAGCCATTTTGGCTACCTTTGTGGCATGTCCCTGTATCAACCTGATTTGGCAGGTTCTTGATTTGTCAGGCTGGGGTAGTACAATCATTTATGGAAAAGGAGTAGATTCATAGTTAGCATACTTGTTGCACAGAGCCTTGAAACCTCTTTATCCATTAGCCCTTCAAAATTGATATTCTTCCCCATTTCTTCTGCTGTTACCACCGTGTACATACACAGAGCTGCTATTTTGAATGCTCCACTACATATGCTTAGACTGAATCCTTCACTCAAGTTACTGTGCATAATTACCTCTAGAAGTGATTCTCCAAATATAATAGAGTTGAAAATATAGCAGAATGTTGTCCTTAATAATTGTTTCTATTTTAGAACAAGGCACAGAAGAAGTTAAAAAACTGCTTTTACTTTTATTGGGTTGTGCAGTTCAGGTAAGTTAAAATATTTTTTCATATTTTCATTTTAACAACCTCTTTATATATTTTTATCAGGCTGTAGTTTCTGAAAGACTTAAGGATGGACCATTGGTTTTCAAAGTCCATGTTAGAAAATTTTCAATAACTGTATAACCTCCTAAGGAGATTACATTGAAAAAAACCACTTATTTTATTTCAGAATTTAGTTACATTATCATAGTCATATCATTTAAAATATTTAATTACTCTTTTCCTTATTCTGAGGCTTATAATGACCTTAAATTTTTGAGGTTTTTTCAGAGGTGCCCTTAAAAACCGCTCCCAAAACATCCTTGTGATTTATGTTGTACTCGTGTATGTTTCAGGAGAAGGGAAGGGAGAAGAGAAGGGAAGGGAGGAGGCAGAATTTATTTAAAAGAAAAAAAAGGTAAAAAAGGAGGCAGAATTTATGAAAAGTGTTTTAGGAATCTTGTTTATTATTATATTGCTCTTTGATCAATGACTATAATAATAGCTATGATTTATAGAATACCTACTTTGTGTCAGATATTATCCCTTACATAGATTTTCTCATAATATCTTCTTTCAGGTCAGGAGATTGGGTAGGGTAATATTTAAGTTTTTATCGAAATTGGGACACTTGCGAAAGTCAAAGAAGGTACTGTTAATAATTATAGAGTGGGCTAGGCGTGGTGGCTCATGCCTGTAATCCCAACACTTTGAGAGGCTAAGATGGGAGGATCACTTGAGGCCAGGAGTTTGAGACCAGTTTGGGCACATAATGAAACCCCATTTCTGTTTTAAATACATATAATAATTACAGTGGAATGGCATGTGTAAACTGGGACTGTCCCAGGCAAACCAGGATGATTACTCTAAGTTTAAATTTAGGTCATATTGCTAGTAGTCCAAAGAACTGTGAGTCAACTCTGCTCTGACTTCAAAATCTATTATACTATGTTTTTCATTTCAGCCATTTTTTGGATGAATTATTACAGTGTCATTTTAAACTGTCTCACTTCTTTGTGGAATGAGGTTATTTATAAACAAATAATATGATTACTAGTAATTTTTTTACATACATATAACAGAAATTATATGTCCCAGTGTTGGCTTTTAGAGCTGACTGCTTGGGAGCTATAATCTTACATAATATATGTTATTAAAATTTCATGCTGTGTAATGTACAGGTGTTTACTTCACAATTGATTAAATATTAAGTTGAATATGGTCTTCTAATTTGGTCATCAGATTTTGAGTTAGAAACACAACTCGTATTTACAGCCTTTATGTACTATATTTGCTTTAAAAAATACCCTGTGTTGGTGAATGTTGCGTAAATTTAGATTACATAGCAATAGCATAAATATGGTTTTTATTGCTGGTTATTGCTTGGTGGTTATTGCTGATTACTAGAATTCACAGTAGGAATGGAGCAGAACCAAGGACCTTTTTTTGAGACAGGGTCTCACTCTGTCAGGCAGGAGTGCAGTGTCATGATCACGCCTCTCACTGCAGCCTTGACCTCCAGGGTTCAAATGATCTTCCCATTTCAGGCTCCTGAGCAGCTGGAACTACGGGCATGTGCCACCATGCCTGGTTAATTTTTTTTTTTTTTTTTTTAAGAAATGGGGCCTCACTGTGTTGCCCAGGCTGGTTTCAAACTCTTGACCTCAAGTGATCTTCCTGCCTCGGCCTCCCAAAGTACTGGGATTACAGGCATGAGCCACCCTGCCTGGCCCCAAAGGGTAAATTTATCTGAGAATAAAGAAAGACTAATTATATGCAAGTTAATTCTCTTTTTTTTTTTTTTTTTTTTTTTTTTGAGACAGAGTTTCGTTCTTTTTGCCCAGGCTGGAGTGCAATGGTATTATCTTGGCTCACTGCAACCTCTGCCTCCCAGGTTCAGGTGATTATCCTGCCTCAACCTACCAAGTAGCTGGGATGATAGATGTGTGCTACCACACCTGGCTAATTTTTTATTTTTAGTAGAGACAGGGTTTCACCATGTTGGCCAGGCTAGTCTCAAAACCCTGACCTCAGGTGATCTGCCCGCCTCGGCCTTCCAACGTGCTGGGATTACAGGCTTGAGTCATCATGCCCGGCCTAATTTTTTTCATATGAAGAGAGAATAGGTTTTATCAACTGTAGAAAACAAAGCAAAGGCTCAAGGAGACCATCATTCTAACCTATGTTAACATCATTCAAGGTTTTTTAGAAATGAGGAGATGGAAAGGGTGTCAGACCTTGGTTTTTGATATGATATCAGCTTGTCAAGAAACTTAAAGACCCATCTTTATATATATTTTATGTCCATGTAGTCATAGCAGAATTATGCTTTTACTTGAGAGCCCTTAAGACTTGCATCTATTGTGGTGCCAGAATGATGTATCTACCAAGAAAAGAGGAAGGATCCAATTTTGAAAAATGTTATCATTCTGCATTTCAAAAATGTTAGTGACCTAATTTTTTTCTTTTAATGTTTATGGGTGCTATAGTAAAGGACAGGGACAAGGATTTTAGAAAAAAGACGTAAAGCTCAAGGAGTTTGAATTTTAGAGAAGACAAGAGTAAACAGTACGAGTTTGAGGTGATAATTACCGTAATGTAATATACATTGGTGCATTGAAGAAGTATTTTCTTAAGTTTACTGGTAGTATTAGGAAAGCCCTCTGACAAGGTAATATTTGAAATGAGAGCAAAGATGTTGAGAAAACACCCTATTCAAGGAACATGAAGTGTGGTTGGGCCAGGGGTGGTGGTGGGTGGATCATTTGAGGTGAGGCGTTCAAGACCAGTCTGGCTACATGGTAAAACGTTGTCTCTGCCAAAAGAAAAATACAAAAAAATAGCTGGGCATAGTGGCTTGCGCTTGTAGTCCCAGCTACGCAGGAGGCTGAGACAGGAGAACGGTTTGAACCTGGGAGATGGAGGTTGCAGTGAGCTGAGATGGCTCCACTGCACTCTAGCCTGGGCGACAGAGCAAGACTTCATCTCAAAAAAAAAAAAAAAAAAAAGTGTGGTTGAAACGTAGGATTCATGGGGATGAGTGGCAAGGTATTAGACTGGAGAGTTTACATGAATTGAGTTATGAAGGACTGGATTTGCCACTTTAAGATAGAGTTCAGATTTCAGGCCAGACATGGTGGCTCACACCTGTAATCTCAGCACTTGGGAGGCCGGAACAGTGGATCACCTGAGGTCAGGAGTTCCAGACCAGCCTGGCTGACATAGTGAAACCCTGTCTCTACTAAAAATACAAAAATTAGCCGGGTGTGGTAGTGGGCATCTGTAATCCCAGCTACTCGGGAAGTTGAGGCAGGAGAATTGCTGGAACCCAGGAGGCGGAGGTTGCAGTGAGCCAAGATTGTGCCACTGCACTCCAGCCTGGGTGACAGAGCAAGACTCCATCTCAAAAAAAAGAAAAAAATTATTCTGTGGGTGTTTTGGAGCCACTACTACTAATAATATAAAATGTGTGACCAAAATCTGTCAGCCTTCAGCTGTGACCATATAAACAATTAGAAGTCTTTGTTGATACTTAATAGCCAGAATGTGTTTCTGGACAAGAAGCTATTGAGGAAACCAATCAGCCAACAAGTATTGTTGGAATATTTTGTAAAATGTCCTCTCTATTTCAGAAAATTTGTTCATCTTATAGTTGAACAGATTAAAATTCTAATATGTAAATAGCATGTTTTCCCACATCTAGGTCAATCAATTTTATCTGTTATAATTGTTATTTGTAGATAGAAATAGCAAGATACAATTTGCTGATACTAAAGTTTAGGAAATCAGTGGACCACAGGTTTCAAGAGATACTATATTCATGAAAAGAAATAGGGCTGGGTGCAGTGGGTCATGCCTGTAATCTCAGCACTATGGGAGGTTGAGGCAGGAGGATTGCTTGAGGCCAGGAGTTTGAGATCAACCTGGGCAGCATAAGGAAACTCTATTTATACAAAAAAAAATTTTTTTTTAATTAAAGAGGGAGAAAGAGAGAGAGAGGGAGGGGGGAAAGAGAGAGAGAAACAAGCATTGGGAAATTGAAAAATGTTTTCTTCTTTTGAAGAAAAAAAATGAAATTCTTAAGAGGAAGCAGCATTCAAAAACAGTAAAGTTAACCATTATCCAAAGATCTTACCTGACAAAATAAATTATGACTTTTAATCCTTGATTATATGTAAGTAAAAGCCACATAAATAACTTTAAATATGAAGAAAACCATCCAAGGCCAGGGCTTGGGTATTTTTGTTATTGGCTGTCCAACTCAGTCAAGTTCCTCCAGAATCTTTTTCAATGGGCAACCCAAGTCTTCTGAACCAGTTCTGAGCATCACCTAGAATTTTCACACATCTGTGACTCTTCATCCTAGCCCTGAAGTAGTTAGAGAGTCCTAGGTGAAACCATCCTATGCAGAAGAAAAAGTTTTGCAGTGTTTTGTTTGGAAATTTCTTTGTTCTAAGACTATGTGAAATTCATCTCTTTTTAGCAGAACTTAAAACCTACATAATACCTATCAGTGCAGGCTGCTTAGTATCCAGAAATATTACTTATTTTGGACTTTGGCCAGGTTGGGTAGTGCTGAAAGTAACTGAGTGTCAAGTGTGGTTGGAATTAAAATTTTGACCCTTTTATGTACCCTTAGAAGGAATCTACCGTTAGTATTTGATTCTGAAAACCAGTTTTGAACTTGGTTAGTTTGATGGCTACAATCTATTGTTTACTTATCAATGATCTGTAAAGCATCTTAAAGGTTAACATTTTAGAAATAAAACAAGTTTCTGCTTGGTTCAATGATGCGCCTTTAGTCTCAGCTACTTGGGAGGATCACTTGAGGCCAGGAGTTCAAGGCAGCCATATGGTATGATCATGCCTGTGAATAACCACTGTGTTCCAGCCTGGTAACGTAGCAAGACCCAGTCTCTTAAAAAAAAACAAGGAAATAAAACAATTTCTAGCAAGGCATTTGTTTTTCTGAGAATATTTAAAAATACAAATATAGCTCAAAGAGGGAGACTTTTGTTGATACAAGTATTGTTTTCAAATACATAATAGGAAATTTACCATTTTAACAATTTTTTAAGTATATAGTTCAGTGGTATTCTGATTGCTGTACATTCACATTGTTGTGTAACCATTACCACCATCCATCTGAAGAATTTTTCTCATCTTCTGAAGCTAAAACTCTGTACCCATTAAATGATGACTCCCTTTGTTACCAGACCTCGGTAACCACCATTTTACTTTATGTCTCTATGAATTCGATTGTTCTAGGTACCTCATATAAATGGAATCATACAGTATTTGTCCTTTTGATGGGCTTATTTCACTTAGCGTAATGTCTTTAAGGTTTTTTCATGCTATAGCATGTGTCAGTTTCCTTCCTTATTAAGGCTGAATAATATTCCATTATTTATATATGCCAAATTTTGTTCATCCATTCATCATTGATGAACACTTGAGTTGCCTCCATTTTTTGGCCCTTGTAAACAATGTTGCTATGAACATGAGTGTACAAATGTCTGTTTGAATCCCTGCTTATTGCTCTTTGGTAGAACTATGATTTGTTTAGACCTATATTATCGGTTTTCTTATTTAAAACACTATAATGTGTTCCTTGTCTTATTATTTTCTTGTTCAATAGCTTGTTTTGGGTGCCATTTCCTCTATTTTAGTATAGCTTTTCCATATAAACCTGTCTTCTTTCTTTAAGATCATAGAGCAGGTATTGAAAATATGAGGAATTTGAGGAATAAAGTATTAAGGGCTTAAGATCTCTGGTAGAAGATGTACAACTTTAGGGTTTATGCATATCTCTCCCACCCACCTCCCACCCTAATCACTTTTTTTGCTTTTTTCCTATGTCCAAGTTTCCACATCATATCTTGTGTGTGTGTGTGTGTGTGTGTGTGTGTGTGTGTGTGTGTGTATGTGTGTGTGACAGAGTCTTGCTCTGTTGCCTAGGCTGGAGTGTAGTGGCGCAATCTTGGCTCACTACAACCTCCGCCTCCTGGGTTCAAGCAATTCTTCTGCCTTAGCCTCCCAAGTAGCTGGGATTACAGGCGCCTGCCACCATGCCTGGCTAATTTTTTGTATTTTTAATAGAGACAGGGTGTCACCATGTTGGCCAGGCTGGTCTTGAACTCCTGACCTCAGGTGATCCAGCTGCCTCAGCCTCCCAAAGTGTTGGGATTACAGGCTTGAGCCATCACGCCTGGCCTCCATGTCGTATTCTTAGAATATCATGGTAATCTACTGGCTTAGTAATCAGTTACTATAATACAATAGAGTTAAAAAATTAATTTTAGTGCCCATGATAGTTTAAGAACTTTACATAAAGATAAGAGAGCTTAATTTTAATTGGAAAAAACAATTTGCTGATATTATTTAGTCTTCACAGCTGGTATTAAGCTATATATCTGTTTTTAACACCAGACTTTCTCATGCTCTGGAGCTGGCCTATTCAATACAGTAGCCACTAGCCGCATGTGGCTATTTAAATTAAAATTAATTACAATTAAATTAAAATTTCAGTTTCCCAGTTGCACTAGCTACATTTCAGGTACTCAGTAGCTGCATATAGCTAATGATCACCGTATTGGGCAGCTCTCATATAGAAATTTGATCTGATTATTCAGCTTCAAAGTGTGAATATTTTATTCTTTTTTCCATCTTGACAGTCTTTCTCTTTTTTAGCCTTCAAAAGCCTATGAAATTTATTCTGTATCCTTAGGGAAGCCCAACCTGTTTATAAAACATTTTGAGAATGCTTAGCTTCTAAGAGTTAAATTAAGGTGTGAGATTTAGTAGAAATCGTGTGTGTTACAAGAGTAAAGGGAAAATTTTCATTGATTTGTGTTGAGATTGTGCTAAAGGACGAGCTCCTAAAGATAGTACAAGTAAAAAACAAGTGGCTCTGGCTTAGAAAAGGGAAGTATATCTATTTAGTCTAAACTGAAGGCAGAGAAAGATACGGCAGTTGAATTAAGGAACTCTTTGGTGAGTCATAGTCATTACCTTTGATAATAATTATGCTGTTTTGTGTTCTGATAGGTTCAGAAACTGTGTAGGTCAACAATTTTGGTAGTGTTAAATTTTAAAATTGATGTTACTATACCTGAAAAGTTAATTATGTTATATATGCTATGAATTTATGATTAGAACGTAATTCTTAATTGTTCTTACAAGGCCTGTCAAGTATTATTTGCTAGAAAAAAATTCTTGAGTTTAAACCCACTAAGTTTTATTCCATCCACCCAAAACTCTGACTTCCTAATCACAGCTAGGAATTATACATTTCTGGTAATTTAGTTTTAACCATTTTATTATCCTAATAATTCTGTGTTTACAAGATATAGAACTTTCTGCATTGATGGAAGTGTATTTAAATTGTATAGTAGTAGAAAATATAGCATTACAGTTTGATAAAATAAACACGTAAAGCATAAATCAGAGCCTTATAAGTTTCATGATCAAAGAGCTAGTTTGTAATTTTGTGACTATATTGTCCTCACTAGTAGTTCAGTAATTGGCCCAGGAGATGCATCTAAGTTAGACAAGGCAGTGCTGTCTATTTTGTAGGCACTTTGCATTTGTTAGCTGTAAGAATACAGTGATACTAGCAGTTGGTTTGCAGCATTAGAGATGTAGGTGAAGGTGGAGATTAAAATGCATGTTAAATTGTTAATGCTGACTGGAAGGAAAAGATTGTTTTGCATTTTAATATTTTTAATTTATATAAAGCTTTTTAAAAGTTACACAATAAAGAATTACCCCCTTTATTCCATTTGGTTACGTGTGTACTCATGTATATATTTTTTAAGTTTGCCTCTGGTAACTTTGCTCTGTTAGAAACAAATCAAATATTTATTAGATTATGTTATAAATGTTGAACTGGGCCACAAAAGTGGGTTTCTTTTATTAAGCTTGATAGGATGAAGATGTGAGAATGAATTGTAAGCTTGAAGTAAAAATTGCTTAAATTTTTTTTCCAAGAAGAAAGGCTGTGTTGTTTGGTAATAGTCAGGGACTGACTGAGCATTTTGGCTGTATTCCGAATTCTGCCACTGACTCACTGTGTTTTTTGGCAAGTAACTTATCCTCACTGAAACAAGTTCTTGATTCTTTACTTCTCTGTGTGTAAAGTTAGCATAATAATATTGTGCTAACCTCAGATGGGTTGTGTAATGGTTTCCCACTTTAGAACTTTCCAGCATAAAAATAGTATGGATTTTCAGTGCCTTGCTTTTTAAAATAATTATTTCTAAATTGTTGTTTATTAGGTAAGTATGTTGGACAATTTAAATGCAAAACAAAACTCTTACTATACTTTTCAAAATATAGCAAACCTCATAAAGTTTTAGTTATATATAACATTTTAAGGACCATACCCTATAAAGTATGAATAACTATTTTATTCATTTATTTTAGTGTCAGAAAAAAGAGGAATTTATTGAAAGAATTCAAGGTTTAGATTTTGATACAAAAGCAGCGGTTGCCGCACATATTCAAGAGGTAATGACATATATACAATTTTACGTGCTATTTATGAAGCTTGTGGTGTGTTTATTTGTCTATCTCCTAAAATACTTCAAAGTCATAGAATAAGCAAGAACAAATCAACAAATATAGATGGACCCTGCTTTTATACAAATTGTCTTCTCTTTAGAGATAGTTTCTTACACTTGGCACACTGTTAACTACAAATATACTCTTGCCTTTATTCTATAGTGACATAGGCAGAAAGTGTTATTTGAGGAATGAGGTATATGTCTTTGTTAGAATGGATTACAAAGCAGTAAATGGAAACAGCAGAAAGTGGAACACTGCTTGTAATTCAAAACGATAGTGAGGTAAGATGACAAGCTTAGTATTATTCCATTGATTTTCTTTTGAAAGAATAGATGCATAATTTTTATTAAAGATATTACTTGAATTATAAACACATTAATGATTTGTAGCATTCATATAAAAACTTAAGTCTAGGGCATATTGTGCAGTGTCAAATAATTGAAATTAAAATTTGTTAAGATTCATTTTAAAAGCTGCTGTTTCTATGTCTGTCTATTCTTGGGCTTTTAATCTTATAAAGACACTTTAGAATTAGTATGTTAAATTTTACATGTTGATTAGAAAAGGGAAAAGAAAATTTTTTATAGTGAAAATTGGTAGTATTTAAAATATTCTTTGTTCAAAAGACTTTTGTGTTCCATAGGACATCTTTTCTCTTATTTAGCATTTGTAAAGCCCAGATTTCTTATCAGTAACATTATTATCAACAATAAGCATATTAGTACTTTACAAGATGTAGTTTTATAGGTAGTCTCCCATTATAGAGACATACTTGCTTTATGCTAGTTATATGGATTTGTTTTATTCTGAATAAATGCTAAGTATTGCAAGTTACTGAATTTGCCACCATCCTTGGAAGTGTAATTATTTTTGCTGTTTGTTATGAAAGTTAAAGCAAGTTATTAGAATTACACTGAGAAATGGAAGGCACTTATATAACTTTTCCATTCTTTTCAAGATCTTTATATTGGTAATCCTTTCTCCTAAGCTTCTGTGACAGTGTCATCTTCAGAATCTATAAAGACCTAGATATTCAGTAACAACAATGCAATAACATATATCCTACAAGATTAAAAACCTTTTGCTCTTGAATTCAAGTACAATAAATTAGAAGTCTTATCTACAGAATTCAGTTGATTTTGTTAAAGAAGTCATCAGGATATATCAACATTACTTTCCTTTAAGAATGCCTTGAGTTAAATATTAATATTTTATTTTTGTTGACTAGAAAATGAATATTAATTCATTTAAGGTTTATATTTAGTTAAAATAATTTTTATTTGTAGTGTTTTTATCATTTCAAATGTTCTCCTTTTAACATCATATTGGCTTTTCATATTTTATATGGGTTATATAATACTTGGGCTAATATTGTACTATAGTGAAATAGATTTTTAAGTATTAGCCACTTTTTTGGTTGTTTATTTTGGTCACTTTTCTAAAGGTAACTCATAATCAGGAAAATGTGTTTGACCTGCAATGGATGGAAGTGACTGATATGTCGCAGGAGGACATAGAACCACTCTTGAAAAATATGGCATTGCATCTAAAAAGACTTATAGATGAGAGAGATGAACATTCAGAGGTTTGTAAAATTCTTTCAGTATATTGTGAAAGTTTGCTTTCCAAAAAAGAAAATAGTAGCTTTAGGAACTTTTCAGAAACGATACTATTTCTTAGAGACAGGTGATACAGGAGTGTCTTTTTTTGTGTGGAACACAGGAACCTGAAAGGATGTATAAGAACCCCAAATTGCTAGTAAACAGATTGCAGTTAGGTTTTCTCTTCTCCTTTTCTTTTAAATTAGTATTATTCTGATTTTCTTCCTGTGTGTTTTTCAAGTCATCCCCACAGCTTTGGCAACAATACAAAAGTGTGAAACTGAAAATATAGTTGATGTAAGTGGAAAAATCATTGCCGTGAAGCATAAGAATTTGCTTAAGGCTAATTTCGTAGTTTTATTGCCACATGTTGAGGTTGGAAAAGTAAGTTTTAATAAAAGGAGAATAACAGGTGTTCTGAATAAAATGTCCCAAAAAAGATCTCAAATGAGGTGTGATTTTAAAAAGAGAATTATTTTAAGTCCGTTAAAACAGAGCTTTGCTTTTTAAAAAGAGTCACAGTGTACCAAGTTTTCTATCTGCACTGTCTGAAAGCAGTTTATAATTTTAAAGAGTCTAGACTTTAGTGCGTGTGGTGGTGGGTAATATTTTCTTAATAGCAGAGCAAAGTACTCTGCCATTCTGCAGAATATATAGCTTTTATCAGTTTCGTTTACATGTGAGAGACAGTTTTGAGCTTATTTATAGAGAATTTGTATCAATACTCTTGAGACCAATGAAAGACTACATAGAGAAAATTCCTAAAGATTTTTTTCAGAATAAAACTTTCTTGTCTCTCTAGGGGTTAGTCAGTTCTGATGTGAATTTTCAATTTTTCTTCAGGCATTAAACAAAAAGAAAATATACAAAATAAACATTTTTAGAGCAACAATTAAATTTTTTAAAAAGCTAGGACTTTGAGACCAAAGGAAGGAAAGAATAAATTGGAAAACATTCCTACTATGCATCAAATTTATCCTGAGATACTTAGATCATTTCATTTTCAATCAGATTTTTTAACTCTATGCTATCTTTTTTTAGTGTCTTTTTACTGATTTATGCGTTCTCTAGAACATTTATTTATTTGTATTTCAAGTTGTTAAAGATATTACAATAAGGTATCCTCCAGTTTCTGAGGAATTATTCCTAAAAATCTATACTTTGGTTTTATTTTATTATATTTTATTTTACTTTTTAAAGTTTTTTGAGATGGAGTCTGGCTCTGTTGTGCAGGCTGGAGTGCAGTGGTGTGGTCTCGGCTCACTGCAACCCCCGTCTCCCAGGTTCAAGCAATTCTGCCTCAGCCTCCCAAGTAGCTGGGATTACAGGCACGCGCCACCACGCATGGCTAATTTTTGTATTTTCAGTAGAGACAGGGTTTGGCCATGTTGGCCAGGCTGGTCTCTTAACTCCTGACCTCAGGTAATCTTCCCTCCTCGGTCTTCCAAAGTGCTGGGAATACAGGTGTGAGCCACTGCACCCAACCTATGCTTTGGTTTTGTATGACTGATGGGTGCGTATAAAATGTTTGATCTCAGGCTGGACATCTCAAAAAAAAAGTTTGATCCCATTTAAGTGAATTGATTAATATGGGGTGAACAGAATACTTATCATTACATGCCTCTGGTAAACTAAAAGGAATATGAAATACTATATAGAATGATTGTTTGAAAAACCTTTTAAAATGTGTTATCCTGCCAATTAAGCATTTTTGTTGAATTTCTTTTTCAAATAAGGAAGAAAAAGTGGTCATACTCTTCTGTCTCAGATACTTGGGAAACAACTTGCTAGCTGGGAGAGGGTGGAGGAGAGATATCCAGTTATCCGGGAAATTTTTTTCCCTCAATTTGGGCTACCAGTAGACTAACTTGAAAAGGTCATTTAAAAAATTGTGAAAAATGTTAGACAAATGTAAAGGTAGTATGTAAATCTAATTCTATGTCATTCAATTAGATTGAAACAAGTTGTTATTTAGAGTTTCTCTTTAACTTTTTTTGTTTTGATTAGCTTTTGTTATAATTGTTTCACTTCAGTCTAAAAAGTATATATTTGGTCACCCTTTTTAACATTTCTCTTTCGTATTCTTAATGCTATAGAACAAGTATGTCTTCAGTCCTCTCCTTTTACTAAAACCCAAATAGATTTTTAATGAATTTAAGATCTCTTTATTATCACTATTTATTTTATGCACTTTGTGCTACAAGTTTAACACATACTGTTTTATTAAATCTGCATGAAAACCCCATTTTATAGATGAAGATACTTGAGCCCCAAGTAGTTAAGTAACTTGCCAGATCTAACTCCACTGCCCATGGTTAGAAACATAATACTGTAATACCTTTGCCTAAATCCATGATTGTACTGAGCACATCTCTAATTTCTTTTCCTTAATAATGAGTTCTACAAGTAGAATTAATAGGTCACCTGTTTTTGTTGTTAGCATTGATGTATCTTTTTATGTTCATTCTTCAGTATAAATTAAGAAACACCTGGTTTTTGCAAGGTCTTGTGCTTGGGAGCAAAAAACTGACAAACTATTTCAAAAAAGAACCAAAGATTGTTATAGTCTAATAAGGAAGTTATTTTAATAAAATAACTATAATAAAATTTTGAAAGTGATAAGTACAAAAATGATATATATCATTTTTTATATATATTCCTATAGCATATAGTATATATTTCTATATATATTCTTATATATATGCTACAGGAATGGGGGGGCATACGAAATTCGTTATGCTTTAAAAACATTTCCCGTCAGATTATTTTGTTTGTTTTTGAGTCAGACTATTTTGAAAATGTATAGGAAGCCTTGAACTCAAGAAGTTACTGCCATTAGAGAAATGTCAAAATATCTAAATAATCTTTAATGGAAAATACTCTGGGAACTCTTAACTTTTAAAATACCAGGTTTCTTTCTTTCTTTTTAATATTTTGTAATATGTAGTTCATTGACTTCTAGAAGCTCTTGATAGATATCTCCATTTCACCACCTACTAAGTTCAAATGTAGTATCTGTCTTCTGTATTTTCTCCTGTTCTTAATTTTGTGAATTGCTTAATTGAATATTTTTGAGCACCCATTTTTGTGTAAAATACTATGCTAGATAAAATTAGAGATTGAGAGATACAAAGGAGGTGTAAGAAAGATTGTATCTGGTTTATTGAGAAAACTACATTATTTGTAAGTACAAAATATGAGCTAGCATATAATTAAGTGCTAGTTTATTTGTGCATGAGACAAATATTAAATACTATTATCTGTCAGCTTTGTTAGAGTCAGGAGATGTTAGAAAGCAAGATTAAAGATAATTGAGACAGTAAGAAAATACACAAATAAAAGTTGACTCCAAGTATGTGGAGCCTGGGCTACTATGGAGATTAATAACACTACTCACAGAGAGATAGGGAAGTTGGGATGAGCATGCTGATAGAGGGATAGAACTGAATAGTGTCCTTGGACAGAGGAACCATCCTTCAAAAAGTGCCAAGAAGGGATTGTGATTTTTTTTTTCCCTGGGTTGAAGAAACTTGTATATCTTTGAAGAACATAGAGAAAAAAGCCAATAAGAAGAAAGAAATGGAAATGTTTAAGTAAGGATTATCTATTAGGAGCAAAAAAATGCATAAGAATAAAGGAGTTAATCCCACGTGGTTTTGTTTCTTTGGCAAATTGGAGGAGAGGTCATTTACTGGAAGTAATGATAGCAGTTTGCAGTTGGAGGCTTAAGTAGAGAAAAGGTAACATTTACATAGTCATCATAGGGAAATTTGAAAGGAAATCAGCAAGATTTCAATAAAAGGATAGATGGGCAGTAGAGAGAGTTTGATTGAAAATGGATAGCAAGATCTGTAGTAGGACTGTGTAACTTCTTGTTTTTCTGTTAGAGCTTTATCATCTTGGAGCAAAAATAGAGAAAACTGATGGTGGACCAGGAGGATAACAGCGATAGAGTCAAACTTGAATTTGAATCTCTGCTATCCATATCATTGGTTGGGTGACTTTGGTTAAGTTATTTAATCCATATGAGCCTAAGTTTTATCATGTCTAAAACTGGCATAATACCTCTATTGCAAATTATAGTATTGGATGAGATCATGTTGGAAAATCCCTCACAAGTTCTATAAATGTTAATTCCTTTTTCTTTTTCTTCAAAGAGTGAGTCAGTAACAGCACAGTAAGGATGACATTTAAGGGCTTAATTATAATTCCAGGCTGAGTAGGAACTCTAAAGTAGCCAGGAATAATCTCTTGGACTGAGTAAAAGCGGGGAGGAGTTGAGTGATTAAAGGTTCAGGAGTAGATATGGTGACATAGGAAAATGATAGTAAAGGAGGCGTGCTACAATAGAAGAATTGCTTTGTTTGCTGGAGAAAACTGTATGTATTGAATAAGGAGTGGACATGAAATTAGTAGGGAGAAAAATGGGAGGTAACATTCTGAGGTTCATCAACAGACATACTGGAATCGGAAAGCAATAGTTACTGGCAGGAAGGTAAGACAGACCTTGATACAGGTGCTGAAATGTATTGTGAGGATAAAGAAATGAATTCTGGTAGATGTTGAAAAAAGAAAAAGTAATGATTCAGGGAAGGCAGATAAGACTTGGCGATGAGAAATAAAGCAAGGATGCTTATTTCATGATCCCAAGGTGGTAAACCCCACCCATTCTTTCTAGAATAGTAGTACAGCTGAAATTGCTATGTAAGACAGTTTATTTGCCTGAGAAGTTTGAAAGAAAAACCTGAGAAATTGGTTTAGAGTAAGAGAATTTACAGATAACAAAAGGAAAATTAGGGGAATGGAGGAATAGGTACCTATAGCCCTTAAAGTTTAGACTTAGGAAAATGAAAGGGAGGTTTGTGTCCCATGGAGGGGAAAGAAAGAGAGAGAGGAGAGAGAGGAGGGAGAGAGGGAGAGAGAGATAGAGAGGGAAGGAGGGAGGGAGGAAGGAAGGAAAGAAGGAAGGAAGGAAGGAAGGAATTTTTGAGATGGGAAGCAGAAGGAAGGAAGGAATCTATCTTTGAGATAGGAAGCAGATTGGAACTACTATTAGAGCATAAGATGTGGAGTTAGACTGGCCTGGAGTCATGGTGTATTAGCTAGTTGTGTGATTATGGAGAAATCAATCACTGTGCCTCAGTTACTTACTGCAGAGTAAAGAGATTGAGCTAAACCTTTGAGGTATTGTTAGGACCCTCCAAGAACCGTTGTTCATAATTCAAGAACAGTGCTGTCCAATTCTGCAGTGATGGCAAGATTGTATTCCTGGGCTGTCCAAGATTGTATTTCTGGGCTGTCCCAGTGCATACAGTAATGACTGTGTGCACTTGAAATGTGGCTAGTGTGACTAAGGAACTGAATTTTATTTTATTTTATTTTTTTGAGATGAAGTCTCACTCTGTCACCCAGGCTGGAGTGCAGTGGAGCAATCTTGGCTCATTGTAACCTCCTGCCTCAGCCTCCCGGGTAGCTGAGATTACAGGTGCGCATCACCATGCCCAGCTAATTTTTTGGTATTTTTAGTACATGTGGGATTTCACCATGTTGGTCAGGCTGGTCTTGAACTTCTGACCTCACATGATCTGCCCTCCTCGGCCTCCCTAAGTGCTGGGATTACAGGTGTGAGCCACTGTGCCCGGCCCGGAACTGAATTTTTAACTTAAAAAATTTTTAACTAAATAGCCACCTATGCTACTGGCTGTTACATTGGACAACATAGTTCTGGCCAAATCACTTTTGGGTTTATTTCTTTTCTGTGTCAACAGGTCTTTTATGCCTTTCCAACACTGGCTGTCTAATCTAATCATTTTCATCATAATTGATTTCTTTTGTTAAAAAAACTAGGAAGGGAAAAATAGTAAAGACATGGAATGAACCCAAATGCCCTCAATGATAGATTGGATAAAGAAACTGTGTTACATATAAACCATGGGATACTATGCAGCCATGAAAAGGAATGAGATCATGTCCTTTGCAGGGACATGGATGAAGCTGGAAGCCATTATCCTCAGCAAACTAATGCAGGAAGAGAAAAGCAAACACCACAGGTTCTCACTTATAAGTGGAAGCTGAACAATGAGAATACACGGACACAGGGAGGGGAACAACACTCACTGGAGCCTGTCAGGGGAGGCCAGGTCGGGAAAACATTAGGGAAAAGAGCTAATGCATGCTGGGCTTAATACCTAGGTGATGGGTTTTTAGGTGCAGCAGACTACCATGGCACACATTTACCTATGTAACAAACATGCATACCCTGCACGTGTACCCCAGAACTTTAAAAATAAATAAATAAATAAATAAAAAACTAGGAAGGGAAAAGCATTATTATCTTGTTAAGTGTCATTTGCTAAGTAGCCCATGCATGAACTGTTGAATGAAAGTTAAGAATGACAACTAAATATGATAGTTAAGATGTTTTTGACCAGTGAATTGTTTTTGATATGGCAGTACAATTCTTAGACCTAGTGGATCATGTTGATGTGTTTAGTTTGCTAATATGTAGAATACTGAAAGTGATTCTGTGTGTATTTCTAGACTATCATAGAACTCTCTGAAGAGCGGGATGGTCTCCATTTTCTACCCCATGCCTCTTCATCTGCACAGTCACCCTGTGGTTCTCCAGGCATGAAGCGAACAGAAAGTCGACAACATCTGTCGGTGGAACTGGCAGATGCTAAAGCCAAGATAAGAAGGCTTAGGCAGGAATTGTAAGTTGCTGATTTTTGAGGTTCATTGAATTTATATGGTCCCAAAGGTGACCTAAACAATATTTTTAAGCTTATGGAAATATTGCTAGCTTGTGTCAGTGTTTTCACAAGTAAATGAGAAAAATAAGGAGGTTGGCATAAGGTTTTCCTATTGTTAAATCTTAACAGTTTAAAGGATGCCTTTTATTCTGGATTTATGGCCTTTCTAGCATTCTAGTATGTATTTTTTTAAATAAAATAATGTCCTCATTTGGCAAATTGGGGCTCTTAGTTTTTTGTCTTTACATTCCTTGAAATCCAAATTACTAGGAACTACTGATGGAGATCAATAAGTCTAATAACTCTTTTAAAATTAATGTTTTACACCTATTCTGCCCCCCAAAATTTAATGTTTTAAAAGACTGAGTTCTTCGCATTATACTATTAACAAAAAATAGTTTTGTATATGTATCTTGCATTGAAATGCCTGAGTTACGTACTTAGTAAAGGTAAATACAGTCATGTGCCACATAACGACATTTCAGTTAACAATGGACCACATATATGATGGTGGTCCTGTAACATTACAATGGTGCTGAAAAATCCCTATCATCTAGTAATGCCTTGATGTTCCTGACCCTGTGTAGGCATAGGCTAGTGCGTGTCTTGGTTTTTAACAAAAAAGTTTAAAAGTAAAAAAAGAAAAGAAAAATGCTTATAGAGTAAGGATATAGGCCAGGCGCGGTGGTTCACACCAGTAATCCCAGCACTTTGGGAGGCTGAGGCGGGCGGATTGCCTGAGGTCAGGAGTTCAAGACCGGTCTGGCCAACATGGTGAAACCCCGTCTCTACTAGAAGATACAAAAAAATTATCCGGGCATGGTGGGGTGCGCCTGTAATCCCAGCTACTCGGGAGGCTGAGGCAGGGGAATTGGTTGAATCAGGGAGGTGGAAGTTGCAGTGAGCCGAGATGGTGACACTGCACTCCAGCCTGGGTGACAGAGCGAGACTCTGTCTCAAAAAAAGAAAGAAAAAAAGCATAAGGATATAAAGAAAGAAAATATTTTTGTACAGTTGTACAATGTGTTTATGTTTTAAACTAAACGTTACTAAACATTATTATAAAAGAGTTAAGTTTAAAAATTTTAAAGTTTATTATATTAAAAACATGGCTGGTGCAGTGGCTCATGCCTGTAATCCCAACACTTTGGGAGGCCGAGGCAGGTGGATCACTTGAGGTCAGGAGTTCAAGACCAGCCTGGCCAACATGGTGAAACCCTGTGTCTATTAAAAATACAAAAATTAGCCAGGCGTGGTGGTAGTCCCAGTTACCTGGGAGGCTGAGGCAGGAGAATCGCTTGAACCCAGGAGGTGGAAGTTGCAGTGAGTCAAGATCACACCACTGCACTCCAGCCTGGCTGACAGAGCGAGACTCTGTCTCAAAAAAAAAAAAAAAGTACCATTTTTTATCTTTTATACCTTATTTTTACTGTACCTTTCCTATGTTTAGATATGTTTAAAAACACAAATACTTAACCATTGTGTTACAGTTGCCTACAGTATTCAGTACTGTCACATGCTGTATAAGTTTGAGAAGCAATAGGCTATACCATATAGCCTAGGTATATAGTAGGCTATTACCATCTAGATTTGTGTAAGTACTATATCCTCTGTGATGTTTGCCCAGTGATGAAATCGCCTAACTCGTTAGAGTGTATTCCCATACTTAAACAATGCATGACTGCATTCAGATTTGGTTAGTACTGATGAAATTGTATTTTCTTAATTTTAAGACCATTACAGAAAAGTAAGTGTAAATGTTACATAGGCATTCCTTGGTGAACCACAAGTAAAGATGTGATCAGTCTCTGCTGGAGATTTGTTTTTATTTTGTACTTTTAAAAGAACAAAGGATTTTTGTTGTGGGGGCTTTTTTTTTTTTTTTTTTTTGGTTTGGTTTCTTGGAATTTGAGCTTCAGAATATAGATTTTAAATTTAAAACCACAGTGTAGCAATTAAATTTATTTACTGATTATTTAAAGTAGTTAAAGAAAGTGATTGAATATGCAAGGTAGAAAAAATATTACAGTCCATAGGAAAATTTGAAAATAAAAAATAACAGCTTTCATTTGTGGATGTCTGCATTATTATGTATCTATTGAAATGAACACGCCCAGGATATTCTATAAACAGCTGCACCAGGAAAATTAGGGAAGAGATTGCTGTTATTAGTTTGACTGGCAGTTAATGGATAGTCTAAATAGTGAACACTAGTTTGCTCCATATAATTTAGCACAATCTTCTCCAGTCTTTAGATAAAGCATGCAATTAGAACCGTAATGATGGCTGTGAATTCGTTTAAGGTTTTGCACTGTGTTCAAATTTAATTTTTAAATAAAATTTACTTGGACATAGAGTATATTAAAATTCCAAACAACTTGAGGAGATTGATGAAATTTGGTTTTCTAATACTGATTAGAAAATGTAAATGGATATTTTTAATGGGTAAATAAATGTGCCAGTATTGTAACTAGTATTCCCGGTAACTAGCTTTTCAACAAATACCATCTAATATCTTCATTGCCCTTTGAAAATGTGTTTCTTTATGGATTTCTTCTATTATTAAAAAGAAGTAAATCTCCTATTAGTTCTTTTTATTGGGACAGATCTCTACTAAAGTGAATGAAGTGCAGAAATCATGGTAGACAAAAACAGCAGGTTGCCTTATACCAAATGGAAACTATACAATAAGTAATTACAATCAGAAAGTGCAAATTAACAGCATACTCATTTATGGGGCAGTACATTATGATATAATTGCTTTTGATTTATAAACATATAGAGTAAAAGTATAATTTGTGATATGAGTGAAAAAAGTAATTTTTAAATTTAAAATAGCAATTTCACTTTTATGCAGTAGTTAATACTACCAAAGACTCCCTTTAACTCTGCCTCCATAAATCCCATGTTTTGAAATAATTTTTCTAATATAAACTATTCATTATTTTTCAAAAAAATAAAAGACTTATTGAGATATAATTCGCAGGTCAGAAAATTCATCCTTTTAGAGTGAACAATTCAGTGGTTTTTTTCATAGAGTTTATTCATAGAGTTGTACAGTCATCACACACCAATTTCTTGTTTTTTTGTGTTTTTTTGTGTGTTTTTTTTTTGAGATGGAGTCTCACTCTGTTGCCCAGGCTGGAGTGCAATGGCGTGATCTCGGCTCACTGCAACCTCTGCCTCCTGGGTTCAAGCGATTCTGCCTCAGCCTCCTGAGTAGCTGGGATTACAGGCATGCACCACCACGCCTGGCTAATTTTTGTATTTTTAGTGGAGACAGGGTTTCACTTTGTTAGTTAGGCTGGTCTTGAGCTCCCGACCTTCTGATCCACTGCCTCAGCCTCCCAAAGTGCTGGGATTACAAGAGTGAGCCACTGTGCCCAGCCCACACACCAATTTCATGACATTTTCATCACCACAAAAAGAAACCCCATATTCAGTAACAGTCACTGTCTGTCCCCCTTTGCCCTCAGCTCCTGGCAATCACTAGTCTGCTTTCTGTTTCCATGACTTTGCCTATTCTGGACATTTTATTGTATAAATGGAATCATACAATACGTGCCTTTTGTGACTGGCTTCATTTATTTAGCATAACGTTTTCCAGGTTCATCCATGTTGTAGCATGTATCAATACTTTATTCTTTTTAGAGTTGAGTAATATTCCACTGAATGGATATACCGCATTTTGATTAGCCATTTTTTGGTTGACAGGCATTTGAATTCTTTCCAGTTTTTGGCTATTATGAATAATGCTGCTATGAACATTCAGGTGCATGTTTTTCTGTAGACATCTGTTTTGAATTCTGCATGTTAACAGATGAATGGCCAACATTCAACATTGTGAACATAATTAATGCTGCTGAATTATATGTTTAAAAATGGTTAAAATGAGGCAGGGCATGGTGGCTTACGCCTATAATTCCAGCACTTTGGGAGGCTGAGGCAAGAGGATTGCTTGAGCTCAGGAGTTTGAGACCAGCCTGGGCAACACAGGGAGACCCGTCTCTACAAATAATTTTTAAAAATTAGGGGTGTGGTGGCATGTGCCTGTGGTCCCAGCTACGTGGGAGCTTGAGGCAGGAGGATCACCTGAACCAGGAGGTCAAGGCTGCAGTGAGCTGGGACTGCACCACTACACTCTAGCCTGGGTAACAGAGTCAGACTCTGTCTCAAATGGAGGAAAAAAAAAACCTGAAAAAAATTCTAAATACTTCTGGGTCCCAAGCAGTTCAGAAAAGGGATACTTAATGTGTTTCAAATGCCTTTTAACTTGTAATGCACTTTTAGAAATCTGTCCTAAAAGCCAGGCACAGCAGTGTGCACTTGTAGTCCCAGTTACTTAAGAGGCTGAGGTGGAATTCTTGGGCCTAAGAGTTCAAAGCAAGGCTGGGCAACATAGTGACATCCTCTCTCTTAAAAAAGAAAAGAAAAAGAAAACTATCCTGAAATACACAGGATTTTATGTATAGTAATGAGCTTATTTACTAAAAGATTATATAGTACAATGAAAAATGGAATCCACTTAGTAAAGTATGGTTTCTCTAGCAAAGGGAATATTTTTCTACCATTAAAAATTATGGTTTTGGGCTGGGCACCATGGCTCATGCCGGTAATCCCAGTGCTTTGGGAGGCTGAGGCAGGAAGATTGCTTGAGGCCAGGAGCTCAAGACCACCCTGGACAACAGAGTGAGACCCCGTGTCTACAAAAAATTAGCCAGAAGTGGTGGCACATGCCTATAGTCCCAGCTATTCCGGACGCTGAGGCAGGAGGATCACTTGAGTCCAGGAGTTCAGGGTTGCAGTGAGCTGTGATCATGCCACTGCACTCCAGCTTGGGCGTCAGAGTGAAACCCTGTCTCTTAAAATATATACATACATATATTTTAATAATATATTTTAAATAATATACACATTATATTTTATAATATATATTAATATATAATGGTTTTGAAAAATGTAAGGGCACGAGATGAGAACAATAAGTTCTATACAGTGAACATTTACTTTATTATTAAAGAACAGAAGGTAGAAAAGTAGAGATAGTAAGTGGAGGCTTATTTTAAGGAGCTTGACTGTGAAGGAGAGAGAGAAAATGGGAGATTAGAAGTAAAGCAATTCTAAGAGAAAAACTAATAGAAGAAATTTGAGGATGTTTATAGGCTACAGGGCAGAAACCAATAGCGAAGTAAAGATTTTAGTATCATATGGCAATTGGAAGTATGTAATTTCCTTTCAGCCATTGTAAATGTTGAAAATAGTTGGAGACCCTTACAAATCTTAGACACAGGTAGAACTGCCTTGCATAAAAATTCTTAGCTTAGGCTGGGCACGGTGGCTCACGCCTGTAATCCCAGCACTTTGGGAGGCCAAGGCGGGTGGCATCTGAGGTCAGGAATTTGAGACCAGCCTGAGTAACATGGTGAAACCCCGTCTCTACTAAAAATAAAAAAATTAGCCCGCATAGTGGCCGGCGCCTGTAATCCCAGCTACTGAGGCAGGAGAATTGCTTGAACCTGGGAGGCAGAGGTTGCAGTGAGTCAAGTTTGCGCCATTGCACTCCAGCCTGGGTGACAGAGCCAGACTCCGTCTCAAAAAAAATTCTTAGCTTAACTGTCTGTGACTGCAGAGAGTGAGGAAGAGAGAAAGAAGAGTGGAAATGGAAGGGCAGGAAAGATGAAAAGAGAGAAAGAGAAAAACTGTATTACATACTATGAGAACATTAGCCTTTGGAAAACATTAGGGAAGAGGTTTTATTAATGGCATCTAATTATATAAATTCCTAATATCTATCTTTTTTTTTTTATCTTCTAGATTAGGGTTATGGCTAATACTATGTCCAACTAGTTATTTAGTGATGATGATACATTTATATTAACGCAGATGATGATCACAGTTTTCAAAAATAGTATACTTAATGAATATATTTTTGCATTTAAGGGAGGAAAAGACTGAGCAGTTGTTGGATTGTAAACAAGAACTTGAGCAAATGGAAATAGAACTCAAAAGGCTGCAACAAGAGGTTTGTACCTGGAATATCTGTTATTTAGGACCACCAAGTAATTGGAAATTGATTTTCTTCCTTGTAATTTATAACCTTTACTTCAATGCTTTATGTAAATAAAAGAGGTTCCTGAGGCTTCAAGAGATTGGATGACTTTTTCAGAGTCTCTCTCTTCAAAAATGTCAGAGCCAAACTTTCTTCCATATTAATGCTGTTCAAACTCTGCTAAGATTCAAAAGAGCTACTTAGGACTGAGGTAGTTCCACATTTTTCTTTTTGATGTGTTTGGCTTCTGTGGCCTTGGAAGCTAGAACACCTCTACTGTAAACTGTGCTCTTTATGTGTATCTCTCTGTGTCTCTGCTCCCTGATAGTGCTTTATGCTAACTCATATGTAATAGAATGTTTTTTGATTTTTTTCACTTTTCCTATTAAATAAGATTAAAACTTTTTAAAAAGTATCTTTATTTTACAGCAGCTTCTTCTTTTTTCACCTTAAACCAAGAGTAATTAATAGTTCACTTTTACAATCACTCTAATGTTTCATTTTTATTTGGGGTTAGTGTATGAGCTCTTTAATCCATAAGTGCTAAGGATTAGGATAAGGCTGGATAGTTGTTTCTTCCCTTAACTTCCCCATACCTGACTTTAGATGCAGGGAATACTGTAATTGTAGGATCATAAACTGGGACCTTCATAGATAAATGAGACTGGGCTTCATAGTCTTTATTTCTAGACATGCTGGGGTTGCTTTTCTACTTGTTGGCAGCAGGGTTTTTTTTACGTGTGTTGGTTCTCTCTAAAGCAGTAGTTTTCTCTAAAGGTTCTCTCTAAAGCAGTCTTTTTGGTCTCAAGCCTCCTCACCACTGTTAAAAATTAATGAGGATTGGTTTAATGTGGATTATATCTATTGGTATTTACCATATTAGAAACTAAAACTATGAAGTTTTAAAAACTTAAGTCTGGCCAGGTGCGGTGGCTCACGTCAGTAATCCCAGCACTTTGGGAGGCTGAGGCAGGTGGATCAAGAGGTCAGGAGTTCGAAACCAGCCTGGCCAACGTAGTGAAACCCTGTCTCTACTAAAAATACCAAAAATTAGCCGGACGTGATTGTGGGCACCTGTAATCCCAGCTACTCAGTAGGCTGAGGCAGGAGAATCGCTTGAACCCGGGAGGTGGAGGTTGCAGCAAGCCGAGATCACGCCATTGCACTCCAGCCCGGGCAACAGTGCGAGACTCCGTCTCAAAAAAAAAAAAAAATTAAGTCACTTGGGTTGGGCGCAGTGGCTCATGCCTATAATCCTAGCACTTTGGGAGGCCAAGGCAGGTGGGTTGCTTGAGCCCAGGAGTTAAAGACCTGCCTGGGCAACGTGACAAAACCTCATCGCTACAAAAAAATGAAAAAATTAGCTGCACGTAATGGGGCACTCGCCTGTAGTCCCAGCTACTTGGGAGACTGAGGTGGGAAGATCACTTGAGCCTGGGAGGTCGAGGCTGCAGTGAGCTGTGAATGTGCCAGTGATCAGCCTGGGTGACAGAGTGAGACCCTGTCTCAAAGGAAAAAAAAAAGTCATTAAAAAATTAACCCATTCCATGTTAGACTCCATCTCTAAAATAAATAACTAGGTTGGGCATGGTGGCTTATACATGTAATCCCAGCACTTTGAAAGGGCAAGGCAGGCAGATCACTTGAGGCCAGGAATTGAAGACCAGCCTGGGCAACATGGCGAAACTCTGTCTCTACTGAAAATACAAAAATTAATTGGGTGTGGTGGTGCACACCTGTAATCCCAGCTACTTGGGAGGCGGAGGCACAAGAATCGCTTGAACCTGGGAGGTGGAGGTTGCAGTGAGTTGAGATTGTGCCACTGCTGCACTCCAGCCTGCGTGACAGAGTGAGACTCTGTCTCAAAAAAAAAAAAAAAAAAAAGGTAGATGAATAGATAACATAGGTATTTTAATGAAATAACCGTTATTTTCCAAAACAAAGAATAATTAAAAGAATGGTACTATTTTACATTTTTGCAGATCTCTTTAATACCTTGCTTAATAGATTACTACTACTATATTCTCATAGCTGTTTCTGCATTTAGTCTGTTAAGATGTCACACACCATGTAGCCTCTGGAAAACTTTACTCTGCCCTCATGAGAGAATGAAAGTGAAAAAGACAAATAATGTCTTAGGTTATTATGAAAATACTTTTGACCTCCTGAACTCCCTGAAAAGGTTTCAGGGTCCACAGAAGACCCTGGATTACACTTTAAGAACTACTATCCTAAAGGATTACAATAAGGCTTTTAAAAGGTTGGATTTTAATATTTGTCTCAAATGACATTAACGTATGCACTAATGATTTTACTTGGAAGCATTAAAAAAATGTCAGCAAGATTTTGGTATATCACAACATATCTATAGAAACTTTACTTCTATACAGTAATTAATGATTTATTTTAGTAATATTGTTTGCCTTTTCTGTATTTTTACCATCTTTTATTTTAAAATTAACTTTTTCACCATAAATTAATTGCAAATGGTTGTTACATAGATGTTAACTTATTTTAAAATATCCTGAATATTTTTTACATTCCTGACAGATAGCATGATATTTAAAAAATATGAGCATAAATGTATATATATGTTTAAAATACTTCGATTTTTTTAAAAAGGTTTTAAAAAAATTTTAGTAACATATCCACGATAATGGAAAAAAAGTTTATATCTCCCCATTTAAAAAACAAATTTAGATATAATTTACATACCATAAAATTCACCATTTTAAAGTATGTACTTTTTTGATTTTTAAAGTAAATTTATCAGCCGAGTGCGGTGGCTTACGCCTGTAATCCCAGCACTTTGGGAGGCTGAGGCAGGTGGATCACCTGAGGTCAGGAGTTTGAGACTGGCCTGGCCAACATGACGAAACTCCATCTCTACTAAAAATACAAAAATTAGCCGGGCATGGTGGGGGGAGCTTTTAATCCCAGCTACTTGGGAAGCTGAGGCAGGAGAAGTGCTTGAACCTGGGAGGCGGAGGTTGCAGTGAGCTGAGATTGCACCATTGCACTCCAGCCTGGGCAACAAGAGTGAAACTCCATCTCAAATAAATAAATAAATAAATAAATAAAATTTCAAATTGTGCAACAAAGAATAACAAGTTGATAACAGAAAATAATTAAAATATAATTTTAAATTTTTGTTTAGAACATGAATTTGCTTTCGGATGCTCGCTCTGCCAGAATGTACCGAGATGAATTAGATGCACTTCGAGAGAAAGCAGTCAGAGTCGATAAGCTTGAAAGTGAAGTCAGCAGATATAAAGAGAGACTACATGATATTGAATTTTATAAGGCAAGAGTTGAGGTATGTTGCATAATTAACCATTCATGATTTTTTTTTCTGTGTTAGAATTTTAACACATTTAAAATGCAGTTAATAAACATGAGAAACTCTTGAAATGGTGAACAAACAGTAAATACATTTGGGTATGTTTATTTTATGATAGATTAGCATATTGCTTTTAGTTAGACTTTTACAAAAGGGATCTATGGATATTACTAATTTTATTGAACTCTGGGGTTCTTCTTTTATTCCTTTTCTTAGCATCATATATAGAGCAGACCTTTGAAGTCCTTCCCTTGTAGTCAAAATATTTACTTCTATTTCAGACTTTTTTCCAAAAGTGAAAGCAAAACATATTTCAGATTGCTTCTTAACTGAGATCACTAAATTAAGATTAATGAAGTCTATATATATGCAAACAAATGAAAAAAATATTCTAACTTGATAGTTACAGTTCAGTGTTACATGAAGTTGAGTTTGACAGGAATTTGACAGGTCAGGCTGGGCACAGTGGCTCACTTCTGTAATCCCAGCACTTTGGGAGGCCAAGGTGGGTAGATCACCTGAGGTCAGGGGTTCGAGACTAGCCTGGCCAGTGTGGCAAAACCCCGTCTCTATTAAAAATACAAAAATTAGCTGGGCATGGTGGCGCATGCCTGTAAGCCCAGCTACTCAGGAGGCTGAGGCAGGAGAATCGCTTGAACCGAGGAGGTGGAGGTTGCAGTGAGTCGAGATCGCGCCACTACAGCCTGGGCGACAGAGTGAGACTCTGTCTCAAACAAAACAAAAAAAAAGAATTTGGCAGGTCTTGTATCTTCTTTCTCAGTTAATTTCCTCATCTGTAAACAGGAGATTTTGGTCAGTTTCAGTATTAGGATAAGAAGGAGGGAGTATACAAAATCAAGAAACGAAAACATAAGAGAAAGTAGTTAGAACATTTTAGCTTAAAGGTTACCAGTAAGTAGACCCAATAGGACTGTAGAGATAAAGTACATATTAATTATTTGCCAGTTATTTAAAGACTTGTGTATGCATGACACTGTTAAGGGATTCTCATGAATACCACTGTCTTAGTATACTTTTTCTAGACTTTAGTTTAGAAACCATAGGTATATAACTTAGCAAGATAGAATTGTGAACACTTGTCTTCAAAACATATGCAGGGACTTTTAAGGATTTCCTCAAGGTGTATTTATATAAAATATTTATTAATAGAGCCTTGGTTTATGATTTATGTGAGTTCTGGTTTAAGTCTTGGTATTTTACTGCAAAAACCTCAAGCCCTTCACTTCCAAGTTATAGCTCCAAGTACAGAGAAATATTTAAATCTATTTCAGTCAATACATTAAGCCTTGATTCCATGGAGAATTGTATCTTAAATATCTGGAAGACTCCTTGTACTTAGTTAATTCCTTATCCTTGTGACTAAGGAAGTTAAATATACCCCGACAATTTAATGTGAAGTTATAGTAGTATTATATATCTTAAGAACTGAGTGTTTTGTTTGCATTCTGGGGTAAAAAGGAAGCCAAGAAAACATTAATTGTATTTCTATTACTCAGTAGGTTTCCTCATGCATAGAACTGTTGATAAAGATGGCTTAATGTTTTATGATAATCTGTATGTTCCATAACTTTAAAAAATTAACAGATATTAACACATTTGTGATAAACATTTATAGGAATTAAAAGAAGACAATCAAGTTTTATTAGAAACAAAAACCATGTTGGAAGACCAACTAGAGGGAACTCGTGCTCGTTCTGATAAATTACATGAATTAGAAAAAGAGAACTTACAACTGAAAGCTAAACTTCATGATATGGAAATGGTAAGTTTTAAGAGGTAGATCAGTTACATGGCCTTTAAGGAAAACTTCTAAGATTCAGCTGATTTCCCTGTATTGGCAAGGATGGCTAGTGTCCTTGAGGCTTTAACAGAGAAGAGAGAGCTAAATAAATTAGATGCCTCCAACTTTATATAAATATAAAAGTAGTAGAAATTTCTGCTTTTGTTACAGAAGCATGTTACTTACTAATGTTGTCTTCAACCTTTTAATACCACAATAAATAAGCTATTGTGTAAACATGTCTTTAAAAATACAGAAATCTGATTGCTAAAATTTAGCATTGGTTCATAATTCTTTTGTTGTATCACTAAAACAGTATGTTGACTATGAAGAAGAATTTTCATTGTGTCCCCAAAGATCAGCTTAAAAGGATGTCAGACACTTAATCAGTATAATGACCGGTAATAATTATAATTGCCTTCAAAACTGAAAAATTTAAAGAACTCATAATTATTACTGAGTTTCTGATAAATAAAAGTTGTGAGAAATAAAGTATTTGCTCAAAATTGTACTGTTTCTTAGCTTTTTTCTCTCCCTAATCCTTGCCAATAAAAAAGGAACGAGATATGGATAGAAAAAAGATTGAAGAATTAATGGAAGAAAATATGACTTTGGAAATGGCACAGAAACAAAGTATGGATGAATCATTACATCTTGGCTGGGAACTGGAACAGATATCCAGAACTAGTGAACTTTCCGAAGGTATTCCCAATTTTTTTAATTTAAATAGATAATCGAATCATGAAGTTGTATTTATGTTTACTTGCAGTTCTTTATTTTCCGCAGTGGGAGATATCTCAGAAGACTACCTGTCTCCATAGATATGATTTCACACAGTAATATATTGTTTGCATTTTCTTGGGTCTGGTCCCTAGCTTTACATGTCTTACAACTGAATTTCATGAATGCAATAACAGATTTAATTGGTTTCTTAGCCACTATTTCATGTTAATATCCTAAGAGGCTGCAATATCAGTTTATTAATGTATTTTAAGAAATATAGCCATCTAATAAATAGAACAGAAAAGTCGTATTAGTGGTCAGCATGTTCTTTGACTATAGGTAAACCCAAATAGGAAGTTAAAGCATAATGGGCAAATTTTCAGAGGAAAATATAGTTAGAATTAGTTAATTTAAGGATCTTCATGACTACTTGTAATATGTATAGTCTCCATTATAAGATTATACCTGCCAACCAGCCCAGCCTGGTTATACTATGGACCTAATGTAAGATCCCCCAGGTAAATTTTTAACTTTTGGCTCTCTTTTCCTGGGCTTCACATTGACTTGTCCTCTTTCTTAAAGCTGGGCATGATTATGTACAATTGTTTGGATTATAGCTTTGGATATGCTAATATGGATTTTTGAAATTACAAAAAAATTCACCAGTTAGGTCACATTTATTCAAATTAGACTAGTTTCAAAACTCCTCAGTTTTGCCCAGTATTAGATTGTTCTACTTGCATTTCTTCAGCAAATATTTACTAAGCACCTAATGTGTAAAATACTATACCAGACACCAAGGACATAATGTTGACGTAGACATAAACTCTTGAGATTTTATAATCCAGTGCTTACAGAATAATTACCTCTATAGATGATTCATCCTATTGATTACCAATTAGGTTCTTCCTGTTTTATACTTGAAAACCTAATTCCAAATTCTGGGGCCCCATGTACTGGCTATAGAGTAAGTTATGATATTCAATGATTGAACTTGTGTTACTTGAGATATTTGTGAAACTTTAAAAATTATATTCCTTGTGAATTGAGTTACAAAGAAAGCAATTCAGACTTAAGTGTTTTCTACTAAAGGTATTTAGAATTACTGTGTTAGTTAAGAGTTTCCTTACTTGTTAAGTGGGGACAAAATAGTGAATATCATCTAGACTTCTGAGGATTAAATTGTTGATATTTGTGAGGCCCTTAAATAGTGCCTGGTAAATAGTAAGCATTCAAGTATTAAATATCATTATTATTATGTCACTGTTGTTTTGTAATTGATCTTAGCTGGTGTTGTAGAATTGAATATTTGCTTTACTGTGGTGTATGTAGTTTTTATTTTTTAAATTATACAAGGGACTTTCCAGAAAATTTACAGAATTTGGGAAAAAAAGGAAGAAATAAAAGGCACTAAAAATTTTTTAAGTCACTTTTCATTTCAGAAAATTTGTTTCAGAACTTTTCTATCTCATTTTCTAACCCACGTATCTTAGGAAAGTTAAAACTATCTTAGAAGTTTTTTAACTGCCAGTGTGTTTAATAATCATCTAGTATAAAAGTTTGCAGTACTTGTGCTTTCAAGTTTCTATGGAATAGGTGGGAATGTAAACTGGTTCAGCCATTCTGGAAAACAGTGTGGAGGTTCCTCAAAAAATTAGAAATAGAACTCTCATAGCATTCAGCAGTTTTGCTCCTGGGTATATATCTAAAGGACATTAAATCAGTATATCAAAGAGATATCTGCATTCCCATGCTTGTT